>NC_000017.11:81442131-81742542 GCF_000001405.40 Homo sapiens
CTGCAGGGAGGGCGGCCCCGCACCCCGAGGGGCCTGCGAGGGCCGCCCCAAGCACCTCACCTCCTGCCTCCTCAACACCAAGGTGCTCAACGGCGAGATGGGCAGGGCTGCGCTAGCCAGCTGTGCAGGGGGCATGCTGGGGCGGCCTGGCACGGGGGTGGTGACCTCCGGGCGCTGTGCAAAGGAGGCAGCAGGCCCCCCGGAGCCCGGGCCGGCCTTCAGCGAGTGCCTGGAGCGGCGGCAGATGCTACACCACACCGCATCCTACGCCGGGCCACCCCCGCCCCTCAGCACAGCCGCCGGCTCCTTCCCCTGCCTGCAGCTGCACGGGGGCCCTGACGGGCTCTGCCCGCTGCAGGACAAAGCCCCCCGGGACCTAAAGGCCAGCGGGCCCACCTTCGTGCCTTCTGTGGGACACCTGGCCGACAAGGGCCGCCCCTTCCAGGCCGCCGAGGCCTGTGCCGTGGCAGGGGAGGGCAAGGACCGGCACCTGGAGGGAACCATGGCCCCCGACCACGCTGCACCCTATGGAGTCTCCTATGCCCACCTGAAGGCCGAGGGCAAGGGCGAGCGGCGGCCTGGGGGCTTTGAGGCGGCCCTCAACCCCCGGCTAAAGGGCCTCGACTATCTCAGCAGCGCAGGCCCCGAGGCCTCCTTCCCCGGACTCCCTAAAAGCGGTCTGGACAAAAGCGGCTACTTCGAGTTGCCCACCTCTTCACAGGACTGTGCCCGGCCTGGTCACCAGGACCCGCTGGGCGGGAAGGCCCCCCAGGCCTGCTGCACTTTAGATAAGACTGTTGGCAAGGAAGCCCCGGCCGGCCCCCCAGGGGCACAGAAGGTGGCCCGCATCAGGCACCAGCAGCACTTGATGGCCGCCGAGGTGGAGCAGGGGGGCATTGGGGCTGAGGCCAAGCGCAAGTCCCTGGAGCTGGCATCCCTGGGCTACAGTGGGCCCCACCTGCCCCCATGGGGTGTCCAGGCAGGCCAGGGCACCGCCATGGCCATCAGCGAGGAGCGCAAGGCTGGCGCCTACCTGGACCCCTTTGGCAGTGGCCTGCAGCAGGCGGCTCTTCTGCCCCAGGAACTGCCTGCGCCGCCGGACGAGGTCTCAGCCATGAAGAACCTGCTCAAATACAGCAGCCAGGCCCTGGTGGTGGGCCAGAAAGCACCCTTGGTGGGCCTGGGTGGCCTCAAGGCCAGCTGCATCCAGCAGGAAGCAAAGTTCCTGTCCTCTAAGGGCCCAGGCCAGTCGGAGAGGCCGGACTGTGCCCGCAGCAGGGAGCACGACACCACGCACGGCGACGGGGAGGTGCGGCAGCCCCCTGTGGGCATTGCAGTGGCCTTGGCCCGGCAGAAGGACACAGTGAGCCGGTCTGAGGCAGCCTACGGCACCAACACTGCGCGGCAGGGCCGGGCCGCCCCCGCCTTCAAAGGTACAGGCCCTGCACAGAGAGGGAGGCAGGCCGGGACAGTCTAGGGGGCCCAGCTGGCCCTGCCCTGCGCCCCGGCTCCCCAGCTCCCACACCTGCCCTTGGCAGACCCTCCGAGGCCCCAGGACCAGGGGATCCTCCTCAGTGCATCAGGCCCCCCAGCTCGAAGCGGGGTCACTGCTTGCCTTAGCTGGTGGCTCCCTGGCCGCCCCAACCCTCTCCCGTCTGCTGTCTCGACCCTGTGCAGGTGGCGGTGGGCCCCGTTCCACACACGCGCTGGACCTGGAGGCTGAGGAGGAGAGGACGAGGCTATGTGATGACCGCCTGGGGCTTGCCAGCCGCGAGCTGCTGCTGCAGTGAGAGCTGGGCCTGTGGCCCTGGAGAGTGGGGCTAGGCCTGGGCTTGGGGCTCCCCACTCAGAGCCACGTGGAGAAAGAGGGGTGGTCATGGCTGGGGCAGCAGATTCTATGGCCGGCCGTGGGTGGGGTTCTCCCCACCCCTAGAGCCTTTCTGGAGTCTCACCCGGGGTTGGGGGTCTCAGTTAACCCCTTGCAGCGGTCAGGTTACCCACTTTCAGGGGCCAGGAGATGGCCCCCAGTCAGCCCTGCAGAGCACTGAGGCTGGAGCCTGGGGTTTTCCCTGAGCCTCCAGGTCCCGTTCTCCCTCCCAGGTTGATGGCAGGGGGTGGGACAGGGAGTCAGGCATTGGCACCGTTGGTGGGGCTGAGCCCCAGGTCTTACAGAGACAACAAAGGGCCGGGGGTGGGATGGGGAGCTGGGCCTTGGCGCCGGCGGCAGGGCTGAGCCCCAGGTCTTACAGGGACAGCAAAGACCGCGTAGAGTTCGCCCGGATCCACCCACCGAGCAGCTGCCCTGGGGACCTGGCCCCCCACCTCATGATGCAGAGCGGCCAGCTGGGCGGGGACCCAGCCCCCCACACCCACCCCCATCCCCCCTGGCTGCCCCGCACCCGCAGCCCCTCCCTGTGGATGGGGGGGCACTCCTACGGTCAGTGATCCAAGGGCGGGGGCTGGCCTGGGGCTGATGAGGGTTCCCTCCTGGTCCCCGAGAGTGCGAGGCCTGACCACTGTGCCCTCTGCCTCCCAGGCCTGGGGCACCCTGCCCTGCACCAGAACCTGCCCCCCGGCTTCCCCGCCTCCGTGGCTGGCCCTGTGCCCTCTGTCTTCCCCCTCCCACAGGACGCCCCCACACAGCTGGTCATCCTGCCCTCAGAGCCCACACCCCACAGCGCCCCCCACGCACTTGGTAAGGGCCCCTGGTCCAGGCTGCTGTACTTGGGGGGTGCTGTTGGAAGGAGGGGCAGCCGGGGGTGTGCTGGCCAGGGCTCAGGAGGGAGCGGTGGGCTTGGTGGGCTGAGGAAAGGGTGGCGGGGAAGCAGCCCCGGAGCTGTCCCCTCCCCAGCCAGGCTGACCCCTCCTGGGCCCTGCCCACAGCGGATGTCATGGACCAGGCGTCACTGTGGCCCCCCATGTACGGGGGCCGGGGCCCCGCCTCTCACATGCAGCACCCGGGCCAGCTCCCTGTGTACTCGAGGCCGCAGCTCCTCCGGCAGCAGGAGCTCTATGCTTTGCAGCAGCAGAGGGCCGCCCAGTTCCAGGTACCGCCCCTAGCCACGCTCACCTGGGCCGGGCACTTCTCCCCAACCCTGCCTGGCCGGACCTGGCTCCAGGAGACCCCTGCATGCCTGGCCTCTGGCAGGATGAACCCAAGCAGGGGGCCCACTGGGGTCAGGGGATCCTGAGCCTGACCGAGCTTGCCCCCATCCCTGACAGCGGAAGCCCGAAGACCAGCACCTGGATCTGGAGGAGCCCGCCCAGGAGAAGGCCCCAAAGTCCACCCACAAGCCAGTTGCCTTAACCCCCACGGCCCCGGGCGCCCCCTCACCCGCTGCAGGCCCCACCAAGCTGCCACCTTGCTGCCATCCGCCCGACCCAAAGCCCCCCGCCAGCTCCCCCACCCCACCACCTCGGCCCAGCGCCCCGTGCACTTTAAATGTCTGCCCTGCCAGCAGCCCCGGGCCTGGCTCCCGGGTGCGCAGCGCCGAGGAAAAGAATGGGGAGGGTCAGCAGTCCACGGCCGACATCATCACATCCGAACCAGGTGAGAGTAGCCGCCTGGCCCGGCCCACTGTGCTCCGCTCCAAGCCCTCCCACCCCTGCCCGGCAGGGCTGCGCTGAATCCGGGCTGCCTGCAGGGAGGCGCCACACCTGCCCAGACCCAGGGCAGCATGGCTGTTCCCTTCCTCTCTCTTCCCTCTTCCCAGTCCTCCCAATGACCTTGGGAGAAGCACACAGTGCCCCAGCCGCCCCCTTCCTGGCCGTGGGCTGACGAAGGCGGGAGGAAGACGGGGTCCCGCTGGCTGTCGTAGGGGCCCTCCAGCAATGAAGGCGGGGCCTGCTGGTGGTGGTACTGGCACCCTGGGGGCACTGGGCATGGGACTTGACCAGGCTGCCATTCAGGGTCTCAGCAAAGCTGGGAGAGGGAGGGGCAGCGAGGCGGGGTGCCTGGGTGGGGGGGTCTCGGGCCTGGCCTCGGCCCCTGCCACCCGCCCATCCACTCCCCACCAGCCTATTTGATTCTCTCTGAGTGGGACTGAGAGGTCACACTGGAAACCGTGTGGCGAACATAAAACCCGTCCTAGTTTCACAGTCAGGAGATGGAGCTAGCAGAGGGTTTTTCCGTTTTTTTCCCTTCGTTTTTTTTTTCTTTTTTTTGCAGTTAATGGGACATGATGCCTCTGACATGCTGCCGGCTTGTTCTGGTTCAGGGAAAACCCTGATTAAAGCATCATGTTTTACAAATTCCCCCTTTTCTGGTTACCCACAGCATACCATGCCAGAGATGGCTCCTGAGGCCACCCCCAGCCCCGGCAGCCAGGGTTGTTGGGGGGAGCTTCAAGGCCACTCTTTAGGGGAATGAGGGCCTGGCCTCAGGCTGCTCACACCTTTTTTTTTTTTTTTTTTTTTTTTTTTTTTTTTTTTTTGAGACAGGGTATCTCCCTATGTCGCCCAGTCTGGAGTGCAGTGACGCGAACATGGTTCACTGCAGCCTCGGCCTCCTGGGCTCAAGCCATCCTCCCACCTCAGCCTCCTGTGTAGCTTGGACCACAGGCATGCACCACCACGCCCAGCTCATTGTTCTTTAATTTTTTTGTAGTGGCACGTGCTCACTCTGTTGCCCACGCTGGTCTCGAATTCCTGGCCTCAAATGATCCATCCACCTCAGCCTCCCAAAGTTTTGGGATTACAGGTGTGAGCTACTGCACCCAGCCAGGTTGCCCCCTTAATTAACGTAACCCTTTCCCCGCCACCAGTCTTGCAGACCTGCAGCTAGCCCAGGGCCCTTCCGCACGGGCTTGGGTCTGAGGGTTCGAGGCCACTGTCCTCCGTCCTATCGCAGGACACCCCCTCACCACCACTCCCAGCTCCCTGCTGACCTGTCCCCTCCTTTGCAGACCTGCCTCCCGGATACCTGCGCCCCATGGCTGGCCTGGGCTTCTCCCTACCCTCAGACGTGCACTCTTCTAACCTCGAGGACCCTGAAACTATGCAAACCACCGCCCCGGGGGCCCAGCCTGAGCCCACAAGGACATTCCTGCCTGGGGAGCCGCCTCCCTGCAGCCCCAGGAGCCTGGAGGAGCCCGGGCTGCTCTCAGGGGCCAGGGAGGCCACCCAGGACCTTGCCGCCACCCCCTACCCTACCGAGCGGGGACCCCAGGGGAAGGCAGCGGACCCCAGCCCACTAGAGGGGCTACAAGAACTGCAATGTGCGGCCCTCCTGGAGGCAGGGGGCCCCGAGGCCACCGGCCAGGCTCATTCTACTCAGGGAGGGGCACGAGAAGAGAGGAGCAGGGAGGAGGGGGAGCAGGGGCCCTCGTCAGGGGCCTCCTCCCAAGTCCTGGAGCAGCGAGCAGGGAGTCCGGGTGCCCTTGAGGACGAGGGGGAGCAGCCGGCCCCTGAGGAGGACGAGCTGGAGGAAGACGAGCTGGGGCAGCAGAGCATGGAGGACTCAGAGGAGGACTGTGGCGGAGCTCCCGACAACAGCCACCCACCCAGGGCGCTACCAGGCCTGGATGCCTTGGTGGCCGCCACCATCAACCTGGGGGACCTGCCCAGCGACAGCCCACCGGACCCTCAGCCCCCAGCGGCCTCTGGGCCCCCCAGCACAGTCCCCCTGCCTCATAGCTCAGGGATTCATGGGATCGCTCTGCTCAGCGAGCTGGCTGACCTGGCAATCCAGCGGCAGAGGAGTGAGAGGACTGTGCCAGGTAAGCCCGGTGGTTGCCGCCACCCCCCAGAGTCCCAGCAGTGGGACCCACACGCCTGCCTCAGGGTCACCTGGCCAGACGGCAGCCTTGGGCCCCGCTCAGTTGTCCCCAAAGTGTGGTAGGTCCCCTGGAGAGTGTCCGCCTCCCCTTGCCGTCCCTCGTCCATGGAAGTCCGAGGCAGGTGTGCCATCTCCGAATCTCTCCGTCCCAGGTGGGGCCCTGGGAGCAGGACTAACCTCCATGGTGGTCTCAGAGGAAGGGCCTCTCGGGCAGCACCTCCTGTTGGAAGTGGCTGAACAGGGGCTCGCGTCCTGGCAAGGGGAGAGGAGAGCCTGCCGCCTGCCTCCTGCTCTGCCAGGCCTCCACCTCCTCAGCCTCCACGGCTGCTACCCTGGCCTGGGGGGTCCAGTTCAGGAACCGTCGGCTCCCCGCTTCAGGCCCAGGGGAGGGGGCAGGAGGCTGGGGCTCCTGCTGCAGGGAGGCCTATGGGACTGGGAGCTCCTGGGCTCTTCCGCCCACCCAGGGGCCCCAAGGACAGCCGGACAACAGTGGGCGGGTCCAGAGCACCTGGGACACCCGAGGGCCAGGTGTCTGCTTCGTCCACCCTGGGCCTTGGTCCGGGCACTCCCTGCGGTCCAGTGCTCCCGGGAAAGCGCCCGCTTCCTGCCGTCTTCCCTGTGGGCCCCAGAGAAAGCCCCGGGGTGGAGGGCGTCCCCCAGCCGGGCACGGCGCCGTGGTTGTTGATAGCACGAAGCTGACAGTCTTCAGGGCTCGGCCGCTGCTTTCTGGATGCATAAAGCTCACCACCGCGATGAAGAGAATGTTCTCGAACAGTGCATTTCCCCAGGGGCCCGTGGTCACCCTGTGCTGGATGAGGCTGCTGGCCCGCACGCGGCAGGGGTGGTTCCGCAGTGCTGGGAGCTGCCTGCCCTCGGGGGTATCTGGCCCAGAGTCCCTGCTTCTGGGTGGGGCTGTGCAGAGGGTTTGAGGAAGCTTGGAGTCCTACCAGGGTGGGCTCCACCTGGACCCCCCAGAGGCCCTCCCTTGGGCCTCCAGCTGGCAATATATGAGAAGTTAGATAGGGCGAGGTGGAGGCACCTTGGGGCAGGGCCTGAGCTGCCAGGGACCCGCCGTGGGAGGGTCTCAGGGACCCTCACCTGGCAGCATGAGGAGGCGTCAGTAGATAGCAGGTCCCGTGTGTATGGCCAGAGTGGCCGGTCTGCCTGTGTGAATGCCTGCAGGACAGGAGCCCGTTCACTGCATGAATACTCATGTGTAGACCACGTGTCCCGGGTGGTGGGCCATGTGGCTTAACCCAGCATGGATGTCGTCACACTCCGGCCAGGCCAGGTGTCCCAATCCCCAGGGTGTGCAGAAGTGGAGTCAGGGCCAGCTCTGCCCTCCGGGTCTCCACCTCATGGTCCCCCCCTGGGCCCCCACCCCTGCCCCTGCCCTCCCCTTGTCCCCGTTAATGGGCAGGTCTCTGCAGCTGCTGGGCTCAGAGCTGATCCCTACAAGTGTAGCGATCACTTCAATTGAAATTAATTAGGAGGTTGGTTTTGTCCTGTGCCAGACAGCAAGATTTGCAGAGGGGGAAGTGGAGAAAAAGCCCCCACCATCGGGGCCGGGCAAGCATAGAGCCCCCAGGACTGGCAGAACCATCTGGGTGAGGCCACGTGGGAGCCACACGCCTGTAGCCTGCAAGGGCAGGGGAGGCACAGAGGGGCTTCTGGCCAACTGCAGTGACCCCAGGAGACCTGGGGCCTTCAGTGGAAGGGGCCTGCAGATGTGCCTCCCCGGCTGCTGATGGCAGCAGCTGCTCAGCCCACCCCCCCTCGGCCCTCTCTCCCCCTCCCATTCCCTGCGGATCCTGGACCCAGCAGCCTGAGTGTTCCCTTGGTCCCCATCAGATCTGTGGTCTCGGTCCAGAGCTTTGCACCCCAGCATCTGCCCCTCCGAGCACCTCCTGGCTTCTTAGTAATGACTTCTGGGGATGGATCAACCCTTGGTCTGGGCTTGTGGCCCCCTGGCCCTCCCCATACTTGAGGAGGGAAGCAGCCACGCACCATGGAGTGCCCCAGCCTGGGCGCTCAGGTCAGTGCCTTTGGTGGAATCTCAGGTGCGTGCCCCAGCTGTCAGGCGCTGATTTGTCCCATCGTGGATGGGGTTCTCCCGCACTCCTGCTTCTGGCTGAGATGAGCCATATCTCTGGGGAGCCCCGGTCCGTTAAGTGGAGCGTGGGGTTCTGAGGCAGAGACTAGGTTTGGGGTGCTCGTTGCTGTGAGGTTATCGTTGCTCCTGGGCTTTCCCAGGGGATACCAGCACCTCTACTCACCCCACAGGGGTTCCGCAGTTCTCCTGCCTTCCTGGCCATCACCACCCACCCCCACCGCAAGGTGTCTGGCTCCTGTCTCCTGCTGGATGTCCTTGTGGGATCAGCCCATGGGGACCCCGTTCCTGGTCTCTGTGGTCAGCCCTCAGGGCTGGCTTCCCCTACTCAGGCCCTGAGTCCCCAACCTGGGCCCGACCCTGCATGGACGCCAGCCTCTGCTGGCCCATGCTCTGACCCCAAGATGGGCCATCCCTTCCCCAGGCCACTGCCTGGGCTGTTGGGCTGCCGCTGTTCCTGCGGTCACTGTGAGGGTAGCTCCCCTGTCCCTGCCCCCAGGTTGAGGTCCCAGAGGATGCGGCCCTGGCAGCCCCTTCCTCCTGACCTGTGTTCAGCCCATGGCCCTCCTGCCTGCCCCAGGGCTGGAGCGTGCTGGAAAGGGCTTGGCAGAGCCCAGCACTGTGTTCAGAGACCGGGCAGGGGCAGGGATTTGGTGCTCTGAGGGAGGATGGAGGAATGGTGGCTGCTCCTCTGAGAAGGGTCACAGCAGATGAGACTGCATCCAGAAACCCCTGCCCGCTGCCCTCCTCACAAGGAATCGAGGGCCTGGGGTCCCAGCTACCCAGGAAGCTGAGGTGGGAGGGTACTGGAGCCCAGGAGTTCGAGGTTGCAGTGAGCCGTGATGGAGCCACCACACTCCAGCCCAGGCAATAAAGCGAGACCCTGTCTCAAATTTAAAGGTATCGAGGGGACTTGTCCCCTCCCTCTGCACTGACCACTGGCCTCCCTGCAGCCATTGCTCTTTAGGTGTCCACACAGGCGAGTGGACGGAAGGACTGATGGGCAGATGGACAGGCAATGGCAGGTCTTAGCTGCTGGGGGACGCCAGCCTCCACCACCTGGATGGAGTGATGCCCAGGTGCTGAAGCCCCTGGTTCCAAAGCCATCTCTCCGCGTGACTTTGAACTTGGTTGAAGCCACGTAGACAGACGCCTGTTGGAACCGCAGGCTTGAGCCACAGCATTCAACTCGGTTGAACTTCAGCAGCTTCCGTGCACGAGGCCTCAGTGGGCTCTCGTAGCACTGCCTGTGTCTCTGAGGGCCCCAGAGTATCCCTTCCCAGGGCTGCCGTTCGAAGCAGGGCCCCCCCGGTGGGGGGACACACAGGCGTTTCTGTTAGAAGCTGTAACGAGCAGATTGCTTTTACTTCGATGCTTTGGGGCCTGTCTTGCTCTGTGACACAGAGGACCCTGCCCCGTGGGTCCTCCCAGCTGGCCCTGCCTTACCACCAAGGGAGTGTCTCCCCAGCATGCAGCAAAACAGGGGTGCTGGGTGTCAGCCCTGGTGCCCACCTCACTCTTCCCGGTCTCCTGACCCTCATCCCGGTCTTCAAGGCTGGGTGGCTTCAGGGGGCCAGGGCTGACATCAAGAGCCTGTGAGGGGCAGTGTGTGCCCAGTTATGCCCATGCTGACCTTCCCATGCCGCACAGAGGAGGAAGAGGACGTGCTAGCCTTCAACCTGCAGCACCTGGCCACGCTGGCCACAGCCTGGTCCCTGGTGGAGGCCGCTGGCCTGGACAGCTCCACTGCCCCAGCGCAGCCGCCCACAGCCAACCCCTGCAGCGGCCCCAGGCTCACCCCCCGCATGCAGATCCTGCAGCGCAAGGACACCTGGACCCCCAAGACCAAGCCTGTGAGTGGAGGTCCCAGTGCCCACGTCGCCCAGTGCGTTGCCACAGAGCCCCAGCCTGGGCCCTGGCCCGGCTCACAGGCCCCTGTGCCCCCCCCACCAGGTGTGCCCCCTGAAGGCCGCCATCGACCGGCTGGACACGCAGGAGGTGGGGATGCGCGTGCGGCTGGCGGAGCTGCAGCGGCGCTACAAGGAGAAGCAGCGGGAGCTGGCCCGCCTGCAGCGCAAGCACGACCATGAGTACGCCTGGCGTGGCGGGGGGGCCTGGGAGGGTCGCAGCACCCCCACCCCCGGGAGGCGCCCACAGTGCTGGGGCCGATGTGGGAACAGGCCAGGATTGGGCTCTGCCCCCTACCTGTGGGCAGACACCAGGGTCCATCGGGGAGGCCCCCCAGAGGCAGTGGGGCCCAAGGAGGGAGGCATTCGGCCAGCAGCGAGACCAAGTGGCAGGGCCAGGGGTCTGTGGAAGAGCCGCTTGTCAGAGCCTGGTGTGGCAGGAGGCTGGCCGCAGGGTGGCGGGTGAGGGGACAGTGGCAGAAGGGGGAGTAGGGAGGACTGGGGGTGCTGTGGGGCCAGGGCAGAAGTTGGGGGATTCTCTGGGGGAGGGGACACCCCGCAGTTGCAACAAGGGCAGGGGCACCACCTGACCAGTGTGTGTGGATGGTAGGAGGTGGGGGCGGCGGGGGCCCCTGGCTGGCCTTGCCCTCTGCGTGAGGGGTCAGGCTCCCCAGGCCGAGTCTGGGCCGCATCTTTCCCCACACCCAGTAGCCCTCGAAGGCCAATGCCCTCGGCTGGAACCTTGTCGGGGAGCTGGGTTGTGCATGAGCCTCTGACCATCCCCCCTGCGGCCCCCAGGAGAGACGAGAGTTCACGGAGCCCTGCACGGCGGGGGCCTGGCCGGCCGAGGAAGCGCAAACACTCAAGCTCGCTGCCTGCCCCACGTCCCACGGGGCCGCTCCCCAGGAGCGATGGCAAGAAAGTCAAGTGAGTCCTGGGCACTGGCATGGCAGGGCGCGTGTGGCCGGCCCTGGGCCCTCGAGGCTGGGGAGCAGGGTCCAGGCTCCCCTGAGGCTTCCAGGCTGCTGGTGCCCCTTCACACCTACTCTGAAGGCCTGGCCCTGCCCTTCCTAGACCATCGAGAGTGACCAGCAGACAGAGCCCTGCTCCAGACAGGCTTTGCCCTTCTGGCAGCTCCCAGCACCACCCTGGCCCGGGTCCCCCTCTGGAAGTCACGGCCCCCAGGCCCAGCCACGCCGGCTCTGCACACCTGGCTGTGGCATCGTCCCCGCCCGGCCCCCCTGGAGTGTGAGGCGGTGTTGCGTGCAGGCCTCTTTATCTGCACTGTATAAAGTCGTTGGTCACGCTGTGGAGCTGCTCACGGCTGCCGGCGCGATGTTATTATCCATTACCCGCCCGGCGCAGTCGTTGGCGCACTCCCGGGCCTGGTATAATTGTCCTTCTCGGCTACAAATTGCCTCTCCCGGCAGGCCCATTTGCATAAATCCTCCGAGCTCCTCCAAACACGATTGGCGCGTGCGTGTGCGCACTGCATCAATCCTGATGATTTGGTAATAATAGTTAAATCGGCACTAAATGGTTCCTTCAATTAAGACAGGCAAAAAATTAATCTCAGGGCTTCATGTCACAAAACATTAGCAAATGCAGAGAAGGTTACGGGGAGGGGCTGTGTGGCTGTGGGCAGTGGAGGGGTCACCATATGGCTGCCCCCCCCCAGAGCTGCCCCTGCCCTGCCCAGGTGTCTCCTGGGGGGGGGTCTCCTGGGGTCTCCCTTTGAGAACCAGCCAGCACTGTGGGAACTGCTGGGCAGGACAGGGCCCCTGGAAACCAGGATCTGGCTAGAAGGCAGCAGCCTCAGGACAGGGAGGGAAACTGAGTCCAGGACCCCTCTTCCCGAGGGTCAGGGCCCCACCTCACCCTTCCACCTCCTGCCCTCACTCATCCAGGCAGTGGTGGCAGAGGCAGTTGGCCCCGGGACGGGCCTTCTACCATGCAGGAAGTCGGGGAGCGGGGGCCCAGGGGTGCCTTGTGGCCCATGGCTTCCTGCCTGGCCCCTCAGGCCTCAGAAGCCCAGCCTCCTCTGTGAGCAGGAAGGTGGAAAGGGACATCCGGCCACGCCAGGCCAGGGCCAGGCAGGGCTCTTTGTCTCCATCTGGGATTCATTTTCATGAGCAGCTGGGTATCCCTTTGCACCTGTGGGCAGGTGGGGGTTGAAAGGTGAGAGGCCAAGCCCCCAGCCCCTGTCTAGCCAAGAACAGGCAGAGAGACTCCCCAAGCCTTGGCTTCTCCATGTGAAATGGGGCAGTGGGAGGTTCTGGGGAGGGTGGGTCACCCACACAAGAGGGGGAGCCCAGGATGTGGGGGGATCAGGTGGGACCTGTTTTGGGGCATCTGGAGGTAGCTGCTGGGCCCATGTAGGCTGGAGTTGACTTCTGCCCCAGCTCCCAGCCTGGGGGACAGCACAGCTCTGGGGCATGGGGAATACTGAGGCTCAGCCTCCGCAGTGTCCAGGGCTCCATCTGGGAGGGGCCAGGGATGCAGAATTCCATCCTTAAGACCCGCGTGGAGGACAGAATGGGCTCCTGAGAGGGCCTGAGCCCGGCAACGGGGTCCCTGGGGACTCAGGGGAAAGCCCAGGCTTCTCTGGACACCGCCCCCACCCCACCCCACCCACCTGCCCCTACCCCCGCCCCTGGTGGGACTCCGGTTGGCACGTCCTCTTCCAGCTGTGGCGGAAATGTGGGTGCAGTTCTCACAAACCTGCCCGGTGCCTGCCCCACTCCTAAGGGTGGTAGTATCAGGCCCTGAACACCCGCCAAGGGCCGGGCCCGGCCTGCATAAGCCCTGCCCCAGACTCAGACAGGCACATGTGTGGCTGTCCCTTGTTCCAGGTGCCAAGGCTGGGGCTGCAGCCCCACTCAGGCCCCAGTAGCAGCAGAGCCCTGGCTCCTGAGCACTGGGCGGCCCCTCAGAGCCCTCACCGGCCCCAGCCCCCGACACCTGGCCTCTGGGTCACTGTGGCTAGGACCAGACAGCACTGCCAGGGCGTTCCTTCCTATCAGGCTGGAAGGATGGGATTTGGGTAACAGAAGCGTGCCCACTTCCAGTATAGCCAAGTGGGGGATGGGGCGGATTTGAGGATATAGGGACTGCTGAGGGCCGGTGGTTGGCAGGCAGAGGGGCTGGCTGCAGGCAGGTGCTCAGAGGAGGTCAGAGCTGGCTCGGCCCCCGGGGCCCCTCACCCCCTGCTCTGTCTGCCCGAGACGTGGGGCCCTTGGAGGAGGGTGACCCACAGTGTGACCCACTACAGAGACAGTAGGGGGACAAGGCTGGGGCGGCCGGGCCTGCATCTGCCCTGCACCCACCACCCCATGCCCCCAGGGCGGTGCGGACAAGCCTGGGTCTGCTGTGTGCGGAGCTGCGAGGAGGCAGTGGGGGCGAGCCTGCGAAGAAGCGAAGCAAGCTGGAGAGGAGCGTCTATGCGGGCCTGCAGACTGCCTCCGTGGTGAGTGCCGAGGCGCCCGCCTTGCCCCAGGGCCCTTCAGGTCCCTTCAGGTCCCTTCCTGGCAGGTAGCAGACTCTCCCCAGCCCTGTGCCGAAACCCATTGCTCAGATGAGCGAAGCAAGGCTGGGGAGCTCCGAGCGCCGACAGCAGGAGGAGGAGGGTGACCCTGCGGTGTAACACAGGAAGGTCTGACCGGGTGGCCCTGCCGCCACTTGCCCACGTCACTCCACCCTCCTCGTCTCACTCCAGCAGGAAAGCAAATGCCCAGGCTACACTCTGCTCACAGAGACTCCCTGGAACGAGGCCCTGCCTTTCTTCAGGTGGCCCAGGGCACACTTGGTGTGGCGGGGGCTCCTCCGGCTGCCGGCACCCCCTTTCTTCTTGGTGTGGGGGGGCTCCCCACGCTGCTGGCACCCTGTTTCTTCTTGGCGTGGTGGGGGCTCTCTCGGCTGCCGACACCCCTTCTTTCTTGGCACAACAGCTGCCTCCTGCCCCTCCTCTCTCCGTGGCCTCGGCGGGGCTGGTGAGACGTGGGCCCCAGCATACTTCACCTGTCTGCCCAGGGGGCTGATCCTTCTGCCCAGATGCTGTTTTATCCCTCCCTTTAGAAAAGCTAACAGCCTGGCCCCACAACCCACAGCCACTGGGCCCTCAGCCTCCTCCATGTCCCCTACGTGGGGTGGGCAGTTGGTGGGCAGTGGGTTGTGTGGGAAAGGCCGCAGCGTAGGCTCCAGGGGCAGGCCCTGTGTCTCTGGGCCAGACATCCCTTCAGCCCCTGTGGATCGAGGGCAGGGGCCTCGAGGTACCAGTTCTGAGCCGGGCATCAACAGAGAGGCACCTAACCGCCCAGGGGCTGTGGTTTGCAGAGGGCGCCCTGAGAGTGCAGCTGCCCCTCCCTGTTCACAGGAGAAGGCGCAGTGTAAGAAGAGCAGCTGTCAGGGCGGGCTGGCGCCCTCCGTGGCCCACAGGGTGGCCCAGCTGAAACCCAAGGTCAAGAGCAAAGGGCTGCCCACAGGCCTCAGCTCTTTCCAGCAGAAGGAGGCTACCCCCGGGGGGCGCATCCGGGAGAAGCTGTCCCGAGCCAAGAGTGCCAAGGTGTCTGGGGCCACACGGCACCCACAGCCCAAGGGCCACGGCAGCCGGGAGACACCCAGGTGCCCAGCCCAGCCCTCCGTGGCTGCGTCCCAGGAGGCAGGCAAGTTGCTGGCGTGAGTGGCCACTGCCAGGAGCCCCGGTCATGGTCGCTCGGGGGCTGGAGGAGGGGGCGGCAGGTTCATGGCCGCCACCAGGGCTGGGTCATGGCTTGTGGGGTGTGACAGGTCCAAGGAGACGTTTTCACTGAACAGGCTGGGGAAGGAGATGAAGGTCTCACGGAAGGAGACCCCCATCCCCAGGCAGAGCTCAGTGGCTCAGCATGCCTCACCCCCATGTCAGGGCCGAAGGGGAAGGAAGGACCCCCACTGGAAGCATCCAGGTTAAAAATAGCCCTCTCAACGGCCCCAGCCCCTGTGACTGTAGCATCCGGCTGAGCTGACCCTGAGGCGTTATCTGACCACCCCCCCCAGCAAACACGTGTGTCCAGAAACAGGAGCCTAGAAAAATAGAAGCTTCCTTTCTTCTGCCAGCCCCTTCCCCCAAGGTCTCAGATGCCTGAGAAAGAACAAAGGGAGGGCCGCTTGGGGCTGGGGGAGGGGCAGAGGGCCATCTGGGCGGAGGACAGCAGAAAAAGGGGAAGGGACTTTCTGGGGAGGGGGCCCCAGCCCTGCCTGGTGGGTGCCCTATTGCCCAGGGTATAAGAAAAAAACACCCCTCCCCACACCCATACAAATCCCTTCAGGCTGGAGGCCAGGACCTCAGGCACCTGCCCCCAAAGCAGCCCCACAGAGCGGCCCAGAGGGTGACGGTGACCAGCTCCACTCACAGCCCCGCCATAACCGCATGCCCAGAGGGTCACCTCCCCCACCTCTCAATGGCACAGCTTACCATCAAGTCATCAGGACCCCTCTGCCTCTCTCCCAGGCAGTGGCTATGACAGTGAGGACTGCGAGGGTCTCCTGGGGACAGAGGCACCACCCAGGGAAGCAGGGCTGCTGCTGCACACCGGGGCCAGTGTGGCCGTGCTGGGGCCCTCACCCTCCTCTGTGGTCAAGATGGAGGCCAACCAGAAGGCCAAGAAGAAGAAGGAGAGGCAGGGGTTGCTAGGTAACCAGGAGGGAGGACAGGGGTTGCTAGGTAACCAGGAGGGAGGGCAGGGATTGCTAGATAACCAGGAGGGAGGGCAGGGGTTGCTGGGTAACCAGGAGGGAGGGCAGGGTTTGCTGGGTAACCAGGAGGGAGGGCAGGGGTTGCTGGGTAACCAGGAGGAAGGGCAGGGGTTGCTGGGTAATCAGGAGGGGGAGGGCAGGGGTTGCTGGGTAACCGGGGGGAGGGCAGGGGTTGCTGGGTAACCAGGAGGGGGAGGGCAGGGGTTGTTGGGTAACCGGGGGGAGGGCAGGGGTTGCTAGGTAACCAGGAGGGAGGGCAGGGGTTGCTGGGTAACCAGGAGGGAGGGCAGGGGTTGCTGGGTAACCGGGGGGAGGGCAGGGGTTGCTGGGTAACCAGGAGGGAGGGCAGGGGTTGCTGGGTAACCAGGAGGGGGAGGGCAGAGGTTGCTGGGTAACCCGGGGGCGGGCAGGGGTTGCTAGGTAACCAGGAGGGAGGACCGGCACAGTCAGCCCAACCAGCCGGGTCTCTAGGATGGGGACCCCTGTGACGGCCTCCTCTCCTTCCCACAGGGGCCTGCCGCCTGTCCAGCCCTGAGAGTGAGGTCAAGATCAAGAGGCGGTCGGTGAAGGCCAAGGTGGGCACCACCCTGGAGCGGGCCCCAGGGCAGAGGCCCCCAGGTGCGCTGGGCAAGAAGAAAGCCAAGGGCAAGGCCAAGGGCAGCCTGCGGGCAGAGCCGGGGGCCACCCCCAGCAGGGACGCCCTCTTCAACCCCTCTCGGGCCTTCGCCTGCCGTGAGGAGGGCAGCCAGCTGGCCAGTGAGCGCCTCAAGAGGGCCACGCGCAAGGGCACAGTGCTGCAGCCAGTGCTGCGGGTGAGGCTGGGCTCTGGGGTGCTGGGCGGAGAGGGTGGGTGCCTGTGAGGAAAGGCCTTCCCCGCCCTCCCCCGCACGCTGGCCCCTGAGCTCTGGGTCAACCTGAGGCTGTCCCACCCTTGACTCAGCCCCTTCTCTGCCTGCCCACGCGCAGCGGAAGAACGGGGCCCTGTCCATCACGCTGGCCACACGCAACGCCAAGGCCATCCTGGGGAAGGGCCGGAAGCTGAGCAAGGTGAAGCACAAGGCCGGCAAGCAGGTAGCAGCCCCCCACTCTGGGAGCCCACTGTGCACCCACCTGCACCCCGCCTGCACCCCACCCAAGCCTGACTCCTCTGGCCCCCAGGGCAAGGGCCGGGCCGTGAGCCGCCTGCTGGAAAGCTTCGCCGTGGAGGAAGACTTTGAGTTCGACGACAACAGCAGCTTCTCGGAAGAGGAGGAGGACGAGGAGGAAGAGGAGGAGGACAGCGGCCCTCTGAGCGCAGAGCAGAGCGCCGCCCTAGGTGAGCAGGGCCAGGAAGGGTGCCAGCCGCCTGGGGAGGGGTGGTGGGTAGGCCGTGCCGGCCGCTGACACCTTGTGCCCACAGCGCGCTCGTGTGCCATCCACAAGGAGGACCTGCGGGACGGGCTGCCCGTGCTCATCCCCAAGGAGGATAGCCTGCTGTACGCGGGCAGCGTCAGGACCCTGCAGCCACCCGACATGTGAGGCCTGGGCATGGTGGGGCAGGGCAGGGGCCTGGAGGGCAACCGAGACCCGTGGCACCTCACATTCCCCAATGCCCCCAGCTATAGCATCGTCATCGAGGGCGAGAGGGGCAACCGGCAGAGGATCTACTCACTGGAGCAGCTGCTGCAGGAAGCGGTGAGGACCGGGCCGGCCCGCCCCGGGGAGGGGCCTGGCTGGCTTGTCCCAGGACAAAGGAAGGCCTTGGCCTGGGCCGCAGCCACTCCCAGGCCCAGGGACCAGACTCTCAGGCAGCCCTGGGCCAGGCCCCACCTGCTCATGGGTCGTCGCCCGCGTTCCTGCAGGTTCTCGATGTGCGGCCACAGTCCAGCCGGTACCTCCCGCCCGGCACGCGGGTCTGCGCCTACTGGAGTCAGAAGTCTCGATGTCTGTACCCGGGCAACGTGGTCCGGGGTAAGTTGCACCCAAAGCGGGGGCTGGGGCAGGCCCCTCTGAGACCCACAGGCTCATATCTGCCCCCAACAGCCTGGCTTCCGAGGCTGGCGAGGGCAGAACCAGCTCTCTGCTTAGACAGAGTACGACAATAAAATGAGCTCCCCAGGCGCCATGAAAAAGCACAGGGTGTGTGGGGAGGGAGGGTGGGGGCTCCGGCCTCCAGCCAAGCAGAGAGGGCCCAGCAGGAAGGGGCCCTGAGCACTGCTGCTGGGGGTCACAGAGTACGTCAGGGGGCACCAGCTCCCCTGGGCAAAACCTCCTGACTACAGGCAGGGGCATGTAGGTCCCTAGGGCGAAAGGCTCAAGGGTCCCACAGGCAAGTGGCCAGGTGGGCGGGAGGCGCCTCCAGGCGGGACTCGGCTGGGAGGTGGGCACGTGGGCGTCAGCACGTGTGGGGAGGTCTGGTTCTGGGCTGGGTGGGGTGACGGTGGCATCACATGGGAGGCACTGCAGGAGGTGGAGAGGAGGCCCCCGCTCCTGGGCTGCAGGGCGGCTCCACTGTCTGTGTGGTCAGGGAGCAGAACCCCAGAGCCCTCCCCTCACCCTCCCCACCGGCTTTGGCAGCCCCGCCTCCCTGTTTCGGGCGCCTACTGGGGGTTCCAGCTGCAAGCTCAGGTGTGCCGTCCACAGGGGCCTCCGGTGACGAAGATGAGGACCTGGACTCAGTAGTGGTGGAATTTGACGATGGGGATACAGGCCACATCGCCGTCTCCAACGTCAGGCTGCTGCCCCCTGACTTCAAGATCCAGTGTGAGCCTGGGAGCTGCACGGGGCAGGGCCCTGCCTGGGCTCCACTGTGTCCAGACGGGCTCCCAAGGAAGGGTTGGGGTGGCAGTCACCCCACAGCCATGGCACTGAAGCCCTTGGCCCATGCTATCCACAGGCACAGAGCCCTCTCCAGCCCTGCTAGTGTCTAGCAGCTGCCGGAGGACCAAGAAGGTATCCAGTGAGGCACCCCCGCCTAGTGAAGCCGCCACCCCCAGCCTGTCCCCCAAAGCACAGGACGGCCCCGAAGCTTTGAAGACACCTGGGAAAAAATCCATTAGCAAAGACAAAGCTGGTATTTTACCGGACTTCCCAGAATCCGGATCGGGGAAGGCACCCTCTGGGGGCTGGGGGAACCAGGAGGCCCGTGGGGTAGGCAGGGTCCGGGGAGGGGCAGGTGGAGGCAGCTTTGTGGGCCCAGCTGGGGCTGACTCTGCTGGGCTTTTGCCCTCAGGTAAAGCCGAACTCCTAACCTCAGGTGCCAAATCCCCCACGGGGGCCTCCGACCACTTCCTGGGCCGCCGTGGCAGCCCCTTGCTGAGCTGGTCCGCGGTGGCGCAGACCAAGCGGAAGGCGGTGGCAGCGGCCAGCAAGGGGCCGGGGGTGCTGCAGAACCTCTTCCAGCTCAACGGCAGCAGCAAGAAGCTGCGGGCCCGCGAGGCCCTGTTCCCCGTGCACAGCGTGGCCACACCCATATTTGGCAACGGCTTCCGCGCCGACTCCTTCAGCAGCCTGGCCAGCTCCTACGCGCCCTTCGTCGGGGGGACCGGGCCGGGCCTCCCCAGGGGAGCCCACAAGCTGCTGCGGGCTAAGAAGGCCGAGAGGGTGGAGGCCGAGAAGGGTGGGCGGCGGCGGGCGGGCGGTGAGTTCCTGGTCAAGCTGGACCACGAGGGTGTGACCTCCCCCAAGAACAAGACCTGCAAGGCGTTGCTCATGGGGGACAAGGACTTCAGCCCCAAGCTCGGGCGGCCCCTGCCCAGCCCCAGCTATGTGCACCCGGCCCTTGTGGGCAAGGACAAGAAGGGGCGGGCACCCATCCCCCCGCTGCCCATGGGGCTGGCGCTGCGCAAGTACGCGGGCCAGGCAGAGTTCCCGCTGCCCTACGACAGCGACTGCCACAGCTCCTTCTCGGACGAGGACGAGGACGGGCCGGGGCTGGCGGCCGGCGTGCCCTCCCGCTTCCTCGCCCGCCTGTCCGTGTCCTCTTCCTCCTCTGGCTCGTCCACCTCCTCCTCCTCAGGCTCCGTGTCCACCTCCAGCCTCTGCTCCTCCGACAACGAGGACTCGTCCTACAGCTCAGACGACGAGGACCCGGCTCTGCTGCTGCAGACCTGCCTCACCCACCCCGTGCCCACCCTCCTGGCCCAGCCCGAGGCCCTGCGCTCCAAGGGCAGCGGCCCTCACGCGCATGCCCAGCGCTGCTTCCTGTCCAGGGCCACGGTGGCTGGCACCGGTGCGGGCTCAGGCCCCAGCAGCAGCAGCAAATCCAAGCTCAAGCGCAAAGAGGCCCTGAGCTTCTCCAAAGCCAAAGAGCTCTCCCGGAGGCAGCGGCCGCCCTCCGTGGAAAACCGGCCAAAGATCTCAGCCTTCCTGCCCGCCCGGCAGCTCTGGAAGTGGTCGGGGAATCCCACACAGGTAGGTCCAGCGGGAGGCGGGAGGAGCTCCTGGTTCCCAAGGAAACCGGGGCGGGCTCATGCGCCCCTGCTGCCCTTCCCTCTCCTTTTTCATCTTCCTACTTGATTTCAAGTTAAAAAATGTGGAAAACTCAAGGGAAGAACAAAGACCCATCCATGACCCAGTGAGGCAGCCGCTTCCGCTGGCCCCTCGCTGGAGCCCGTGGCCTGCGTGACAGTAGAAATGGCTTCATGTCGGGCCGGGCCTGAGCTGCACTCCGCATGGTGTGGCCTCACTTTTCCACGTTGATAAGTGGCGTGGCCAGCTGGAGAGCTGTGTATCCCCGCACTCAGATGCCTGCGTCTGTCCTCACCAGGGCACTGCTCGGGGGCGCATGTGGGGCCACTCGTGGGTCTTTTGCCTTCGTAAATAACACTGTGGTGAACGTCTTGTCCACATGTCCCTGTCCCAGATCCAGTGTCCAGACGTCATGATTCCATGTGCGGGCTCCGTGGAGGCGTGGCCCCTGCTCCAGATCCATGGCTGCCATGGCCTTAAGCCGCGGTGCTGCGGCTTCCTGCCCTTGTGGGCGCCCTGCACACTCACACTCAGACTCACACTCACACCCACACCACACCCTCCATGCCTCCTGGCCGCCACCTGTCCCCACAGCCCCCCGGCCTCTCAGAGCCACCCTGCCCATGTCCCCCACAGCGGCGTGGCATGAAGGGGAAGGCCCGGAAGCTGTTCTACAAGGCCATCGTGCGGGGCGAGGAGACCCTGCGTGTCGGGGACTGTGCCGTCTTCCTGTCAGCTGGGCGGCCCAACCTCCCCTACATCGGCCGCATCGAGAGCATGTGGGAGTCGTGGGGCAGCAACATGGTGGTCAAGGTCAAGTGGTTCTACCACCCTGAGGAGACCAAGCTGGGCAAGAGGCAGTGCGACGGCAAGGTGAGGCCCGGACAGGTGTGGGGCCCAGCCCCCCTCGGGGCCCCAGGGAGGGGACACGACAGCAGCCAGCACTGTGCCCCAACACGGAGCACCTGGCCCCACCACACAGCCCCCGCTCAGCAGGTACCACGGCCCTGCAGGGAGCCGCACAGCCCATGGGCATGCCCTAGAGCAGGGCTCCCAGGTCCCTCCCCACAGTGGGGGGCTGTGGCCCACAGCAGTGCTCAGCATCCGGCAGGTCTAGTTCACTCCTGGGATGTGTGGCGGCCCCCACCCCGTGGGCCCTCCCTGCCTCCAGTGCCAGCCTGAGACAGAAATTGCACTCAGCACACCCTCTGCTCCTCTCTGAGAAGAAGCCATTTTCCAGACCATATGACACGTCCATCTTTCAGGGAAATTAGTATTTCTCTGACTCCGACAGCCCCCAGAGGGTCCCCGGCAGGTTCCTCGGCCTCTGGACAGACAGGGCTGCCTGGACCTGGTCCCTGGCAGGTTCCTCGGCCCCGTCTTCCGGCCACACAGAAGTCCATCCGGTGACCCTTACAGAGCATGGGTGGGCGGGTGGTCTTTCCTGGCTGGGCAGGGGCGCACTGGCCAAGGCCGGCCACTGATGCCCCGCGCGCCTTGCCCCCAGAATGCGCTGTACCAGTCCTGCCACGAGGATGAGAACGACGTGCAGACCATCTCCCACAAGTGCCAGGTCGTGGCGCGCGAGCAGTATGAGCAGATGGCCCGGAGCCGCAAGTGCCAGGACCGGCAGGACCTCTACTACCTGGCGGGCACCTACGACCCCACCACCGGGCGCCTGGTGACGGCTGATGGCGTGCCCATCCTATGCTGAGCCGCCCACCGCAGATGCCTCCCACGTGCGCCAGGGACCCTGTGTGCGGAGCCTGGCGTCGGCCAAGCCACCGGGCAGGAGGCAGCCCCGGCCTCCCAAGGGCGCATCTGAGCAAATATGCAAAAGCCCACAGGGCAAGACCCAGGCTTTCTTACGGTTTTCCCTGGAAAGAGCGCTCCAGGTGTCGGAATCCAGTCCCGTCCCATCCTCTGCGGAGGGTCGGGCTGTGGCCCTCATGGGTCCCCGGCCCGCCCCACCCACAGCGCCCTCCGTTTCCCGCACCGGCAGTTCACGGGAGATTTGAATCCAAGCCATATTCCCTAGTACCTCCGACTGTCTCCCACCAGGGAAAGCAGAAATCAGGTGTGTTGTCTATTTATTTCTCTATGTAAATATTGTATTTCTGCGGGGAAATTTTATGGTAAAAAGTGGAAAAGGGTTTTTCCCCATCCGCGTGACAAGGTGTGTGTGAGCGTGTATGTGTGTGCGCGTGTGTGGCGATTTTTGTCCTGGGGTTTCCTTTGGAAATGCACTGTTCTCAGCCCAGCTGGGTTCCAACGGGGGCACCTGGGACGACAGAGGCATCTCGGGGCAGGGGGCAGAGGCCACGGGAGGGTCAGGTGGGACCCTTGACGGCACCCTCTGATCTCTTGGGGGGACGACCGTGTAAGATGAAAGTCGGTCAAGTTTATTTGCTTTCAGTGCATCTCCTAGAAAAGAAGTGTTGGAGCAGGGGGTGGTGATGAGGGGCCCGTGGGGAAAGGATTCAAGAGGCAAAGCCCAGACCAGGGAGTGTGACAACAGCCGTGAGCATCTCACCTGTGTTCAAAACAAGACAAAGACGAACAAATATTTTAAAGTATTGATAAGAAAAAGCAATGTTTGGATTGTATCTGCTGAATCATATTCCAACCTATATCTGATTTCTGTTTCCGGGGCCAGTTGGTCTGAGGCCAAGGAGTCTGGCCTCCACCCAGAGCAGGGAGGGGCTGGCCCCTCGCCCCCCTCACCCTCGCCGCCCTGGCACACTCGGGAAGCAGGGCCCAGCTCTGAGCCCCTCCTCACCCCTGGGGTCCTAACTTTCCTGAAAGTAGTAGGTGCCGTGAGAAGGGGCAGTTTGGCCAGGTTCCTGAACTGGGCAGGGCTCGGGGCCTATGAGGGCAGGTTCACAGTCCCACCAGATTCTCTCCTCACCCCCAAGCAGAATGCATGCAAAAGACACCCCTTTTCCCACCCACCTTATTGGTGCCCCCAAACCCCTGGCCTGCTGCGTAGATGGTGGTGAGGCCAGGCCAGCAGTGCTGTGGCCAGGGGAGAAGAAAATAAAACGCAGGCCCTGCCCTTGGGGAAGGCCCCTTTCTGGGCCCCCTTTTCCACCAGCCAAATCTGCCTGGCCCTCGGACCCCTCTGCCTGCCCCAACCCCTTTGGAGGTTTCTCGGCCTTTTCTGTGCCACTTGGTGGGGCAGATGGCCTGATGGGCTAGTGCTTGGGGCATAGAATGAGGGTCCCCCTGACCACCTGAGCCCAAATCCTGGCCCCAGGTGCAAGCAGCACCCCTCGAGGGCTCTGCCCCAGTATCCCCAGGGAATTCACACCCCTCCCCTTCTCCCACAGCCAAGGACAGACAGGCTGCCTGGACCTGAGCCCAACAGCCTTCAGCCTCAGAAACGCATGGGGGGCCACACACTCCTTATATCCTCCCACACTAAGGTTCCCCTGGCCCCACGGGAGCTTCAGGAAAGCCCCCCAAGTTAGCCACTGCTCTAGGACGAGCTCTGTGTCCCCCACACCACAGGCCTCGAAGCAGGGTGCTGGTGGGTGCCCTGTACCCCAATCCCAGGTCCCCTTGGCCCCCTATTTTTCTCGGGCCCATTGGGGCCTGTTTCTCACCTGCTGGCTGGACCCCCTGAAGGGCCGTTCCCAGAGGCTCCCCAGGAGGCTCAAGGCTGGGGGCTTATGTTGTGGTCGGGGGTCCCCGCCTCCAGCCCCCCGCTCCCACCCCCGAGCCTACCCTTTGTCTCGCATGAGTGCAATATTTCATTCCCGGTGGTTGTCTGGGGAGGTGGTTGGACGAGGTCCTGCTTGAGGCTCGGGGATCAGAACGATGTCAAGTGAAGAAAAATGCACGGGGGCATGCTGAGCCACTGGAGTTCCAGAGAGGGCCGAGGAGGGTGCAGCCACGGAGGTTGGATCCTCTGCTCCGCCGCCTCGTCCTCGTCCCGCTTCTGCTGGGTTCCGCTTTGTCCCTGGTTTTTTCCTTTCTTTTTCTGTGTGCGTGCGAATGGTGCGGCCCCTCCCCTCTCACCGTGGTTAACGTGACGAAGGCACGATTCCTGTAAATGTGTAAACTAAGGGGATGGTTGGATTTTTTTTCAATGTAAACACTAAAAACAAAATGGACAAAAAAACACACAAAGGTTTTATGAACAGCAGACTCTATGTAAAGGCATTTTAGTATCAAATTTTTTATTGATAACTTGCTTAAGAATAAATATATGGACTATTGTACAGGTTTTCGGTGGTCCAGGGTCCTGTGTCCCACGGTACTCCTGGGGGTTCCCCAGGGCTCCGGGGGCTCAGCAGAAGCCTCTCGTTCCCAGAGCTGGGGCTTCTGGGCCAGGCCTCCCCACCGCCCCCTGTGTTGGCCCAAGTGAAGCCCCTCAGGCCAGGAAAGGGTCATGTGACCGGAATGGGCTCAGAGTGGTCTTAGGGGTGGGGTCCCTCCAGGAGGAGGGCCCCTTTCCTGGTTGCTCTCACAGTCCCTGTCCAGCCTGAACCAGTCCAGGGCCAGAGTAGGTTCCACTGGAGAGGACGAAGGGCAAGAGCAGTCTCCGAGCCGCCACGCTGGGCAGGGTCTCAGACGTGAATGACCATCCTGGGAGGGGCGGCCCACGGCCCGGGTGTGGGAACACAGATGAGTGCACCCCCAGCTGGAGAGAGCCCTGTTCATGAGGCTGCAGACCCAGAGGAAGCCGGATGCTTGCAGGGGGTAGGGGACCCTCCTTGTTCCCCCTCTGCCGCCGGGATCTTGGGAAGCTGCATGAAGTCGGTGCACATCTGTCCCAGTGGGCCCTGAGTGCCTGGTCACAGCTGCGTCCAAGGCCAGGAAACATGGTCCTTGGAGGACGGAGTCCCTGAGTCAGCAGTGCCTTCCTGGGCCGGTGAGTGCGGAGAGAGGTGCTCAGGGACCGGCCGTGCCTCAGGCTGCTGTGAGGGCAGGGAGCAGATGAGGCCCTGGCCGGGCCGAGCGCTGAGTAAGGGGGCTGCTGGACCAGGTTTCTGGGTCAGGGGTCCTCTGTGGCAAGAAAGGAAAGACGGGTGAGGCCAGACACTCCCTGTGGGCTCAGGAGACCCTGACTTCAGTGATCTCAGTGACTTTTTTCGGGCAGAATCCAGCCCGGAACAGGGAGGAAGGCCTGCGGCTGTTGCCCCGGTTCCTGGAGCCCTGAGCCAGGACTTGCTGCCGCCTCCTGCCCACTCCAGGAGCTTGCCTGACGGAGCAGGTCGCACGGAGAGGCCACAGGCAGCCGACAGGGACTCTGGGGCAAGAGAGCCGGATGAGGCCCAGGCCGGAGAGGTGACACCTGCCTGGGAAGCCCACAGGAAACCTCTGCCAGCAGGTCTCAGGTTCAAATCCTCCATTCACCCAGCACTGCCTGGTGCCAGCAGTGTACCAAGCAGTGAGCCACAGTGGAAGTGAGCGGCCCACGGCCCCACCTTCATGACAGGCAGATGGGAGAGACCAGAACAGTGGGGCCCAGCAGCTGCACCCGGGGCCACGCAGCTGAGATAACCTCACCCGTGGAACCCCAAGGTCGGCCACCCCCATCTCAGCCAAAAGTGTGGTATCGGGGCTGAGCCAGGCCTGGTGGGGCAGCACTGTGGCTCCCCGCCCCCCGCTGCATGTGGCAGCAGGATCAGCGGGGACTTCCGCACCTGGCAAAGCAGACAAAGAACTGACTGTCCCTGGGGTGGTCCAGGTGGGCTCCCTGGAAGAAGTAACACCTGGGCTGTCTTGGAAAAGCCCAGGGCAGGGCAGGGCAGACAGAGGGTAGTCAAGGAACAGCTGGGGTGGCCAGCAGGTGGTTAATGGGGGCGGGGGGAGGTAGGGGATTGATGTTAGAGCTAGAGGGTGACAGAGGCCAAATCTCAAGCCCCTGAGAGCAGCATGGAGCCTGTCTTCTCTCTCTGACAATGGGTGCCCCAAGGGCTCTAAGCAGAGTCTGCAGTCAAATTGAGGCACTGGTTCTGCAGCCTGGGAGTCAGGGTTGAAGGTCCCAGGCCAGCCAGGCACCTGGGGGTCAGGGTTAGAGGGGCCAGGTCAACTAGACACCTGAGGGCCCAGGCCGGCACAGGTACCTGGGGGGAGGGGCTGGCACCAAGAGAAAGGCTTTAAGGGTGGCACAGGGCCGGACTAGGGGTCCAGGTGGGGCTGAGGGCCGGAAACGGCCAGAGGGGAGGGGGCCTGGCTGAAGGGGGTGCCACCAGTGAGCCCAGGAGGCAGGTGACCCGGGCTTAGCGAGTGGGGTTGACGGCAGGCTTAGGTGGGCCCCCGACCTCGAGGGTCTGACCTCCCCAGGAGCCCTGCAGGGCACACTGCTGAATCTAAGGGCAGGACTCACGCCTGGCTCTGGCCCCGCAACACCGCCGTCCTACTCTCCCCCTCCATCACCTCTCTGCCCCTCGTCCTCCCACCTTATCTCAGACAGGGCCATCCTTGCCTTCCAGAACTGCCTGCCCCCAGAACAGGCCCTGGGCAAAGGGCAGGGCGTTGTGGGAAGGACAGTCAGTGGGGCTGGGCATGCACAGCTGCGGAGCCCCAAGGGTTAAACATGCAAGACTACACTTTGATCAAGACAAACGGGCCATTATGTGAAATGCTGGAGCAAGATGAATGCTGGCGCTGGGTGAGTGAGATCAATAAAAGTGATGTTTTATCAGGTAGAAATGACAACCTGGCTGATCGCAATTCGTTTTTAATACCACAAACCAACTGGGGACCAGGGGGCTTTAATTGTTCATCCCCGGCCTGGCGAGGTTGCTGGGGGTTGGCGGGGAGTGGGGGAGAGGCAGCCGCACCGCTCAGCCGCCGCGGGGTCACCGGGCACTGGAGCTGGCCGGACGCCCATGCTGGGTGGGCCCCTCAATGGTCTCCTGAGTCTGTACCAGGCAGGGTGAGGAGGGAACCGCCTCTGGCCCCTGGGTGCGGGCTAAGAAAACAAGCAGAGGCAGCACCCCAGGGGAATAACTCTGAACGGCCCCATCTCCCGCCAAGCCCCTACCAGGAACCTGGGCCCCTCGGCCTCCACTCTCCCCCCAACAGCCACCCTTTCCCGCTCCCCAGAAGTCCCAGTGAGAAGCCAGCACCTCCCTCCTTTAAGAGCCAGAGGACCCAGCCTTGAGCTTCCCGTGCCCTCCCTATCGGTGCAGCCTCTGTAACCCGCCTTAGGCTACCTGGAGCCATAATGGTGACGAGGACGCGTCTAGGGGAGCGAGCTTCCCACGGACGGGCGGGTGGGTTGTTCAAGGCCCAACCACCACTCAGTGCCCACCTGGGACCACAGCACAGCTGCCAGGGGGACCAGGCCTGCCCCTGCCTCAGGTGGGGAGCTGGGCCGGGCAACGGGTCAGTGGGGTAGAGGTGCGGCCCCGGGGCCAGGCCTGCAGGTGCAGCCTGACTTTGCAGTGGCTCGGACCTCAGTGTCCGTGTCTGTGAAATACAGACCTTGAGTCTCTTTCCCCACCTATAAGACCAGGATGAGGCTCACAGGTGGCCCAAGGGATTTCTGGATGGATGCACAGGCAGAGCCCAGTCAGCATGGGGGTCTCAGCCCCTTTCCCTTGGCCTACAACCTCAAGCCCCAGGCCTTGTGTCCCCACCCACACCCAAGGGAGGCTTGAGAGGCCCAGTTCAGGCAGAAAGAGGAGCAGGGCTGGCCTCCAAGCCTCCGCTCTGTCAGTGTCTCGTCACAGAGATCAGGTCCGCAGTCAACGCTTTTGGGCCACTTACATCACTTCCGAAGGCCAGACACACTTCCGCTTCCATTCAGCCCCCTGGACTCCTGAGGGCCTGAGCAAAGGCCTCCCAAAGCAGGAAGAAGCAGCAGACCAAGAGCAGACACTAAGGCTGGGCACGGTGGCTCAGGCCTGTTATCCCAGCATGGGAGGCCGAGGCGGGTGGATCACAAGGTCAGATCGAGACCATCCTGGCTAACATGGTGAAACCCCGTCTCTACTTAAAATACAAAATTAGCCAGGCGTGGTGGTGCATGCCTGTAATCCCAGCTACTTGGGAGGCTGAGGCAGGAGAATCGCCTGAACCCGGGAGGCAGAGTTTGCAGTGAGCTGAGATCTCGCCATTGCACTCCAGCCTGGGCAGTAAGAGCGAAACTCTGTCTCAGAAAAAAAAAAAAGACCAGACATGGACAGCCGCCACTCGGAGCCCAGAGCAGGGTTTGCCATGAGTATGCCACATGGTCTCGGGCCTGATGTCGCTGCGGAACTGGGAAAAGCATCTGTTTTCTTACATTCCACATCCCTCTGGTGTCTTTTGCTCCTTTCCTTTGCTGAGACTGAGTTCTCAGGCAGGCTCTATCCTGTGCTTTAGAGTAGCGGGGCCCACTCTGATGGGCGTTTCCTGTCTGTTTTTTGGAGGTTCCCGAGACTGACTGCACCCATTTACAGAAAGGAAAGGCAGGGGATTGACACAGCACCCTAGGCTTCCTGGGCCAACACCTACTGTTCAGGGAAAATCTCCAGTCCTGTCTCCCTGGACAGAGAGGACAGCAGGGTCCCTCACGATACCCAGGGCTGGTGGGGAAACTCAACACCTCCAGCCTATCCCAGATATCCTAGAATCTGTCATCCTGCCAGAATAGGCCTGTGATGTCCCTGTCCCATCAAAGCAGGGGACAGTGCATGCTGGTTCTCAACCCCTGATGACGTGATCTGTTCTTGGCAAGGCCACTTCTTGTTTCCTTCTCTGACAACCATTCCTGTGTCCATCTGCCCATCCATCTGTCCGTCACTTCAACAAGTATTAATACAAACTCAAGACCTACTGTGTGCCAGGCACCAGGATGCAGTGTTGAGAAGATTACACAAAGCCCACACCCCCAAGAAACTCAGAGCCCAGTAGGGAAGAAGGCCAGCACACAGAAGCCCTGGCACCCAGCACACCAGGAACTCCGAGAAGCCACACGAAGGGTACAGGACAGGGCCCTTCCTCAGTACAGAGCAGCTGCAAGCCAAAGAAGCTGGCTCCAGGCCCCCAGGGAGAGGAGCAGTCCTGCTGCCCTTCCAGGAAGCTCAGCCCCTAGTAGAATGCACTTCTGGGGGGCATCCACAGTTGCTTCCTTTAACTAGTTTAATCCGAAGACAAAAGTTGAGCTAAGGCAGCTTGCAGAGAAAGGAAGGACTAGAGGCTTGCTAGGTAGGACTCGTCTTCCACTGGCGTCACCTCAGAAAACAGTGACTCAGAGAACAGCCTCTAGGCCTGGGCCCTCAGCCCCAGGGCAGACTGGCTAGCAGGCCAGTGGGAACTCTGGTCTCACTGAGGCTGGGGCTAGGGGCTGGGACTTCACTGAGAAAAAGTGTTCCAGATGGCAGTGGGGTGGGTTAAACCAGACGCCTCCCAGAGCCCCTCTCCCCTAAGGTTCCCAGCAGTCAGGAGCCTCAGGCTCTCAAACCCTTCCTGCGGTGACGGAATGGTCTAGAAGCCTACTCACAATTTGGTTTGCTGAGAGGGAAAAGTTAAAACCGCCCTTTTTATTTGGGAGCCTTTGAACAAGTTTATGATCTTGCCCCTTGTCAGGAAATCTGTTTTCACTTACAAGAAACAGGCTGGCTCAGGGGCCGGCGGTGAGCAGAGCAGTGAGGGAAGACTCCACACTGACAGGCTAATTATATTTTTCACCACTGGCCCGGTTAGTCCCCACTCTGGTCCTGGGCAAAGCACCCCTGGCCTGGTGCTCCTGGAAGCCCCCACTACGGCCCGTCTTTTTGGGGGGTGGAGTTGGAAAGCCAATCTACAGCGAGGGTGCAGAAGGCCAGAGGTGATGTCGGGGGGCCCGGACAGGAAGGGGACGAGCGCCCACTGCTGCGCAACCAGAGCCCAGGCAGCCTCTGCTCTCGGCTGTGAGCACTGTGGAGCAGCCGGGGATTCTGAAGGATCAGCAGGCAAACAGTGCTGCCCCCAGACACGCAGGGCTCCGAAAAGCCAAAGCCCTCAGAGGGTGTCCGAGGCCACTGTCCCAGGGCCCCAGAAGCTGCAGGAAGAGCCTCCTCTGGGGCAGAGACACGCCATGCACGCACGTGGATCCGAGGACAGCCATGCCACTCTCCGGTCACATGACCCACGCCAGGCCAATCACAACACCTCTGCTTCCTCTGCCACCGTGATTGGCTTTGGGTCGGGCATGTGACATAAGCTGAGCCAATCAGAGTTCACCACTGGGACCCAATGAGCGCACAGCTTTTCCTGCGGCCTCCTGCAGCTAACCCGCCACGTTCTCTTCTCCCAGCGCTGGGCTCTCGCCGCGGCAGAACTTCGGAGTCCAGGATGGGGTTGTAGAGCCTGAGGTGTCATTCACATTGCTGGTGAAGAACAAGTAATTTGTAACAAAAGCATGTTCCATGCAATATCAGGGGTATGCTTATACTAAAAATTATTCATTCTTTATCTGAAATTTAAATTAACCTGACGTCCTGTTTTATTTGTTTAGAGACAGAGAGGGTTTCGCTCTGTCGCCCAGGATGGGGTGCAGTGGTGGGATCTTGGCTCACTGCAGCCTCCACCTCCTGGGCTCAAGCCATCCTCCCACCTCAGCCTCCCAAGTAGCTGGGATTACAGGCACGTGCCAAGCCCAGCTAATTTTTTAATTTTATTTTTTTGTAGAGTTTGGCGGGGGAGGGTCTCGCTATTTTGCCCAGGCTAGCCTCGAACCCTGGATTCAGCCTCCCAGAGTGCTGGTATTACAGGCATGAGCCCCGCACCCAGCTTTGTATTTTATTCATTAAATCTGGCAGCCCGCCTTCACAACGGCGGTTGACCTTGAAAGCCAGCTGTCCAACATAAAGTGGGTCTCCCCAGCCCACCTGGCTGCACGCAGCTGCACCCAGTCATCCATCACGGGGCAGAAAGAGCCCATGCAGGCCCTTAAGGCTCAGGAAGCTGCTGGAGGCCACTCCTGCTACACTGACCCTCCCTCACCTCAAACCCATGGCCTCTGCGAAGCCTCATCACCTGTTGACCGAGGAGGCAGCAGCCTCCTTTACAGAGCCAGCCCCAGCCCCAAGTGGATGGCTGCACCCTCACAGCCCCACCTTGCAGGACAACCCTCCCAGAGTGCAGCACATTGAGTGGACGTCTCCATGTTCAAGGCCGAGGCCTACAGAGTCCTGGGCAGTGCCTGGGCATCTGGCCAAACGTGAGGGACTTGGAAAAAACACAGGGCAAACCAGTCGGGGACAGGAGTTGGAGGAGTTCGAGGAAGAGGAGGGTCAGCAGGCATTTGGGCTGTGGCTGGAGGCTGAGCATGTGTAGGCCCGTGTGAGCCCACCAGAAGCCCCACTGCAGAAGAGTTTTTCAGAGTCAGGTGGGCACATGACCCACCCGGGGGTGCCCATCACCTCCCTCCCCCCCAGCCAATCTGCAGCTCACCCCACGGGCTCGCAGTGTGCAGAGAGGAAGGTCAAGCACAGGCACTCCCTCTTGAAACGGCCCTCCCTGTGGCTGGTCTGGATTCCCACTGAGGAAGGCTCAATTGTAGAAGCCACAACGGACCTGAAATCCCAGCAGGGTGCCATGCTTCACGGGCACCTGGCAGTGCTGTGGGGCACATTGATGACTTTGGTCCCTTCCGTTATGGCATGGGCAGCAACTTGTCCTCATCAGGAATAAGCTCTGCTCTGGATGAGGTCATGCCATGGGCCTAGAGAACCTCTAGACCTGCTCAGGGAACCCCACCCTGCCCCTGCAACCAAGGAACTCATTTCCAGGCACAAGCACAGCCAGGAGCTAAGTCACAGCCATTCCCCATCTCACCCTCTGTCCCTGGCATCTGCAGCCCAGGAGCCATGCAACCTGGTTGGTCTGAGGCAGGGCACCCCACAAGCCAGGAAAAGCTCCAGTCCTGGCTTCAGGAGGCAGGAGTTGGAGGAGGAGTTTCAGCCTCTCACTGTCACACTAGTGCCCTTAAGCTCTGCCTCCCGTCCTGACTCAGAGCTGCACTGGTCTGCCGTGCAGCACCCACGGGGAGACATCGTTACAGCCCAGGGATCTGGAGCCATTTCATGTTCCATGGGCCACAAGGTGAGTAGGAGAAAGAGGGTGTGTGGTTGCCATTCCGGCCTGCAGTTGGGCAAGGAGACGGGTGGAGCTGGGGACCTCAGAACGTACACCTACGACATGCTGATGCACTGGCGGGAGACCTCTGCAACCCCAAGAGGGCAAGAGCCACAGGGGCTCAGACACCCCAGGAATAAAACTGGGACCAGGCACAGTGGCTCCCGCCTGTAATCCCAGCACTTTGGGAGGCCAAGGTGGGCGGATCACGAGGTCAGGAGATTGAGACCATCCTGGCTGACATGGTGAAACCCCATCTCTACTAAAAAATAGAAAAAAATTAGCCGGGCCTGGTGGCTGGCGCCTGTAGTCCCAGCTACTCGGGAGGCTGAGGCAGGAGAATGGCGTGAACCCGGGAGACGGAGCTTGCAATGAGCCAAGATCGTGCCACTGCACTCCAGCCTGGGCGACAGAGCGAGACTCCATCTCAAAAAAAAATTTTTTTTAAAAGTTCGGTCATCCCACCAGGGAAAGAAGCCACCTGTGCGAGGCTCTTGCTGGAGACGAGGGCAGCGGTGGTAAGGTCAGGAGTGAAGGCAATGCCGATACCAGTGGCAGCTTGGGGCCCCCAGAGGAAAAGGAGGGCGCCTCGACTTTCTTGCCTGGGGCTATGTGCTTTCTATTTTATTTTCTTTCCTCTTCTTCCCCTGCTGTTGGGTGTCAGGTAGGTTAGCAGTGGGTAGTTCCAGCGTCCACTCCACAGCTGCAGACGCCCGGCAGACCCTCACCCGAACTCAGGAAGGTGGACATCCCAGACAGCAGGCACAGCTGAGCCGCCCAGCTCATCTCCTGGGGGGAAAGGGAGTGTTTTTATTGATCATCAGATGGCTGCACGGTGCCCTGGAGTCGTGGGAGTGGGTCAGGGGAAATGTGTGGCTCCCACGGGGGCCGAGTGTGGCCCCCGCTGCCGTGTCTGCCCCAAGGCCTTCCTGCCACCTTCTCCTGGTAACAGATGCCCCTGTTTCGTGCTGGAACTGCCCTCACCTGACCCACGTGGTTCTAGTAGAGTTGTTACCCGACCCCCGGGCCTGGACGATCACACGGCCGTGTCCCCTGGCCCAGGGGAGCAAGCCCTTTCCTGGAATGAGGAAGGACCCTGCACTCCTACTCGGTAGCCACACTGGAAGCGAGCCGACCTGGCCCTGTCTGAGCCATGCCCCCATTCTCCTCCCCTATTCCCCTTGAAGAATAGGGAAACACGTGTTTGCAGTGGAGAAGCAGAGGCCAACACACACAGGGAGAAAGAGCAAGGGACAGAAACACAGAGACAAGTGGAAAGACAGACAGAACCCTGACGACAGCTGGGTCCTCGGAGGCTCAGAGGCCCAGAGGCCCAGAGGCCCACGCCGCCCAGGCCTTTCCGGCCATAGCTTCCTTTTGTGCTGACGGCGTTTGAGCTGATTCCTTCAGTTAGAATCCTAAGGGTCTTGGTGCTCTCAGCCCCTGCCCTGCACAGAGTAGCGATGGATCCACTGCCCCTGGTGACAGTGTGTGCTCTGAGTGTCTCTGGGTTCCCGGGGCCCCACAAACACTGTGGTGGCAGGTGGGAACGACTGAGGCCTGACGAAGGGGGACGGGAGTCCTCCCCCCCGAGTACCCACAAGTACCCAACACAAAGACCTCCTCAAAAGACTGGACTGGACACTCCTCCATCAGCAGGGTCTACCTCACTGATCCAGTATGAATGACGGCCCAGCCACTCAGCCAGGGAGGTGAGCAGGGCCAGTAGCAGCACAAAACCCACATTCCGTCCTGTTCCATACGTGTGTGAGTGAATGCAGCCCTTGTGCATGCATAGAAAACGCTCTGGGTCGGGTGCAGTGGTTCATACCCATAATCCCAACACTTTGGGAGGCCAAGGTGGGAGGATCACACCCAACTCTGGTGCTGGGGAGGATGCTATCCTTGGGCCCAAATGGGGCTGAGGGCAGGATAGAGGGCAGTGGCAGGTCCAGCCTCTTCTCTCCTCGGCCTGGGCTTCTGCGTGAGGCAGGGGGCTGCCAGTGTTGAGGGCACACCTGGCCATCCAGAGCGTGGCCACCCTGTGGTGGGTCCCTGCTGTGCCTGCTGTGCTCCAGGAAGATGGGAAGGGGTCTGTGGCCACACCTGTGTGCTGCTTAAGGTGGTGACGTCACAGCCTTTTTCATCCAGGGACCCGGAAAGAAGGAGTGTCTCGGGGAAGACAGCAGTGGGGGCCTCATGGTCTGGAGCCCTCTCCCCACCAGATAGATGGAAGTTCTGGAATGTTCCTAGCCGGTTCTGCTTCTCTTGGCCTGCCTCTTGCTGTGGGCCCTCAGGCAGGCCACTGGCCTTCCTGAGACCTGATTTCCTTGTCCATGAAAATGACATGGAAGGTGACAGCAGCAGGATGGCTCATGGGAGACGTGGCTGAGCACTGGGCCTGCTGGCGCCTCTTCTCCAGCATCAGCTCTTCCTTTCCAGTTACCGGGGGTGGGGGGGAACTATATTGCCCAGTACCTGTCCCCGCTTTTTCCTCAGTAACAGAGCCCCAACTCGTAACTGGGCACCTGGCCATTAAGAGTGAAAATTACATTTCCCAGCGTGCCTTGCAACTAGATGCAGCCATGTGTCTGAGTTCTGGGCAACGAGGGTGAACAGCAATGTCACGTGCAGCAGAAAGTATCCTTAAACATAAGGCTGTGCTCTTCCTTCCTGCTAGTTGGAATGTAGGTGTGATGGCTGGATCCTAAGCAGCTATTTTGGATCATGAGAAAGAAGCCACAGTGAAGGATGGCAGAGCAACAAGCTAGAGGAGCCAGGGTTCCTGATGATCCTAGAGGCATCAGAGTGGCCCTGGAGGCCTTAAGTAAAAGAATAAGAAACATCCCCCTTCCTTAAGTCACTACGACTTCTGTGCTGTTTCTGTGAAGCCTGAATCTAATCCTGATGTCTATGTTGGTTACCCATCAGTCTACCCTCAGTCTCTTTGGCTCTTCTCTGTGACCAGCCCTGCTGGCCCACACCCAACATCCACTCTCCACTTCTCCCTGCTCTCGTTCTGCTGGGACCCCCCCTTTGAGGGTCCCACTCTCCACTTCTTCTCCCCCCCGCCGTTCTGCTGGGACCCCCCTTTGAGACTCCCAGGGCCCTGTGGTCTCTGAGGTTGAGGTCTACTCTCAGCTTGATGTTGCTGCCAAGCCAGCCCCTCTCACAGCACAGAGCGCTCAGCACAGCCTGTAATTATGTATTTATTGTGGGTTTATTTGATTGCTGCCTCCCCAGGACTGTCACTAATGTGAGGGCAGGGCCCCTGCCTGGTATTCACATGATATCCTCAGCTCCCGGCTGGGGGTCTGGGCTCAAGCAGGTACCCAGTGAACCCTGGGCAGGTGAACCTCGTCCTGGTGAGTGCTGACTCCGTGACCCACCACCCTCCCCACCCCTTCCTCGGCTACCCCGGCCCCAGCCACTCCTGTCCCTCTCTCTACCCTCCCCCAATGCCCAGAGTCCCCCTCCCAGCCCTTTTCTTCCACCCCATTGTCTTCTCTGCCCCCTTCCTGACCTTGCATTGAGGCTGCAGGCCTCGGGGCCTTCCAGTGACCCACACCCAGCCACGTTTCATTTTCTGAACTTGGGTTTCAAACATGAGGAAGGAACTGAGGCTGGTGTTCCAGGAGCGGCCCCAGCGCTTGCTGGTGGCTGTGTGGGGGCACAGGCCCCCCAGTAAGTCTCCCATCCACAGGGGCATCAGAAGGATGGAGAGGTAGAGTGTCTCCCCCACCCCCCGATTGGCCTATAGGAAAGGACAGACAGTCCCCAGTGCTGGCACCATGTGGGGCAATCAGAACCCACCCACACTGCGGGTGGGAGCAGCGGTCAGGACAGTGGCTTGCAGAGCTAGCAGTGTCTGCTAACATCCACCAGAAACCCCCACTGTCGGGCACAAGGAGACACACACTAGAATGTTTGTAGCAACACTATTCACAGACTTTGGAGATAATCTAAATGTCTGTCAACAAGAGACTTGGTAGATAAAGTGTTACATCCATACAATGGACTACAACACAGCAACGCAAGAGAACAACCACAGACACACGCAGGACGCAGCAATGCAGTGAGCACGGGCAGCATTGTGTGGCGTGAAGGCGCCAGCCTCGGAGAGGACGGCTGTACAGCTCTGCTGGCGCGGACTAAGGATCAGGCAGAGCAGTCTCCGGGATGGGTGGCAGAGCGCTCCTGGGCTTGCATGGGAGGGGGCACGAGGGAGCCTCTAAGGGCTGGGAGTTCTCTGGACCGGGCTGGCGGTTGCACGGATGTGCACGAATGTGAAAGTCCAGTGATCTGCAGCTTAAGATTGGTGCACCTGGCCAGGCGCGGTGGCTCACGCCTGTAATCCCAGCACTTTGGGAGGCCGAGGCAGGCAGATCACGAGGTCAGGAGATCCAGACCATCCTGGCTAACACAGTGAAACCCCATCTCTACTAAAAATACAAAAAAAGATTAGCTGGGCGCGGTGGCGGGTGCCTGTGGTCCCAGCTACTCGGGAGGCTGAGGCGGGAGAATAGGGTGAACCCGGGAGGCAGAGCTTGCAGTGAGCCGAGATTGTGCCACTGCACTCTAGCCTGGGCGACAGAGCAAAACTCTGTCTCAAAAAAAAAAAAGATTGGTGCACCTACTTCACTTTTTTTTTATTTTTTTATTTTTTTGGAAACAGAGTCTCACTCTGTTGCCCAGGCTGGAGTGCAGTGGCACGATCTCGGCTCACTGCAAGCTCTGCCTTCCGGGTTCACGCCATTCTCCCGCCTCAGCCTCCCGAGTAGCTGGGACTACAGGCACCCGCCACCACGCCCGGCTAATCTTTTGTATTTTTAATAGAGATGGGGTTTCACCGTGTTAGACAGGATGGTCTGGATCTCCTGACCTCGTGATCCACCTGCCTCAGCCTCCCAAAGTGCTGGGATTACAGGCGTGAGCCACCGCGCCCGGCCTTTTATTTTATTTTTTGAGACGGACTCCCTCTATTCCCCAGGGTGGAATGCAGTGGCGCAGTCACGGCTTACTGCAGCTTCTTCCTCCTTGGGCTCAAGCAGTCCGCCCACCTTGGCCTCCCAAAGTGTTGGGATTACAGGCATGATCCACCACCCCCAGCCCGGATCCCAGTTTTTGATGTCGGTGGAATTGGAGATGGCAGGCAGGGCCATCTGTGTGCCAGCTGTGGTTGATTAGCAGGGGCTGCCTGGAGAATGATCTGAGGGCCCGAGGCCACCGCTGGGCTCCGTGGGAGAGAGTGGCTGATGGATTAGTGATGTCTGCCACATGCGCTGCAGGAACGAGAGGCAGCCTCCATGTCCCTGAAAGACGGCCATCCTCGCACTAACCTCACAGCCCCCCACAGGCAGCTCACTCCAGCCAAGCCCACCACCACCTCCTCAACTGCAACAAATGCTTATAATGACAGCTCATGTATATTTATCGAGCCTGTAATTACCAAGACAGTGTGCTGCACGTCACCTACATCCCCTCACCCTGCCCAACAACCCTATCATCATCGCCATACCACAGGCGGAGAAGCCAGGGACAGGGGTGCCTCGCCCCAGCCTCCTGATGCCTGCGGCAGAGGCCCAGCTGTGCACAGCCACACTCCCCCGGATGCCACGTCCCTGATCCCCATGGTGGCACCTCCTTGCCCCCTGCTTTTCTTCAGCTTCTCCACCACTCCTACTCCTCCTTGCCCTTCAAAGCCACCTCAAGTGCCACCCCCTCTCTCCTCATTATCCAAGAGTCCTCCCCCTCCTGAGCCTCTCAGGGGACCTGGGCCCGAGCCACCTTATCAGGAACTTGTGCATGGCTGCAGTGTTGGGTCACACATGTCTCCAAGTCTGAACTACATCCTTTCTTCCTTGGGCTCCTGGGGCTAAGCCCAACCTGGCAGACAAAGGCTCCCCTGAGAAGGTTTGATGAGTGAATACATGTCCCCTGCCTCAGAGGGAAGCCCCCATCTCAGGCCTCACACGGGCAGATTCATCCTCCTTCCAGATACAGGCCCCATGAAGGGGCAACAGCAAACAGGATCAGTCCCTGCCCTGGGGAATTACAGTCCCAGCAGTGGCTTGTGACAGCTGCCAAGATGGGCAAGCATTGGAGCATCCAGGAGGACCCCCAGGAAGAGGGCCTGAACAACACCGTGCACGTGCGCTGACACGGGGCATTCCTCGTCCTCAGTCCTGCCTCGTTTTGTGACTCATCACTTTCAGGATGGGAAACCCTCCAAGGAAGGTCCCCTTGGCTCTGGGGTGGCTCCTAGTGGATCTGCAAGAGGCGGGGCCCAGCCTGGTCGTGCCCCATCTTAGGCTGCCTCTGCATGGGCTACACATCCACAAAACAAAGCAAAACAGCAACATTTTCTACGATGCTTTTATTCACACTTCAAAACAGGTGCTGGACATCTTCCCATTGCCCCATGCCAGCCCCTGCTCTGTGCCCCGGGAAGCTGACTGTAGGTACAGGATCCATGGGGCCTCGTTGCTCCCTGGCCTCCACCTAGTTCAGCCAATGCGTAGCCGGTAGACAAGCCAAGCGGTCAGGAGGGGTGAGGTCAGTGTACAGCAGCAGCTCCTCCCTGCCGGGTCGCTGTGTCCCTCTCCAAGGTCAGGGCTCCTGGAGACGGCCTCTCCTGTGGCTCCAGCTGCCCTCCAGGTCTCAGGGGGTAACAGCTCCCCTTTGTTGCTGGCCCTGGGTACTGCACAGCTCTCCTTTAATTCACGTATTTTCCATTTATTCAATTCTCCTCAAATACCCTGTCTGAGGGTGCCATAAAAATGTAAGACTGTGTCAATTGCCCATATCAAAAAACATGCTTGTACGTTCCACTTGAAGTAGTTTGGAGGGGAGACTAATGGAAACTAGGGGGAGGCTAGCCCCCAAGCCTCCGCTGAGGCCACCGCTGTCTGTGTCCCGAGGGCCCTGGAGTAGGAGGTGTCAATGACGGACTCAATGAATGAATGAATTGATCCCACCACCACCAGCGGCAGGCCCGCCTCTTCCTTCCACAGCCCACCTTGGCCTCCCCGCCTCGCCAGGTGGCAAGGCCTTCGCTCCTGGTCCCTGAGCGCCGCTCGCTTCCCTCCCGCGTGGGCAGGGGGCAGCCGCGACGCCGGCCCAGCGCCTCCGAGCCGGGAACCGCACAGCACCCGGCGATGGCCCCGAGCCCCGCGCGCCCGAAGCCACGGCGCCGCTCGCTGGGGGCCTCGGGACGGCAGGGACGGCTGGGGGTGGCGCGGACCGCGTCCCCGAGGCGCGTAGCGCGCGATCGAACCACGCGCCCCGCCCGCTGCGGTCCTCTAACAGCCCCTCGCGCCGCCCCACGTGGGGCCGCACGGGCTGGCGGCCCCCTCACCCGATTGGCCGCCGCACAGCCAATCAGAGAGCGGAGGCGATAGCGGCCGCGCCGATTGGCTGCGGCGGGCCGGCCCGGGGGAGGGGGCGGGACCCCTTTTGTTCTCTCCGCACCTCCGGGTTCGCGCGACTGTGAGCGCCCCCGCCCCGGAGCAGGGGTCCGCGCTGGGGGTCCGGAGGGCGGGGGCGCGGCCCGACGCCCCACCCCCAGCTTGTTCACTGCCGCCAGGGCCCAGCGCCTGAAGCGCGGGTCCTTCGCTGGGACGAGCGCTTTCATCTCCGTCCCTCAGTTTCCCTCCCCTTGTCTTCTCCCTGTGTCCTGGGAGTTATGGGGAAGCTCAGCCCTTGGCAAATGAGCTTGGGACCTTCCTAAAACCTAAGCCAATGATAGGCCCGATCTTGCCTGAGAGGGGCACGTGAGAGACCCCCAAGCTGGAGAGGCAGATGTCCTGGTAACTCTAACCTGAGACCGTTTTCAGGGTGAGCCTTCTCCTAATCACGGCTGGGGCGTCTTCGTCCAAGGTGGGGCTGGATGGGGGTGGGCAGAGGCCCCCACAGTCACAGCCTGGCCAGCTGTGCAAATGCTCCCCTAAACCGTCCCCCGCTTCAGTCACTCAGCCAACCAATCAATCGCAGGGGCCTCCCTCTGGGGTGGAAAGTGGTGGCCCCAGGGACCAGGGACCTTCACAGGGAGAGAGGGCTGTGGTCCGGGCAGGGGCGTCAGGGGTTCAGCCTGGGTCTCCTGACCTCCAGGCCCACGTCTTCCCTTAGACAACACCTGAGAGCATCTCCCAGCGTGGCTGTGGCCACACACATCCCTGGGAGTAGGACGGGCCACCGCGCTGAAGCTGTGGATGCAGGGCTCCCAATCTGTAGGCGAGGGGCCTCTCCCCTGCAGGGGACAGGATCAGGACCCTGGGAGCCCTCAGTCCCCCTCCCAGCACTGATTACCTGGAAAACCCCCCGAGCCCAGGTTGATGAAGAAGGTGGGACCCTGACAGTGAGTGGCCTGAGCCTGGGATGGTAGCTTGACCTCATCTCCAAGGTCATCCTCCCAGACCTGGGAGTCTAAAAACATTAAATCCTTCAGAAGGACATATTTGCATCAGATCACTGTTCAGAACGCCACTGGTGCCATTCACGGAGCAGTCCCTGGGCTGAAGTGGCTGCTCTGGTCTGGTGAGCGGGGGCACCCACGCGAGCTCCCAGGCCCAGAGGCCTCCCCCAGATCCTGGTGTTAGTGGCCCATGGAAGGACTCCCAGCCCCAGAGGCTTGGCAGGTGTCTGCGGCTCCCCAGGGGTGGGGTGCTGGGAGGCTGACATCTGTGGAGTGTTTTTACTGTTGAACAAATTGAATCAATTAAACAGGCCCCATCGGGGTGGCTGGGAGCGGTGAACAGGAGGAAAGAGGGGAGCGGAGCCAAGAGGACAGCCTGAGGGCGTCTGTCTCCCCAGGCGGGGTTCAGACGCACCTCTTTCCCTGAATGTTCCAGGGCAGGAGACCCCCCGTGTTGACAAGAGGGAGGTGAGTTAGTGGAGGGGGAGTGGGAGGAAAGTCAGTGGGGACTGTCCCTGTTGTGTGTCCCCTGAAAGCACGCCAAGGCCTGTGTCTCCTACCCAGCCACCTCTGGGCTTCTCAGCCCCCAGCCCTGTGATGACCCTTTGGACATCCCAGCCTCCTTTCAAAGACATTTTATTGCTCTCACAAGGAGGCCTCCGGAAGCTGGGAGGCTCCAGCAGAGAAAGAGAGGAGGCTGCCTAGGGAGGCTGGAGGAGGCAGAGAGGAAAGAGGAAACATTGTGGGGGTAATAGCAAGGGCCCCGGGTCACCCACCTGGAGCGGAAGCCTCCCCCTCGGGCAGGCTGAGAATGACGCAGGCGCCGGCTGCTCTGTGACCCAGCTGACCGAGGGACAGCCCCTGCCTGGGAGCTCCAGCAGCTGCTGCAGCGTCCCTCCTGCCCAAGCAAGGGCCGCAGGGCCACCCCTCCAATCCGTCCCCAGAGGTCCACTGCCGCTGCCTCTCCTCCAGCTGCCGCTCAGGGGAGCGAGGTTTCTTGAGTCAGGCCACCGGCAGCGGGCGGCCAGCCCCTCTCAGCATGGCGCTTGCCCAGGGCCTGGGCTCCGTCACATGCCAGGACAGTGGTCACCGTCACCCTGGACAGACCACCTCTGTCCCTTTATGTCAAGTGACCATTATTGGGCCCCCTGAGGCAGACGAGCGTCTCACCAGTAAGCTCCCAGGGAGGACGGCGTGGTCAGGACCTGCCCATCCGCCAGCACTCTGGCCTCTAGGCCCGCAGGCTGAGGGCACCGGCGGGCACCAGAACAGGGGCTGGTTTGGCCGAGGGACCTGCTTCTTGGGCAGCACCAGGAAACAGCCGGAGACCCTCCCAGCGCCCACATCCATGGCGTGAGCCCCGCGTGGGTGCAGCCCCTTCCGCAGCCCGAATTCCAGGCCAGCCGCTGCAGGAGGGACCGCCAGCCAGGGGCGCAGGGCAGAGGGTGGGGGAAGGCGTGGCGCTCGCGCTCTCGGCTCTTGCTTGGATGGCGCCGGCTGAGGACCCCCACACCTGCGCTGCGGTGCAGAGGTCTTAGGATCCGAGGGGGCTGCCGGTCTGGGCCGGCGCGTTCAGGCCCCGGGCGGTGGGGCGGCCTCGGCGTGCGTGGCTCGGTTGCCTGCAGGCAGGCACGCGGCGCTGTGAGAAACGAACGTCCGTGACTTAGCCCACGGGACCGTTTCTGCATTTTCACCCCAACCTGGAGAGCTGCAGCACAGCCGCGGGACAGGAAGTCGCCGCCAGGTGGGTCAGGACTGCGACCTGAACTCGGCTCTGCGGCCTCCCGCTCCGGCCGCCGGTTCGCAATCCTGGCGTGAACCAGCAGATCAACCTCCGGCGCCCGCCACAGGCGCCCTCCCGCGGGAACCGGCAGGCAGGAGCGGTGCGGGGGCGCCCTCCAGCGGCCGTGGCCGGGATGGCGGCCTCCTGCCAGGCTCCAAGCGTGGCCGCGTGGGCAGCGCGCGCAGCCCGCCACGGAAAGACAGGCGCTCCTCCTGGGTGGGCCTTGGGACCCCTTCGCGCCCTGTGTGGCCGCCTCGTGGTGAGCACCCCCGCCCCTCCCTGCAAGGCCGGTGTTCCCAGCTGGAAGGGCAGGCAACCTGGGAACCAGAGGGAGCTGCTCTGGTTGGGAGGAAAAAGCCAGCTCGGTTCCCGCCTGAGCCCCGAAGGGGCGGGGCTGGGAAGGGGGCCTGGCCAGAGGGAAGGAGCACTCTGGGTTGGGGGTGCTGGGGGAGCACAAAGGCAGGAACTGGGGAGCATAAGGCCAGGAGATAGGGGAGAACCTAGGCAGGAGCTGGGGGAGCAGCCAGGCAGGAACTGGGGAGCATCGATGCAGGAGCTGTGTCGCGTGTTATCCCCGTCACGTGGAGTTGTGTGTCCTGCGAGGAGCACAGCATTTCAGGGCCTAGAGCCCCTCTCTGTACTGGAGCCGCCTGTGTGTGTCCATTCCGAATGAGCCATACTTCCCTCGCAGCTCTCCCAGTGGGATTGAGAACTGTTAGGCACACACCTGGTGAAGCATTGCTGCCCTTTCTGTTGGGGAGAAGCGGCCTTCTAGCGCAGAGAATAGCTGCTTCCTGGAACTGAAATCCTGCCGCATCCAGACCAAGAGCATGCTTGGAGCAGGCATCAGTGCACACACTGCTTCCGAAATTACAGCTATAAATTTTAAAAAAATTTTTTTTTCAAGGCAGGGTCTTGCTCTGTGGCCCAGGCTGGAGTGCATTTGCACCACCATGGCTCATGGCAGACTCAACCTCCCTGGCTCAAGCCACGCTCCCACCTCAGCCTCCCAAGTGGCTGGGACTACAGACACATGCCACCACACCTGGCTAAATTTTTTTTTTTTTTTTTTTGAGACAGAGTCTCACTCTGTCACTCAGGCTGGAGTGCAGTGGCGCAAACTCTGCTCACGGCAAGCTCCGCCTCCCGAGTTCACGCCATTCTCCTGTCTCAGCCTCCCGAATAGATGGGACTACAGGTGCCCGCCACCACGCCCAGCTAATTTTCGTATTTTTAGTAGAGATGGGGTTTCACCGTGTTGGCCAGGATGATCTCGATCTCCTGACCTCATGATCCACCCGCCTCGGCCTCCCAAAGTGCTGGGATTACAGGCGTGAGCCACCACGCCCGGCCTAGTTTGGGCAAGTTACATTTTTTTTTTCTTTTTTGAGGCTGAGTCTTGCTCTGTTGCCCAGGCTAGAGTGCAGTGGTGTGATCTTGGCTCACTGCAACCTCCACCTCTCGAGTTCAAGGGATTCTCCTGCCTCAGCCTCCCAAGTAGCTGGGATTACAGGCACCCACTATCACACCTGGCTAATTTTCTTATATTTTTAGTAGAGACAGGGTTTCACCATGTTGGCCAGGCTGGTTTCGAACTCCTGACCTCAAGTGATCGGCCCGCTTCGGCCTCCCAAAGTGCTGGGATTATGTGGGCATGAGCCACCATGCCTGGCCCATAATTTTTTAAACTGTGATACATTTTGCCATTTTAACCATTTTTAAGTGTACACTTCAAAGGCATTGAGTACATTTACCATGTTGTGAGACTCTCAACACTATCCGTCTGCAGAACTTTTTTGTCATTCCAGAGACTATCCATTAAGCACCAACTTCCTTTTCCCTCTCTCCCCAGCCCCTGGCCTTGCCCTCTCCCCCCAACCCCTGGCAACCTCTTACCTACTTTCTGTTTCTGTACTTGCCTATTCTAGATGTTTTATAAGTGGAATCAGACAGACGTTGTCCTTTGTGACTGGCTCATGTCACTTAGCATAATGTTTTCAGGCCATCTGTGCGTGGTGTGCGTCAGAATTTCCTTCCTTTTTAACGTTAAATCATAGTCCATTGTATGGAGGGACCACATTTGTTTCTCTATTCATTTATGGATGGAAACGTGGGTTGTTTCCACCTTTTCTCTGTGGTGAGTATCGTTGTGGTCAACATTTGGAATAACTCGTGTTGAGCACACTGTTCGTGTTCCTGCCCCTAGTTCTCTGGGTGTGTGGCTGCGCGGAACTGCTGGGTAATTCTACCCTTCGCTCTTTGAGAACCGCTAATGTGTTTTTCACGGCGCATGCATTGTATGAGAGCTCCAGTTTCTCCACATCCTCACCAACGCTTACTGTTTTTATTATTGTTCTTGTTATACAGCTTTCATTTTTATAAAAAGCAATTTTTTTTTTTGAGACGGAGTCTCACACTGTCACCCAGGCTGGAGTGCAGTGGCACGATCTCGGCTCACTGCAATCTCCGCCTCCCAGGTGAAAGCGATTCTCCTGCCTCAGCCTCCCAAGTAACTGGGATCACAGGCACCCGCAACCACGCCTGGCTAATTTTTTGTATTTTTAGTAGAGGTGGGGTTTCACCGTGTTAGCCAGCATGGTCTCAATCCCCTGACCTCGTGATCCGCTCACTTCAGACTCCTAAAGTGCTGGGATTACAGGCGTGAGCCACAGCCCCCGGCCCAAAAGCAGTATTTTCGTACAAACAATATACTAACGCTAACTGAAATAATTAACAAATTACAGATTAAAAAAAAATTTTTTTTTCTTTTTTTGAGACAGGGTCACTCTGTCGCCCAGGCTGGAGTGCAGTGGCACCATCTCGGCTCACTGCAACCTCTGTCTTGCCCAGGCTCAAGTGATTCTCCTGCTTCAGCCTCCCGAGTAGCTGAGATTACAGGCGTGCACCAGCACGCCCACCCGGCTAATTTTTTTTTTCTTTTTTTTTTTTGTAATTTCAGTAGAGACGAGGTTTCACCGTGTTGGCCAGGATGGTCTCGAACTCCTGCCTGGGGTGCTGGGATTACAGCCGTGAGCCACTGTGCCCAGTCAAAATATTTTTTATTTACCTCCAACCCCACCACCTAGAGATGACCACTGCTCATTTTTGTTGATGGTATTTGGCAACAGGCTTGTCTGCTTTCTAAGCACTGTTGTTTTGTTTAGAGACAGGGTCTCCGCTCTGTGGCCCAGGCTAGAGCGCAGCGGTGCAATCACGGCTCACTGTAGCCTCCACCTCCCAAGCTCAAGCGATCCTCCCGCCTCGGCCTCCCAAGTGGCTGGGACCACAGGCGCGGGCCCCCTCCAGCCAAGCATTGTTTTTCTGACCCGCAGGATGGGAGCAGGGAGAGCGTGGCTGGCCGGGGGTCCACCGGGAGGCCCTGCGAAGGGCAGGCCCCGGCCAGGCGGGGCGCGGCTCCACGTCTCAGCCGGCGCTTCTGCGCACGGGCTCACTACTGGGGGCGGCCGGGATCACGGACTCGCTGGCCTCGTCTCCGGAGCGGAGGCGGGCAGCTTGAAGGAGCGACCCCGTGGGCCGGCGCATCCCTCCCCAGGCCCCGAGACCCGGCGGGAGACGGACCCTCCCCATGCCTCGCCGCGGAGGCCCGCGCCGAGCCAGGAGCCGCGCATCCATTGGCCGAGAGCGCGGCCGCCCGGGCCAATCACAGGGCGGCCCCGGCGCCCCCGGGCGCGCCGTGGGGACAGAGTCAGGCGCGTGCGCACTCGGCCCTCCCCGGCGGCCTCCAGGCGGGACGCGGCGTCGGCGCCTGAAGTTGGGGCTCCGTCCTGCCTCCCTGCGGGCCGGGAAAAGGGTCTCGCACGTGCGCCCCCCGCGGTCCGCGATCCCCAGCCGTCGGCCTAGCCCCAGGCGGGTCGATCCCGCTGTCCCCAGCCCCGGACCAGCCTCCTCCAGCTGCCGGGTGGAGAGGCTGGGGGGCTTTTCCCGAGGTCGGCGGCGAGGCTGAGAGCCCCGGCCCCGCCGCGCCCGAGGAGACAGCCCTTCGCGGGCTCTAAAGGCCCCGGGGCCTCCGGGATGTTCCGGGGCCGAGTTGTGCCTGTTGCCGTTTCCGGCGCCCGGGGCCTCCGGGATGTTCCGGGGCCGAGTTGTGCCTGTTGCCGTTTCCGGCGCCGCTGCCCTCGGGCACCGTCCCCTCTGGCCCTGCCTTGGTCTGGGAGGGGTCGCTAAGGGGGCGGAGGGCGCTCCTAGGGGGCCCTGCGGATCTCCTGGCCTCGGCCCCCCCGGGTGGCCAGAGCGGGGCTCTGCACAAAGGCCTCAGGTAGCCGCGGCCTCGGTTCCGAGAAAGCCCCTCGCACTGACCGGGCCTCAGCTGACCCGGGCAGCCTACTGACCCGACCCTGACGCCCGGGCCCTCCAGGCCTGTCAGAGCCTCCAGGAAAGGAAATGGGCTGCGGGGCGCAGCGAGGCTGGACAGCGGGCGCTGGCCCAGGACTCCCCTTGCCCAGAGGAGAAAATGGAGGCTGAGCCTCCGGAGAGCCCAGCTCGATGCCAGGAGCACTTTGCAGAGGGACACGGATGGGGGCTGGCAGCACTTCACCCCTGTGCGGTAACGGAGTAACCGGAGCGCACTGAAGTCAGCAGCACCCCCACCCACCCACCAAGGCCACCGCCACCTCCCACCATCCCGACCGTCCTTTGCTCCCTCAACCCTTGTTGCTGTGGGGCTTGGGGATATGTTGGATTCTCACTGGCCCGGAACTTTGCTCCCCGAGGGCCGCCTGGCTGTAGAGCAGAACCCCCAAGTCCTGGAGAGAAGGGCAGAGGCCGGCCGACCAGGAGCTCTGCAGAGGAGCAAACTCTGGCCTGCGGACCCAGGGCTCTCACCGGCATGTAAACCTCTGTGGTTCACGAGGCTTGGCGCACCATGCTCTCTGCAAACTGGGCCTCATACCACCTGTCTGCCCTGCACCTGGAGAACTGACAGCCTACCCGCCCAGCACTGGCAGCAGAAGCTAAAGCATTCCTGGAACCCACAGGCCCCCAGCTAGCCTGACCCCCTGCCCCAGCCCCCCACGGCCCTGGCCTGGCCTCCCTGCAGCTCCCGGAATGCACCCAGGCTGTGCTGGCCCCAGGGCCTCTGCGTGCCCATCCCTCTGAGGGCTGCTCTTCTTCTTGCTCTAGGCGCCTCCATCTTCTCCCACAAATCTTTGCTCACGTGTCTTCTCAGACAGCCCCCACACCCCTGTCTAAATGTTCAGTCCCCCTCCCCCGCTCCTCGGCCCCCTCAAGCCCAATTCTTGCTTGGGTTCTGGTAGCTGGTGCCCCCTTCCCTGCTGCTGCGGACCTGAGCTCTTTCTGCCCCTCTGTTTCCTGCTGCATCCTGCCTGGCTCCCAGGAGGCCTCTCTCAGCATTTTCTGACAACAAAGCCGGGGCTGCAGATCCCTGGTGAGATTCCAGGCTAGCATCAGCACTCCTCTCCCGCACGCACCACAGCTAAAGCACACAAGGGCACCGCTGAACGCCACCACTCCCAGCTGCCAGAGTGCCGCATCCGTCGGCAAGGAAAATGGGGACCCTTCCATAGAAAACAGGCAAAGACTGAACAGACATTCACAATGGCCCCAAACAAATGGAAAGAAGCTCACGCCCTCCAAAAACCAAAGAAATGCAAATTCACACAGCCAGGAAATGTCATTTCTCACCTTCCAAACTGGCAAACGTGGACCAGGGTGGTCCTGGGTGTTGGTGGGGATGCTGGCAAGGTGCTCTCAGGGAGGGAGGGCACAGCCCTGGGGGGCCATCTGAGCCTGTGGGGCACCTGTTCATGCTAAGGAATCAGGAGCCACGGCCCCCTGGGGACCCCATTAGCCTCGCTGTGGCCAGGCCAGGAGAAGCCCCTCAGTGTGAGGACACAGGAGCACTCAGCCCCAGGCAGACCCACAACCTGTTCCAGGGCCAGGACTGTTCCTTCCTGCCCCTAGCTCCTTCCCTGTCTCTCTGTCCCAGTGCAGTTAATACTGGATGTTTCTGAGTCACCAGCTGGAGGGAGTGTGGCCCTTCAGCCTGGTCAGGGGCCCCCCAGTTGGGGTGGGTGGCTTGGCTCATGACCTCGGTGGAGGGGCCCCTGGGCACCCTGCTGGTGGCAGGAGGAAGCCAGAGTGGCCCCAGAAACACTCCTTGAAGAGCCAATAAATCACAAGCCCCCTCTGCCTACCCCCTCCACATCGCCGCCTGACGTTTTTTATATTGATGCATTAATTTATCCTTAAAAATAGGCAACACTGCTTGTTTGATTTCCACAGAGGCCATGTGGGGCAGAGAGTGACAAATTATTTCCTGACCCTCGAGTAGCTGATGTAATGAGTCCCCCACACTGAAAGCCTGTGTGTCCCCGGCTCCCAGACACTCCTCAGTTTGGCTTGGGGCCACTCCCTGGTACTGGGATGTCACTAGTGCTGTCCTTGACAGGTGACCCATTTGCCTGAAGCCCGGGATGCCCATCTGTCTGGGACCTGTTTCAGGACCGCATGACCTTGCCCCCTGGGTCTCTCTTCCATGCCTTAGAGGGGGCTGGGGGCCAGGTGGGGGTGGGGGCACTGGCCCTTCCTGGGGCCTGACGAGGCTGTGACCTCGGCTCATGGGGACAGTTTGGATGCTGCTCATTCGTTTGCCTACATCGCCAGGACAGGCAGGATCTGGGAGCATCACAAAAAAGGGAGTTATTCGCAGCAAATATGAGTGTGTTCAAAAAGAAATCTGAAGTCAGTTTCCACGAGAATTCTGTCTACTCCGGACAGGCAGAGGCCACCTGAGCTCGGGACCTCCCAAGAAGGGATTCAGAGGAGCCACATTCCACTTTCTAGGTGTGACCCTCAGTCTGCTCCAAGTGGACTTGAGACATCCCAATAACAACACTGACTAGGTACTAAAACAAACACAGACAGGAGCACGTGTGCACCCCGAACACACAGCAGGGCAGCAGCCATCCAGGGTGGGCAGCCTCCCAGATGGCCCCACAGGCCTGTACCCCTGCCCTCCTGTTGGCCACGCCCCACCAAGGGAGGGTCTGTGTAATCAGTAGAGCAGGGCAGAGGCGCCAGCAGGCCAGTTTAGAGGGACACAGCACACAGCAGCTTCCGTCCTGGTTCTCTGTCTCTCTGTGTCTCTCTCCCTCTTTCTCTCTCTCTCTCTGCCTCTCTCCCTCTCTCTCTGCCTCTCTCCCTCTCTCCCTGCCTCTCTCCCTCTCTCTCTCCCTCTCTCCCTCTCCCCCTCCCTCTCTCCCTCCCTCCCTCTCCCCCTCCCTCTCTCTCCCTCTCTCCCTCTCTCTCCCTCTCTCCTTCCCTGCCTCTCTCCCTCCCTCCCTCTCTCCCTCTTTCCCCCTCTCCCTCTCTCCACCTCCACTCTCTCCCTCTCTCCCTCTTTCTGTTCCCCTCTCCCTCTCACTCCCTCTTCCCCCCCTCCCCCTCCCTCTCTCACCCCCTCCTCCTCTCCCTCTCTCTCTTTCTGTCTCCCCCCTCCCTCTCCCCCTCCCCCCTTCCCTCTCTCCCTCCCTCTCTCGTCTCCCTTCCTCTACATGGGGAGGAGCTCACTCCCTGCCAACAGCCAGGGGAACAAGCTTGGAAGTGGATTTTCCAGCCCAGCACGCAGCCTCGTGGAAGACCACCCAGGTGAGTTGCTTCCAGCGCCTCAGCTGCTGTGAGAGATGATAGATGCTTGCTGTAAGCCCCTGTGTTTTGGAGTAATTTGTTACACAGCTGTAGAGGGCCAACGCACTGCTAAAGCAGCAGCAGGAGCAGGTGTAGCCAGGCACCTAAGAGGAGCTGCTTATAAATGCCAGGGGGTGGCTCAGCCTGTAATCCCAGCGCTTTGGGGCCGAGGATGGAGCCGACCTGGACAACATAGTGAAACCCCGTCTCTACAGAAAATTAAAAAAATAAAACATTAGCCAGGCATGGATCCGATGCTTCCGTAAGGACTTTGAATCTCCAGGCAGGGACAGAGAAGACATCAGAGACTCAGGATCAACAGCAGCTGCACTGAGAGCTGAGGTCCTCGCGCTGGGTTGCTCCCCCTCCCCCACTGAGCCACTCTGAGTGCGGGCGACGCTTCCCTGGGTTCCTTCTCGCCTTCTGAGAAGGCTTCTGTCGACCTGTGGCTTCAGTGGGACCTGAGCTCATCCCCGAGACCGCCTTTTTTCACTTCGTTACCGAGGGTTGAGCGTCTGTTACTGAGGGTGGTGCGCGCCTGTAGTCTCAGCTATTCCAGAGGCTTGATGCAGGAGGATCACTTGGACGGTGGAGTTCCAGGCTGCAGTGAGCTATGATCACACCACTGCACTCCAGCCTGGGCAACAGAGTAAGACCCTGTCTCAAAAAAAAAGAAAAAAGAAAACAAAAGCGGGGAGGGGCCAGGCGCGGTGGTTCACACCTGTAATCCCAACACTTTGGGAGGCCTAGGGGGGCGAATCACGAGGTCAAGAGATTGAGACCATCCTGGTCAACATGGTGAAACCCCCTCTACTAAAAATACAAAAAATTAGCCAGGCTTGAAGAGAATCACTTGAAGTCGGGAGGCGGAGGTTGCAGTAAGCTGAGATTGCCCCACTGCACTCCAGCCTGGGGACAGAGAGAGACAGTCAAAAAAAAAAAAAAAAAAAAAAAAGTAAAACACAGGGGAGAGGAGACCTCAGAGTTGCGTGGCTTTCCTTTTCTGACCCAGGACAGCAGGGGAAGCCCCGCATTTGTGGCCAGAGCCCTGGGATAGATGGAGCCCAAACACCCTCCTCTGCATGTCTCCATTCCCTGGGGGCTGCAGGCCCGAGCTGTCTGGTCCTCCCTTCATCCATTGCACCTGGTGTTCCTTCTGCCCAGAAAATTGTTGGTCCTCCCATGTATCAGAAGCCACATGCTCACCTTCCAGGGCACTTCTGCCCACACAAGCATTTCCTCCAACATGGAAGGAGGGCCATCCCCTGCAGCAGGCAGTACTCCAGGCTTCAGGGAGCTGCCCTTCACCAGAGGGGCTGTCTGCAGACCCACGCACACGCCTGGCATATACCACGGCACTTAGTAAATGTTTGCTGACTCAGGGCATGCAGGCCAACTCTCTGGTCTCTGTTATGAACCAGAAAGTGGGGGCTGTGGTGGTAACAGGACTTATTTACACAGGTTAACAACCTGCCAATGAGGTAGGAACCTTCCACCACACTGATTAAGAAACTGAGGCACAAGGAGGTTGTATAACTCGACTCAGATTGCACAACTATTAAGTGGCAGAGCCAGGACACAATCCAGGTAGGCTGGCTCTGCATCTACACTCAACCACTGCACTTGCTGTTTTCCTGGAACAAAACCACCTGCTTGTCGGGTGCCTCCCTCCATCAGCGCCTGGACCAGGACATCAGCCATGTGCATGGTGGGCCTGGAGCTGCCCCACGCCCGCCAGCCAACCAGGTCAGTGCGGCCTCCCCTCCATCATGATTGGTTCAGGCAATCCAGGCCTCAGCCAATCAGAACAAAGCTCTGGTCCAGCTCGCCTGGAGCGCCTGACTTCTGCACTTTCCCAGCATGGCGGCCTGGAGATGTCTCACTCACTGTTGCCCAGGCTGGAGTGCAGTGGGGCAATCTCAGCTCACTGCAATCTCTGCGTCCCGGGTTCAAGCGGTTATCCTGCTTCAGCCTCCCAAGTAGCTGGGATTACAGTAGGTGGCTCACGCCTGTAATCCCAACGCTTTGGGAGGCCTAGGCGGGCGGATCACGAGGTCAGGAGTTCGAGACCAGCCTGGTCAATATGGTGAAACCCCGTCTCTACTAAAAATACAAAACTTAGCCGGGCGTGGTGGCGTGTGCCTGTAATCCCAGCTACTTGGGAGGCTGAGGCAGGAGAATCACCTGAACCCGGGAGGCAGAGGTTGCAGTGAGCCGAGATCGTGCCACTGCACTCCAGCCTGGGTGACAGAGCGAGACTCCGTCTCAAAAAATATATATATAAATAAAGGAGAAGTGAGAACCTCTGTTTGCCATAGAGCTTCGTGCAAATACACGCATTGATCCGCAGAGGCAGGCCCACGGGGTATCCAGGTAAGAACGTGGTGCTAGTGAGGAAAAAATTCAGATGCAAGCAGCAGAATACCCAACTGCAGGCGGTTCAATGTGTGGAGGCTTTTCTTCTTTTTCATGTAACTAGAAATCTGGAGGTGGGAGTTATCCCCATCGCGACCCAGACTCTTTCAGTCTTTCTGCTCCAACATCCTTGGCAGGTGGGCTTTTGTATGTTGTTTGTAGGGCAGCTGCTGGAATTCCATATACCACACACACCTCTACAGTCAAGGCACAAAGAAAGGATGGAGAGACAGGGCCAGTCACATCTGTGCCCTTTTAGAGGGAAAGACAAACCTGCCCTAGAAGCCCCTGCAGTGGATTCCCCCCAGGCCTCAACGGCCACCCATGATCGGGCATGCTATGAGGGATTCAGAGACGGCAGAGAGCCAGGTTGTCATGACAGCAATGGCCAAGCATGCTTCATTGCCAGGGTCTTGGTAGCCCTCCAAAAAGCAAAGTTCCATAGGCAGGAAAGAAGGGGAACAGATTTTGGTGGGCGGCAGGTCTGCCTGCCACAGGTGGGAAGACAAGACATGGGGAGGTTCACAGATTACGCAGGGGAGTGGGGATCAGATGAAGGGCTGCCTGGCCGGGTACAAAACCTGAGATCCTGCTGCACAGCTGGATGAGGGAAGAGCCCTGCTGCTGCTGCTGCTGCTCCAGCCCCCTCAGCAACAGCATGGATGTCACAGATGCTAGCCACCAGATGTCCACTAGCCTCACTGCCAGAACCGGTTCTATGCTGCTCCTGCTTATGGTGTGAAGACACCACAGGCTTCCAACTGAAGGTTGGAGGTGGATGCACCTGACTGGTGGAGCCTGGGCCATGTGACTGAGTCCTGACAGCAAGGGATGCTGGGAAAGTTAGTATCTACCGTTTTTCAATTTATACAGAAAGATGAGTCCTGCTTTGCAAACTGGAGATTAACTTTAGGTGAGAAGGAGATTCTTTATACATGCAGGGAGCATAAGCTGGCACAACTTTTTGGAAAGTAATGTGGCAATACATATGAGCAGCCTAAAAAAGGCTATAGCCTGTCACCCAGTAATTTCATTTTAGATAATCTCTCTTAAAATCGTAGTAGGGGCTGCCAGGCAAGGTGGCTCACTCCTGTAATCCCAGCACATTGGGAGCCTGAGGCAGGCCGATCACCTGAGGTTGGGAGTTCGAGACCAGCCTAGCCACCATGGAGAAACCCTGTCTCTACTAAAAAATACAAAATTAGCCAGGCATGGTGGCACATGCTGGTAATCCCAGCTACTCGGGAGGCTGAGGCAGGAGAATCGCTTGAACCTGGGAGGCGGAGGTTGCAGTGAGCCGAGATGGCACCATTGCACTGCAGCCTGGGGAAAAAGAGCGAAACTCCATCTCAAAAAAAAAAAAAAAAAAAAAAAGATGGTGGTAGGGGCTAGGCGTGGTGGACGCCTGTAATCCCAGCATTTTGGGAGGCCGAGGCCAGCGGATCACTTGAACCCAGGTGTTCAAGACCAGCCTGGGCAACAGGGTGAAACCCCGTTTCTACAAAAAGTGTAAAAATTAGCCAGGCAGTGTGGATCATGCCTGCAGTCCCAGCTACTTGGGAGGCTGAGGTGGGAGGATGGCTTCAACCCTGGAGGCCAAAGCTGCAGTGAGCTATGATTGCACCACTGCACTCCAGCCTGGGCAACACACTGAGACCCCCATCTCTTAAAAAAAAAAAAAAAAGGTAGTGGCTGGAGTGGTGGGAACCCTTTAACACTCATGTCATCATGACAGAGTTGATTATAACCCAATCATGTGGCAGCAACTGACTTGTCCAATGAGGAGAGTAAGTGAATCTCAGTCCAGCCATCCTACAATGAATATTTAATAACCCGGGGAAAAAACTTAAGTTCTAATGGCAAATGGAAAGATTAGGATATACCTGTAGTTGTCTTGGCAAAGTCTTACAAGGTATTATTTATTGAAAGCAACAAGCCAGTTGTGCAAACCTGCCTCATTTGAAATTACTTGGCAGGAATGTTTGGAAAATTCCTCCTATTTAAAAAAACTTCCCCTTGAAAATTAGGAAAAGCCTTAAAATGAAAATACCTGGGAGAAACCTAAAGATGGTTGGCTGAGAGCTTTGAAAATGTGGACATTCCCAGACAAGTTCATAATGATGCCATAAATAAGAATGCTTGCAGCCCGGCTCAATGGTTTATGCCTGTAATCCCAGCACTTTGGAAGACTGATGTGGGAGGACTGCTTGAGACCAAGAGTTCGAGGCCAGCCTGGGCAATATGGTGAGACCCCATCTCTACAAAAAAATTAAAAATTCACCGAGCATGGTGGCTCACACCTTTAGCCCCAGCTACATGGGGAGGCTTGAGCCCAGGAGGTCAAGGCTGCAGTAAGCTATGATCATGCCACTGCACTACAGACTGGGTGACAGAGTGAGACCCTATCTCAAAAAGAAAAAAAAAAATGGAGGCCGGGCATAGTGGCTCATGCCTGTAATCCCAGCACTTTGGAAGGCCAAGGTGGGCAAATCACTTGAGATCAAGAGTTGGAGACCAGCCTGGCCAAAATGGTGAAACCCCATTTCTGCTAAAAATACAATAAAAATTAGCCAGTTGTGGTGCCACATGCCTGTAATCCCAGATACTCAGGAGGCTGAGGCAGGAGAATCGCTTGAAGCTGGGAGGCAGCTATGTCAGTGAGCCAAGATCGTGACACTGCACTCCAGCCTGGGCAACAGAGTGAGACTCCATCTCAAAAAAAAGAAAAGAAAAAAAAATGAACCATGGACATAAATGTAAAATGCAAAATTATAAAAGTTCTAGAACAAAACATAGGAGAAAATCTACATGACCTTAAATTAGGTCATGAGTTTTTTTGTTTGTTTTTTGTTTTTGTTTTTTTTTTGAGATGGAGTCTCAATCTGTGTCCCAGGCTGGAGTGCAATGGCATGATCTCAGCTCACTGAAACCACCGCCTCCTGGGTTCAAGCAATTCTCCTGCCTCAGCCTCCCAAGTAGCTAGTATCACAGGCGCTCATCACCATACTCGGCTAATTTTTGTATTTTTAGTGGAGACGGGGTTTCACCGTGTTGGCCAGGCTGGTCTTGAACTCCTGACCTCAAGTGATCTACCCATCTCGGCCTCCCAAAGTGCTGGGATTACAGGCATGAGCCACTGCACCTGACCAGGTCGTGAGTTTTTACATACAGCACCAAAATCATTATCTATTAAAGAAAAAACTGAATTGATATTATTAAAATTTAAAACTTGGGCTGGGCACAGTGGCTCACATCTGTATTCCCAGCACTTTGGGAGGCCGAGGCGGGTGGATCGCTTGAGGTCAAGAGTTTGAGACCAGCCTGGCCAATATGGTGAAACCCAATCTCTAATTTTAAAAAACACAAAAAGTAGCCGGGCGTGATGGTGCACACCTGTAGTCCCAGCTACTTGGGAGGTTGAGGCAGGAGAATTGCTTGAACCCAGGAGGCGGAGGTTGCAGTGAGCCGAGATCATGCCACTTGCACTCCAGCCTGGCTGACAAGTGAAACTCCATCTCAAAAAAAAAAAAAAAAAAGAGCACGGAAATTCAAATTCCAACACACTCTGCACCACAGGTCCGCCTTGAGGACTGTGCGTTAAGTGAAATAGGCCAGTCACAAAAGACAAATCCTGTACAGTTCCACATGTAGGAGGGACCTAGAGCAGCTAAATTCATACAGACAGAAAGTGAAATGGTGGCTGCCGGGGGCTGGGTGGAGGAGAAGGAGTTGTTTGATGGGTACAGCTTTTTGGTTTTGCAAGATGAAAGTTCTGGAGATTTTGGCTGAACAACAGTGCAGATGCTCAGTGCCCAACTGTATGCTCAAAAGTGGATGGCTGGGAGCGGGGGCTCACTCCTGCAGTCCCAGCACTTTGGGAGGCGGAAGTGGGCAGATCAGCTGAGGTCAGGAGTTCGAGACCAGCCTGGCCAACATAGTGAAACACTGTCTCTACTAAAAGTACAAAATTAGCCGGGCGTGGTGGTGTGTGCCTGTAATCCCAGCTACTTGGGAGGCTGAGGCAGGAGAATCGCTTGAACCCGAGAGGTGGAGGTTGCGGTTAGCCGAGATCATGCCACTGCACCCCAGCCTGGGCGACAGAGCGAGATTCCGTCAAAAAAAAAAAAAAAAAAAAAGAACCGGGTATGGTGGCATGTGCCTGTAGTTCCAGCTATTCAGGAGGCTGAGGTGGGAGGATCACTTGAGCTTGGGAGGTTGAGGCTGCAGTGAGCTGTGATCTTGCCACTGCACTCCAGGCTGGGCGACAGAGCAAGATCCTGTCTCAAAATTTGAAACAACTTCAAAGAAGGAAAGGAAGCTATGCCTGTTGCATACAAGCAGAATCTTCCTCGCGGCTCGGCCTGCTCCAGCCTCCCGGAGGATGAGCCTCTGACCAGGGCCGGCCCAGGTGCCACAGTCACAGCCAGTGGCCCGCAGTTCTGAGGCCCCTGGCACCGCTGAGGCGTCCCTGGAGCTTCCTCACCAGCCTCACGCATCCTGCCGGGGTGGCGGGGTCAGGGCCCACCTCTGGGCACGGGAGGCGTGGGCCTCACGGGCCACGGATGGGAGCCCAGGGCAGGGGGCTGGAGCCCTCGGGGGTCAGAGCCCGTGCGCCTTCCAGGGCGGAGGCGGTCAGCCGATGGACCAGGCGGTGCCGCAGCGACAGAGGGGGTTGAGATCGGGGCTTTCCCCTGCGACCAGCTCGCAGCCTGACGTCGGCCTCGCTCTGGGGAAACCAAGGCACGGGCACGCGCGGGCGTGGCGCCAACGTCCTCGCTGCCGGCCCCGCCTCGCCCGGGACAGCGCCCCGGCCCTGCTCCCCGCTCTACGGCCCCGCGCCCCGGCCATCTGCGGCTCCTCTTGCTTCGCGCCCGCGCCGCGCTCTGCCCACGCCCAGCCCCGCAGCTTCTCTGTGACCCCCGCCTGCCGCACCCCGGCTAGGGGCTTATTAGCGCCACGGAGCTGAGCTGGACGTGTCCAGGATCTGGGGAGGGAGCAGCCCAGAGAGGGCAGGGCCTGGCCAGGCCTCCCCAGGCAGCCCTGCGGTCCTGCAGCCACGAGGGGAGGGGACGCCACAAATCCGGGTGCCGACCCGGGCCAGGAGAGTCGGGAAATGGGCCTTGGCTGGGACCCAGGCCGACTCTGATCCCGCGGGCCTCGTAGCCCCTCCAGCCCTCGGCCATGCAAAGTGGGGGTCCCACGGGATGAGCCCCAGTGTGGGAGCCCAGCTCGGACAGACATCACCCCTCAGTCCCCCGACCCTCCGCCCCAGGAGAGAAGCTGGACGCTTGCCTGGGCGACCAGGTCCAGGCCACCCTAGGCAGTGAGGAGCAGCAGGGGGCCATGGCGAGAGGACAGGGAGGGCCTCTGTTGGGCCTCGGAGGTGGAGACCCCACTGCTGAGCCACAGCTGGGGCATGCATTGGCTTTCTTCTGAGCATCTGTCTGGGGAACCGCCGTGGGAGGAGCAGAGCCCCTCGGGCACTGGTAGGGAAGCCAGGCTGCCAACAGCCCTGCCACCCTGGCTGCAGGTTCTGGAGCCGGGGACCCTCTAGGCTGAAGTTCTCCAAGTGGGTTGAGCCCAGGTATCCGTTTATCCTAGGTAGGCCTCCATGCCTGAAGGTCCCGGGCTCCTCTGGACCACCCGTCCTGCCAGGGGGCAGACAGGCCTCCTGTCCCTTCCTGTTCTGTTCTGCTCCCTAAACTCCAAGCTAAGTGTGTCCCTGGGCAGCTGGGTCTTAAGAGCCTGAAAGGCTGCATGGAGTCTGTTTGTTCGTTCAGAGGAATCTCAGCTATTTCCTGGGAGGCTCCATCTGAGCCTGGTAGGTCCCGGATGAGGGGTGGGTGGCCCGGTGAGCAGGTCAGCCTGTCCTCAGGGGCTTGCAGCACACCCGCCAGGGTGGCAATTATCCAAAATATAGAAAACAAGTGCCACTGAGGATGTGAAGCAACTGGAACTCTTGTCCACTGCCGATGGGAATGCAAGATGAGGCAGCTGCTGTGGAGAACTGTTGGTTCCTCAGAAAGGTGCACAGAATGACCCTATGACCAGCAGTCCACGCCGGCCACAGACCCCAGAGAACTGCAGGCAGGCCCTGGAACACATACTTCACAAGCAGAATGTAGTATAGACATATACTGCAGTATTTCTCAGCTTTAAAAAGGAAGGGCCAGGCACGGTGGCTCACGCCTGTAATCCCAACCCAGAGGGTGAGGCAGGTGGATCACTTGAGGTCAGGAGTTGGAGACCAGCCTGGCCAACATGGTGAAACCCCGGCTCTTCTAAAAATACAAAAATTATCCAGATGTGGTGGTGGGCACCTGTAGTCCCAGCTACTCAGGAGGCTGAGGCAGGAGAATCACTTGAATCCGGGAGGCGGAGGTAGCAGTGAGCCGAGATCGTGCCACTGCACTCCAGCCTTGGCAACAGAGTGACACTCCATCTCAAAAAAAAAAAAAAAAAAAAAAAAAAGAGAGACAGAGGTTGCAGTGAGCCTGAGATCACGCCACTGCACTCCAGCCTGGATGATGGAGAATCTGTCTCAAAAAAAAAAAAAAGGAAGGAAGGTGTGGTGGCTCACATCTGTAATCCCAACACCAACACTTTGGAAGGCAGAGGCAGAAGGACTGGTTGAGCCCAAGAGTTGGAGACCAGCCTGGGCAACATGGCAAGACCCCATCTCTATAAAATAAATAAATAAATAAAATTGGCCGGGCGCAGTGGCTCATGCCTGTAGTCTCAGCACTTTGGGAGTCCAAGGCAGGCAGATTGCTTGAGTTCAGGAGCTCGAGACCAGCCTGAGTGATACGGTGAAACCTCGTCTTTCCTAAAAATACCAAAAAATTAGCCGGGCTTGGTGGCATGCACCTGTATTCCCAGCTACTCAGGAGGCCGAGGTGGGAAGATCACCTGAGCCCAGCCAGTGACTGAGCTTGCACCACTGCACTTCAGCATGGGCAACAAAGTGAGACCCTGTCTCTAAAAAATAAATAAATAAAAGTAAATAAATTAAATTAGCCAGGCGTGGTGGCACACGCCTGTGGTCCCAGCTACTCCAGAGGCTGAGATGGGCAGATTGCTGGAGTCAGGGAGGTTGAGGCTGTGGTCAACTGTGATTATGCCAGTTCACTATGGCTTATGTTACACTGCAAGACCCTGTCCAAAAAAAGAAAAAAAAAAAAAAGGAAGAAAATTGTTGTTTAATAGATATAGAGTTTCAGTCGGCATGGTGGCTCACGCCTGTAATTCCAGTACTTTGGGAGGCCGAGGTGGGAGGATTGCCTGAGGTCAGGAGTTTGAGACCAGCCTGGCCAACATGGTGAAACCCTGTCTCTACTAAAAATACAAAAAGTAGCCAGATGTGTTGGTGCATGCCTGTAGTCCCAGCTACTTGGGAGGCTGAGGCAGGAGAATCCCTTGAACCCGGGAGGCGGAGGTTGCAGTGAGCCGAGATCGTGCCACTGCACTGCAGCCTAGTGACAGAGCAAGACTCCGTCTCAAAAAAATAAAAGAAAATAGTTGTAGAGTTTCAGTTTGGGAAGATGAAAGAATTCTGAACATGTGGTAATAGAGGCACAGCTTTGTGACGTAATGACTGTACACTTCAACACCATTAAAATGATCAATTTTGTGTTATGCATGTTTTACCATAATCTAAAACAAATTTTTTGGGGGGCTGGGCGTGGTGGCTCACACCTGTAATCCTAGCACTTTGGGAGGCCAAGGAGGGTGGATCAACTGAGGTCACGAGTTCAAGACCAGCCTGGCCAACATGGTGAAACCCCATCTCTACTAAAAATATAAAAATTATCTGGGTGTGGTGGTGGATGCCTGTAATCCCAGCCACTTGGGAGGCTGAGGCAGGAGAATCGCTTGAACCCAGGAGGCAGAGGTTGCAGTGAGCTGAGACTGCACTATTGCATTCCAGCCTGGGCAACAGAGCAAAAACTCTGTCTCAAAAAAAAAAAAAAAAAAAAAAGAAAGAAATTTTTTTTTAATCCTGCATATCGGGGAGGGAGATGGACGAGTAACAGAGGGTGGAAGTGGAGGAAGGCGTGCTTCCCGGGAGAGGACTGGGCTGTGTGGGGATGCTGTGGACGGCTGCACAGGTGGTGCACTGCACAACTGCAGGGGATGCCATTCACATAGACCATGATGCTGCATCATGTGTGAAGTATGCACCACGGCAGTCCTCTCTGGAGGGCACCCTGAGAAGGGCCGCCAGCAGGGAGCTGGACAGCACGGGGACACATCCTTTCCAGCAGGAAAGGATTCCAAACGACCACCAGCAGGCGGGCAGGCCAAGCATAGCTGAAGGGAGCCATGGGAGGCCACGAGGTGCTCTGTGTACAGCAGGCAGCCCCAGCACTTGGCCCACGTGCTGCACAGAGGAAAACACCTGCCCACAGCTGTCTCTGGCTCTGATGTTTAGGACCCACCTCCAACCAAGCAAGGGTCCTGTAAGTCAGAAAATCTCTCAGTCATCGGAGCCAGGATTTGCCAACGTGAACCACTGAACTTCCCCCTTGGTCTCCATCCTCTATGAAAACATGAAAGGGGTTTGAAATTGCATCCAATAAACACAATGTCCATCTCCTGCCGGGGAAAATTGGTCTGGGTAGAGGGATGCCGGTGGTGTGGACAGGCTCTGAAAGCTGCAGGAAGGCTCGGCTTGGAGAACATCCTCCACCTCTGCCTACCATCAGGACCCAGGGATCCTGGGGAAGGGGAGCCCTTTCAGGAGTGCCCTGAAGTCCCCCAGCACGTGTGACACTTCTCAGAGCAGGCATCCCTTCCAGAAGTTTCTGTTAACTAAGCTGAATGGCATTTAAGATATTGAAAACAGGCTGGGCGCGGTGGCTTACACCTGTAATCCCAGCACTTTGGGAGGCCGAGGCGGGCGGATCACGAGGTCAGGAGATCGAGACCATCCTGGCTAACACTGTGAAACCCCGTCTCTAGTAAAAATACAAAAAATTAGCCAGGCGTGGTGGCGGGCGCCTGTGGTCCCAGCTACTCGGGAGGCTGAGGCAGGAGAATGGTGTGAACCCAGGAGGCGGAACTTGTAGTGAGCCGAGATCGCGCCCCTGCACCCCAGCCTGGGCGACAGAGCGAGACTCCATCTCAAAAAGAAAAAAAAGGAAGGATAGAATTAGAAAACCATTAACCAGGCGTGCTGGTCCTAGCTACTAGGGAGACTGAGGTGGGAGGATTGCTTGAGCCCCTGAGGTCAAGGCTACAGTGAGCCTCTATTGCCACTGCACTCCAGCCAGGGTGACAGAGCAAGACCCTGGAAAGAAGAAAAGAAAGAAAGAAAGGAAAGAGGAAAGGAAGAAGGAAAGCAAGCAAGAAAGAAAGCAAGCAAGAAAGAAAGAGGAGAAAGAAAAGAAAGAGAGAAAAAAGGAAAGAAAGAAAAAAGAAAAAGAAAGAAGGGAGGGAGGGAGGGAAAGAAAGAAGGGAAGGAAGGAAGGAAGGGAGAAGAAAGGGAGGGAGAAAGGGAAAGAAAAGAAGAAAAGAAAAGAAAAGGCCAGGTGCAGTGCCTCATGCCTGTAATCCCAGCACTTTGGAAGGCCAAGGTGGGCAGATCACCTGAGGTCAGAAGTTCAAGACCAGCCTGGCCAACCAACATGGTGAAACCCTGGCTCTACAGAAAATACAAAAATTAGTGGGGCATGGTGGTGGGCACCTATAATCCCAGCTACTTGGGAAGCTGAGGCAGGAGAATCGCTTGAACCCAGAAGGTGGAGGTTACAGTGAGCCGAGATCACACCACCGGACTCCAGTCTGGGCAACAAGAGCAAAACTCCATTAAAAAAAAGAAAGAAATAGGCCAGGCGCAGTGGCTCACGCCTGTAATCCCAGCACTCTGGGAGGCCGAGACAGGCAGATCACGAGGTCAGGAGATCAAGACCATCCTGGCTAACACGGTGAAATCCCATCTCTACTAAAAATACAAAAAAAAAATTAGCCAGGCGTGGTGGTGGGCGCCTATAGTCCCAGCTACTCAGGAGGCTGAGGCAGGAGAATTGCTGGAAACTGGAGGCGGAGGCCGCACTCCAGCGGCGAGAGAGTGAGACTCCATCAAAAAAGAAAGGGAGGGAGGGAAGGAGGGAAGGAGAGAAGGAGGGAGGGAGGGAGAGGAGGAGAGGAGAAAAGAGGGAGGGGAGGGGAGTGGAGGGGGAGAATAATTTGTAACCACTAATGAAATAGCAGGTCCTGGCAGGGATTTCCAATGGCTGCTAATATCACAACATCAGGCTCTGTGGGACTCTTTCCCTCTCCATGAAGTTGCACCCACCCTGTGGTCATCTTCTTGCTAAAAAAATCAACCTGAATGAGATTAAACAGACCAGTTTGGACATTTACACCTAGAGCTAACTGACTATAGGAAATATAAGGGTTGAGGAACGTGCCACATCAACCACAAGGACGAAATCAGCAAAATCCAGACAGGTGGAACCCTTTGGAACAAAAGACCTGCCTTCTTCCACAAATAACCTGAAAGGAGAAAAATGAAAGAGGGTAAATCCCGCGGTTAAAAGAGATTTAAGAGACATAGTGGCCAAGTGCAATGATTGGAAACCAACCGTTAAAAGAAATTTAGGTGGGTCGCGGTGGCTCACGCCTGTAATCCCAGCACTTTGGGGGGCCGAGGCGGGTGGATCACGAGGTCAGGAGATCGAGACCATCCTGGCCAACACGGTGAAACCCCGTCTCTACTAAAAATACAAAAAAAATACAAAAAAATACAAAAAAAATACCCCGTCTCTACTAAAAATACACCAGCCGGGCGTGGTGGTGGGCGCCTGTAGTCCCAGCTACTCGGGAGGCTGAGGCAGGAGAATGGCATGAACCCAGGAGGCGGAGCTTGCAGCGAGCCGAGATCACACCACTGCACTCCAGCCCGGGTGACAGAGTGAGACTCCGTCTCAAAAAAAAAAAAGAAAGAAATTTAAGGCTGGGCATGGTGGCTCACACCTGTAATCGCCACATTTTAGGAGGCTGAGGTGAGAGGATCTCTTGAGACCAGGAGCTTGAGACCAGCCTAAGCAACATAGGGAGACCCCATCTCTACAGAAAGTTTAAAAATTATCTGGGCATGGTGGTGCACGCCTGTAGTCCCAGCTACTCAAGCGGCTGAGGTGGGAGGATTGCTTGAGCCTAGGAAGTCGAGGCTGCAGTGAGCTGTGATTGTGCCACTGCACTCTAGCCTGGGCAACAAAGCAAGACCCTGTCCCCCCAAAAAAACAGACAAACAAAACAACAACAAAAAATTTAAGACAACCAAGGAAATTTGGACATTAGATGATACTAAGTATCGATCAATAATTGGTGGGTGGGGGCATGATACTGTGATTTTTTTTTTTTTTTTTTTTTTTTTGAGATAGAGTCTTGCTCTGTCACCCAGGCTGGAGTGCAGTGGCTCAATCTCGGCTCACTGCAACCTCTGCCATGTGGGTTCAAGCAATTCTCCTGCCTCAGCCTCTGGAATAGCTGGGATTACAGGCGCACGCCACCATGCCTGGCTAATTTTTGTATTTTTAGTAGAGATGGGTTTCACCATGTTGGCCAGGCTGGTCTTGAACTCCTGACCTCGTGATCCGCCCGTCTCGGCTTCCCAAAGTGGTGGGATTACAGGAATGAGCCACCGCGCCCAGCTTGTGGTTGTTTTTTCAAAAAGAGTCCTAGGCTGGGTGCAGTGGCTCATGCCTGTAATCCCAGCACTTTGGGAGGCCTAAGCAGGAGGACCATTGAGTCCAGGAGTTCAGCCTGGGCAACATAGTGAGATGCTGTCTCCAAAAAAAACACAAAAGCAAACAAACAAAAGGCCATGGAGGAGGCCAATCCCCAGCTGTGCTGAGCCAGGATCAGATTCTCTCAGCCCCTTTCAGCAGCACCTGTCCTCCTCTGAGTCAATATATTGCTGTTGCAGCCGGGCGCGGTGGCTCATGCCTGTAATCCCAGCACTTTGGGAGGCCGAGGTGGACGGATCACCTGAGGTCAGGAGTTTGAGACCAGACTGACCAACATGGAGAAACCCCATCTCTACCGAAAATACAAAATTAGCTGGGCGCGGTGGCGCATGCCTGTAATCCCAGCTACTTGGGAGGCTGAGGCAGGAGAATCGCTTGAACCCAGGAGGTGGAGGTTGTGGTGAGCTGAGATTGCGCCATTGCACTCCAATTGGGCAACAAGAGCGACACTCCATCTCAAAAAAGAAAAAAAAAAGAAAGAAAAAGAAAAAGAAATATGGAACATAAAAGTTACCATTTTAATCGTTTAAAAGTGTACAGGCCAGGCGCAGTGGCTCACACCTGTGATCCCAGCACTTTGGGAGGCCGAGGCAGGCAGATCACCTGAGGTCAGGGGATCAAGACCATTCCGGCCAACATGGTGAAACCCCGTCTCTACTAAAAATACAAAAATTAACCAGGTACACAGGCACACGCCTGTAGTCCCAGCTACTCGGGAGGCTGAGGCAGGAGAATCGCTTGAACCCAGGGGCCAGAGGTTGCAGTGAGCCGAGATCACACCACTGCACTCCAGCCTGGCAACAGAGCAAGACTCTGTCTCAAAAAAAAGTGTACAATTGGCTGGGTGCGGTGGCTCACGCCTGTAATCCCAGCACTTTAGGAGGCCAAGGAGGGTGGATCACCTGAGGTCAGGAGTTCAAGACCAGCCTGGCCAACGTATCGAAATTCTGTTTGTATTAAAAATACAAAAATCAGCTGGGTGTGGTGGCACACACCTATAATCCCAGCTACTTGAGAAGCTGAGGCAAGAGAATCGCTTGAACCCAGGAGGCAGATGCTGCAGTGAGCTGAGATTGCACCACTGCACTCCAGCCTGGATGACAGAGCCAGGATGGTCTTGTTCTCCTGACCTCGTGATCTGCCAGCCTCAGCCTCCCAAAGTGCTGGGATTACAGGTGTGAGCCACTGCTCCCAGCAGTTTTTTTTTTTGTTTTTTTTTTTTTGAGACAGGGTCTTGCTCTGTCATCCAGGCTGGAGTGCAGTGGCTCAATCACAGCTGACTGCAACCTCAATCTCCCCAGGTTCAAGTGATCCTCCCACCTCACCCTTCTGAGTAGCTGGGTTACTACAAGCGTGTGCCACCAGGACAGGCTAATTTTTTGTATCTTTTGTTGTGGGATTTTGCCATGTTGCCCAGGCTGGTTTTGGACTCCTGGGCTCAAGCGATCTGCCTGCCTAAGGCTCCCAAAGTGTTGGGATTACAGGTGTGAGCCATCATGCCCTCACTGTCACTATTTTCCTTTTTTTTTTTTTTTATTTTTTGTGGCCATCCTACTGGATGTGAAGTGATATCTCACTGTTATTTTGATTTGCACTTCCCTAATGATCCCCTGATGATGTTGAGTATCTTTTTCATCTCCCGGTTGGCCATGTGTATATCTGCTTGGGAGAAAATAAAGTCCTTTGCTCATTTTTAAATTGGGTTCTTTTTGTTGTTGATTTGTAGGCGTTCTTTACATATTGTGGATACTAGATCCTTATCAGACATAATTTTGTGGGGTTTGGGGTTTTTTTGTTTGTTTTTGAGATAGGGTCTCACTGTGTCACCCAGACTAGAGTGCAGTGGCTCAATCACAGCTCACTGCAGTCTCAAACCTCAAACTCCTATCAAGAGATCCTTTCTCCTCAGCCTCCTGAGTAGCTGGGACCACAGGCAGGCCACCACCATGCTCAGCTAATAAAAAAAAAATTGGGGCCAGGCATGCTGGCTCACACATGTAATCCCAGCACCTTGGGAGGCTGAGGCGGGCAGATCACGAGGTCAGGAGATTGAGACCATCCTGGCTAACACGGTGAAACCCCGTCTCTACTAAAAAATATGAAAAGATTAGCTAGGTGTGGTGGTGGGCACTTGTAGTACCAGCTGCTGGGGAGGCTGAGGCAGGAGAATGGCATGAACCCGGGAGGTGGAGCTTGCAGTGAGCTGAGATCACACCACTGCACTCCAGCCTAGGTGACAGAGCAAGACCCCATGTCAAAAAAAAAAAAAAAAAAATTGGCTGGGTGCGGTGGCTCACGTCTGTAATCCCAGCACTTTGGGAGGCCAAGGCAAGCAAATCACCTGCGGTTGGGAGTTCAAGATCAGCCCGAGCAACATGGAGAAACCCCGCCTCTACTAAAAATACAAAATTAGCTAGGTGTGGTGGCGCATGCCTGTAATCCCAGCTACTCGGGAGGCTGAGGCAAGACAATCGCTTGAACCCAGGAGGCGGAGGTTGTGGTGTGAGCCAAGATCACACCATTGGACTCCAGCTTGGGCAACAGAGGGAAACTGCGTTTCAAAAAAAAAAATTTGTAGAGACAAGGTCTTGCCAAGTTGCCCAGGGAACCTGCACTGGGCAGTTCCGGAAGAGCTGCAGCTTTCAACGCTTCGAGAGTGCGTGACTGTCCCTGGTCCCCATGCCCTGGCCAGTGCTCAGAACTACCCATCTCCTGATTTCTGCTCATCTGATAGCCACAAACTGGCATCTAATTTGTTTTAATGTGCATTTGCTGATGCCCAGTGTCCATGAGCATCTCACAGTTTGTCCTGTAAGTGCAATGCTTCACAGGACAAAGAGAATTTCTATCTTTTGCAGGTATCAGAGTCGCTGAGAAGAGTCATGCTGTGATGTGAGGTCACAGAACAAGGTAGGGTGGGAGCCTGGAGCTCAGTAAGCTCTCTGCAATTTATGTTTGCCTCCACCCCGACCCCCACCAAGCTTGAGCCTCCTCTCCCCCATCCCCATATGGGAGGGGGAGCTAGGAAGCACCACCACCTCTGCTTGAGTAAAATCTCTTCCAACAGCAGAACGATCCCTTGACCCGACTTAACATGAAATAGTTCCAAATCTCTTTTCAACTGGTAGAGATCTTCCTTCCCTGTCCCAACCTCCAAATGACTTCTGCAGCTGTAAGCAGTTCAGAGGAGCTATGCATTGGACTCCCAATCCCATCTACAGAGGCTCTCCCCTGGCACCTGCGGGGAGAAAAGCTGAAGTACAAAGGGCACTGGCTGAGCCTCTTACACCAGGTGAGGCCCTCGTTATTGGTAGATACTGAGTTCCAGGATTCAGTAACTAGCCAACTCCATGACTGCTGCGCTCTTTACACAAAGTAAAACTATCTCATATCACACGTCCACCTGAGGGCTGGGGGGAAACTAAGGCAGGCCCCTGCTGATTCAGGTGGTTATTTTATGCCAAATATTTACCCAAGATGTCAAGTCATCTAGTTTTTCCTAAATAATGGAAAAAGCCGTCTCAGGACTTCCCTCCCAGCCTGCTTATGATGTTGCTTCAGTTATCTCCAACACCCAAACCCACTAGGCTGCCTTGTTCTTGCACTTTCGATTTGGAAGAAATCGAACTGCTCAGTTTATTGTTAAGCCGTTTTCTCACCAGCCCACGAAGCCAAGCTGAGCAGCACCCACCGCCCCCACCCCCAAGACTACCCAATACTTCCAGGTTGGTCTGTCTTTCCCAGCCCACTTGCTACTTCCCCAAACAGGAGCCATTCATTGGTTACGGCAGCACTTTTATTTTTCCTTACACAATGACGTGTTGCTGGGGCCTAATGTTCTCACATAACAGTAGAAAACCAAAATTTGTTGTCATCTCTTCAAAGAATCGAGAATTGCGTACAAAAAAAACCTTACATAAATTAAGAATGAATACATTTACAGGCGTAAATGCAAACCGCTTCCAACTCAAAGCAAGTAACAGCCCACGGTGTTCTGGCCAAAGACATCAGCTAAGAAAGGAAACTGGGTCCTACGGCTTGGACTTTCCAACCCTGACAGACCCGCAAGACAAAACAACTGGTTCTTGCCAGCCTCTAGAGAAATCCCAGAACACTCAGCCCTGACACGTTAATACCCTGCACAGATCAGAGGCTGCTGGCCACACAGACTCACCAAGCCACAGACTTGTCTTCCACAAGCACGTTCTTACCTTAGCCACGAAGTGACCAAGCCACACGTACTAAAGGTTGAACTCAAAGATATGTACAGGGTATTAAACAAATACCAAGGGGAACAGTTAACTTCAATACAAGGTCAAAATCAGCAACAAGTTCTACAATCCAGTGCTGATATCAGATACAAGCTTCAAGGACAATTTCTTTTCGAAGGCTTATTCCAGTTTCGTGAGGCTAGCATGAGGTGTGTGCATTTGCCAGGGGCAAATTTCTATTCTCAATTAACCCATGCAGCAAATGCTACGCATCTGCTGAGTCCGTTTAGAAGCATTTGCGGTGGACGATGGAGGGGCCCGACTCGTCGTACTCCTGCTTGCTAATCCACATCTGCTGGAAGGTGGACAGTGAGGCCAGGATGGAGCCACCGATCCACACCGAGTACTTGCGCTCTGGGGGTGCGATGATCTGCAAAGACAGCCAGGCACGGCTTCAGCTCACAGAGCGCCCCCCAGTCAGCTCTCCCGAGCCAGGCAGAGGGCCACCAACCCCTCGACTCACCTTGATCTTCATGGTGCTGGGCGCCAGGGCGGTGATCTCCTTCTGCATCCTGTCGGCAATGCCCGGGTACATGGTGGTGCCGCCCGACAGCACCGTGTTGGCGTACAGGTCTTTGCGGATGTCCACGTCACACTTCATGATGGAGTTGAAGGTGGTCTCGTGGATGCCGCAAGATTCCATACCTAGGGGACAGAGCCCTCCCTTAGTGATGCTGTGTCACCGAGGATGTAAGAGTAGAAACCTTTAGCTCACAACACCTACCCAGGAAGGAAGGCTGGAACAGCGCCTCCGGACACCGGAACCGCTCATTGCCAATGGTGATGACCTGGCCATCGGGCAGCTCGTAGCTCTTCTCCAGAGAAGAGGAGGATGCGGCGGTGGCCATCTCCTGCTCGAAGTCCAGGGCGACGTAGCACAGCTTCTCCTTGATGTCGCGCACGATTTCCCGCTCGGCCGTGGTGGTGAAGCTGTAGCCTCGCTCAGTGAGGATCTTCATGAGGTAGTCGGTCAGGTCCCGGCCAGCCAGGTCCAGACGCAGGATGGCGTGGGGGAGGGCGTAGCCCTCGTAGATGGGCACCGTGTGGGTGACCCCGTCTCCAGAGTCCATGACAATGCCAGTGGTGCGCCCAGAGGCGTAGAGGGACAGCACGGCCTGGATGGCCACGTACATGGCCGGGGTGTTGAAGGTCTCAAACATAATCTGAGAAGGGACAAGGGGCGGCTTAGTCAGGGACAGAGACCCACGGCCACCCCATGCTCACACGCCACAACATGCTGCATGCCAGTGTGATGTGTGGAGAAAAGAAAAGAACGCAGGCAGAAACCAAATGAGAAACCTGGAGGCTTCAGGGAGGAAATGCCGGGAGAGGAACAGAGCCTGGAACAGCGAAAGAAACACTTAAATGTCAGAAATCAAGCCGGGCAGAAAATGACTGGGGAAAGGACGGGAGGAGCACGGGCGTCGGCCGAGCCTCACCTGAGTCATCTTCTCTCTGTTGGCCTTGGGGTTCAGGGGGGCCTCGGTCAGCAGCACTGGGTGCTCCTCCGGGGCCACGCGCAGCTCGTTGTAGAAGGTGTGGTGCCAGATCTTCTCCATGTCGTCCCAGTTGGTGACGATGCCATGCTCAATGGGGTACTTCAGGGTCAGGATGCCACGCTTGCTCTGGGCCTCGTCGCCCACGTAGGAGTCCTTCTGGCCCATGCCCACCATGACGCCCTGCAGGGGACGACCCGTCAGCCTCGCCGGCGACACCGAACCCACCCCGCAACGCAGAACCCAGGAGCCCCGCGGCGCCATCCACTCACCTGGTGTCTGGGGCGCCCGACGATGGAAGGAAACACGGCTCGGGGAGCGTCGTCCCCAGCAAAACCAGCTTTGCACATGCCGGAGCCATTGTCAATGACCAGCGCGGCGATCTCTTCTTCCATTGCGACCTGCCCGGAAAAGGATGGACTCAGGCGGGCGCGTCTGTAACACGGTCCCCTCCCCACAGCCACCTAATGCCCTCCCGCGGGGAAGCCTCGGCCCTGCCCCAACCCCAGCGGCCGTGGCCTCCAAGATCGCAACCGCCTGGAACCGAAGGCCGGGCCTTTTACGTAACGTCCACGGCTCGGAAGTCTGCACTGCGGCCGGGCCCCGCCCTGGACCCCCGGCGCCCCCCCAGCCCCGTCCGCCTGACCCGGCCCACCCCGCCTTTTGTTCCCGGGGAAGGCGCGACGAGGCCTCGGCAGCTGGAAGCGGGGCCAGCCGGGGTCGGGGGGCGCAGGCCTGCGACGTCCAGCTCAGGCCCCGGGGCGGGGCGCTCACCGGCAGAGAAACGCGACGGCGGAGCGGCGGAAGAACAGAGTGCGAGAGCTGGCAGCGGCGACTGAGACCGACCGCGGCCTCCCCCGCCGTTATTTAAGCGGAAGCGGCGCGCCCGCGCGGCCCGGCGGCGCGCGCGGCCCCAGAACATGTCCATATATGGCGATCTTTCCGAAAGCCGGGCACCCATTGGCCCGCCGGGCAGGGACACGTGGGGCCCCGGCCCGCCCCGCCCCCAGCCCGCACCGCCTCCCAACGGCCCCGCCCGCGCCACCCCCGCGCGCTCGCGACCCTGCGCGGGCCGGCGGGCGGGTCTGAGTTGGGGCGCCCTCCGAGGGTCGCCGGGAGGGCCGAAGGGCTGACGGGCCTGGCCCCTCCCCGGGACTGCCGCGCCGTGGGGAGGGCCCTGCTGCGCCCCGAAACTGCCTGACCCGGGGCGGGGCCGCGCCGGAGCTGGGGTGGGTCCCCGAGTCCCCGGCCACGCTGCGGGGCTTTGCTCCCTGGGACGTCCCTTGCAATCTTTCCCCTCGGGCTCCACGAGGATCTCGGGCGCCAGTGCCGGGCTGAGGAAGGGGCGCGGCGGGGGTCCGCGACGCTCTGCGTCCCTGGGCGCGGGGGAGCTCTCAGGAGCCCTCACCTCGCCCCGGTCACCATAGGAAACAGCCCGCCCGTCCCCAAGCGCAGCCACCACCATGCAGGTCCCTCCACGGGGCGCCCTGCCCCGGATCTCCGTTCGTTTGAAGACCGAGGCCCCTTTCTACCCGACCCGACACATCCCTGCCCCTCAAATCACAGGCCTGATTGTCCCCAGGCGCGCGCTCCGGGTTGGGGCTACCCCGCCCCCTTATGTGCTGAGAAGGTGGTGTGGAGTGAGGCCTTTGTTTCATTCTGGTCACCTGTAGACATTATAGGGAAACTGAGGTAGACAATGGGAGCCCTGACTTTTTTGAAGGTCGGCTCCCCAGCTTCGGGCGGTCGGGGGGATACCCTCTTCTGTTTACGATGCTAGTTAAGAGCAGCGATCAGGGCTGGCGTGGGTTTAGCCACAGGCTTGTCCAGGGCGCTCACTCCTCGCCAGGAGCGGCGCCGGTGCTTTGGTTACACCCCGAGAGGCGCCCGGCACTACGGTTTCCTTGTGCGCTGCTGGAATTTTCAGGGTTGGAGCGCCGGCCGCGTAGGGGTGGCAGTGAGGCCGCGCAGTGAGGGGACGGACTCGCCCGAGGTCGCAGAGCGTTCAGATTGACTCGACAGGCTGGGGGGCGGGGCCGGGGTCCCCACGCGGAGTCCGGGGCCCTGCAACGTTAGCTCGCGACCCCGTGTTTGGGAGTGACAACAGCGAGTCAGGGCAAGGCGGCCGGCCCAGCTCACCTGCGGGCTGCAGTCAGCCCGGACGCCGAGACCCGTGCCTAAGGCCCCCGTGCCCCAGGCCTCCCAGGGGTGCTGAGCGCCCCCAGGCCCAGAATCTCCGGGGGCCCGGGCAAGGCTGTCAGGTATGTTCCCTCCCGTGGCGAAGCCGGGGCTGGGCCTCCAACAGACCCACCCGGACTCGCGTCCCTGGGCAGAACCACACAGCCTGCTCGACCCCCGGGTGAGGACTTCCACTTGGGGGGTCCCAAGATGCGACGTCACACACCGAGGGACACGAGGCGGGTGGGGAATAGCCACAAGCCCCTCCATCCTGCGTTCACCCCACACTACGTTCTGCTCCGGGCCGGCCGGGGACCCTGCCCCTCCGGGTCTCTGGTCTCCTCCGAAGCTTCTTTGTCTAGGAAGTGCGGGGAGGTGCCGGCCCCGGGCGCGCGTCCCCGTCCCCCACCTTTCTTCCCCACGTTGCGGACCCGAGGCCGCCAGGGTCGTGGGGGCGGGGGCGAGGCTGGCGCCTCGAGACCCCCGGGTTCCCCGCCACCCGCAGGGCCTGAGCCGCGGGGAGGGGCGGGGAGGGGACGCCGCCGCGGGCCGGGGGTGGAGAGCGACTTCCTCCTCCGCGGCCGCGTCACGCGGCAGGGGTCAAGGTGTGGCCCAGGTACGCGGCGGGGGGCGGTGGCGCGGCCATATTTGGCGACTTCGGCGCCGCCGGAGCCCCGCCCGCCTCCGCCGGGAAGCCCGGCCCGGGGCAGCGCCATCCCCGCCCGCCGCCGGGCCTGAGTCACGGCGGGCGGGGGGCGGAAGTAACGGACGGGGGGCGCCCGCCCGGCGCTCCTGGCCTTATTTAGTCAAGGAGGCCGCCGATTGGCGCGCGGGACAGAGGGGCGGCGGCCGGGCAGCCTCGGGGCGTAGGAGTGGCCCGGCGCCTCCGAGGGGTCGGGGCGGGAGCCGGGCGTGGGGGGCCTCGGAGCCTGGGGAGTCCCGGGACCGACGGCGGCGGGGATGCGGGTCTGCCTGTCCCTGGGATGCGGGCGGGCGGGCAGGGCGAGGCCTGGAGCCCGCGGGGCGCAGGGGGCTGGACCGCGCGCTGTGATTTTTCTGTTTAGCAGCGGGGCCTCGCCCAAGGTCGCGCGGGGCCTGTCCTGGATATGCTCTGGGAAGCCAGTGGCGCAGGGCAGCCGCCACCCTTCTGGAACCAGTGCCGGAGAGGGCCGGGCAGCTGGGCCTGGGGAGGGGACCGCATGGATGGAGCTGGGGGTAGCTGGGCGGCCTCCGGAGCCGGGAGAGTCGGCAGCTGCACTTCCGCCAGAGGTGGGTGTGTCCTTCACATTTCAGGAAGGGAGACTTGGGGCCTGGAGAAGCGATGTGATTTTTCTTTTCTAGTTCAGTGCTGGTTTTGATGGCTTTTTATCATGACCTTGTTATGTCTTATTTTAGTTTCGGCCCATTTAGTGGATACGACAACAGTGGCCCAGGGAGGTATGGCAGAGCTGAGGCTTAACCCAGGGCCTGCGCCCTCCACGGCCTGCACTGCCCCACCTCCAGCTCCTTGCCCTGTTCCTCCCTCTGCACCGGATCAGCCCCCGGACTCTGGGTCACCTCCACACCAGTTGACAGGGCCCCCCAGTCCCCACCGCCAACCACCTGGCCGGCTACTTGTCAGACAGACATGGGGGCGTGGGCATGGGTCCCCACCCCTAGCCTTTGCCTCTGTCACTCTACCTGCCTGGAATGTCTACTTTTTCTTTATATTTTATTTTATTGTATTTTTGAGACAGTCTCATTGTCGCCCAGGCTGGAGCGCAGTGGCGCGATCTTGGCTCGCTGCAACCTCTGTCTCCGGGGTTCAAGCGATTCTCGGGCCTTAGCCTCCCGAGTAGCTGAGACTACAGGCGTGCACCACCATGCCTGGCTAATTTTTGCATTTTTGGTGGAGACAGGGTTTCACCATGTTGGCCAGGCTGGCCTGAACTCCTGACCTTAAGTGATCCACTCGCCTAGGCCTTCCAAAGTGCTGGGATTACAGGCGTGAGCCACCTCACCCAGCCTGGAGTGTCTCATCTTCCACCACTAAATGAAACGATGGACCCTGAACAGAAAAAGGAACAGTGGTGGAAGAACTAGCAAAGCCCACAGCCTTGAGTTTGGCCGTAAGTATCAAGGTTAATCTCTCAGTTATGGCAGTTGTCCCATGACCGTGTAAGATGCCAGGTTAGGGGACACTGGGAATAGAGCATTGGGAAACCTTCCCACTGTCTTTGCAACTTTTCTGTAAGTTTAAAGTTCTCCCATAATAAAAAGCTAACTTGAATCCAAGGCAAGCAAAGCTTCCCTACTCTCAGCCCACCTCCCTCTTCTCCCACACCCTTTTGGACAGATGAAATGCAAGGTGATGGCCCTGTTTCCTGAAGCTCTTTCCAGGGCCTGGCTGGCTCCCTTGGGCAGGTCTGGAGTGGGCTCTGCCTCTTCAGGAACAGTGGTCCCAAGGCTGGTCCCGGTGGGCAAGGCTGGTTTCCTGCAACTCGGCCTGGCTGCCTCTGAGTTTTGGCTCAAGGGACAAGGCCAGGGTCCCACACTTCTGTCTCCTGGCTGGTGCCCAGCTTGGGGCTTGGTTCTCCTGCCCCACTGCGCAGACTGAAGCTCAGAAGGCTCAGCTGGCTGCCCCCCACCCCACCCCTGCGGAGTCACTGGGCAGCTGGCTGTGAGTGGCCAGGTGCTGCTTGTTTGGTCCCAGGACCAGGTCTCTGCATGTGTTGTCCAATTCTCACCTGGTCCCCAGACCAGGTCTCTGCATGTTTTGTCCAATTCTCACCTGGTCCCCAGACCAGGTCTCTGCATGTTTTGTCCAATTCTCACCACTGGAGGAGAGTCCCAGACTGTGGAGTTTTCACAGGGAGGGAAACTGAGGCAGTCTCCTGGGTCAGGGTAATTAGCCAGAAACAAGGTCACATTCTGGGAGGTCAGAAGGTTCTGGAGGGCGGTGTGGGCACTCTACACGAGGGTTAGGGGCTTGAATGCACACAGACACTCAGGCCGAGAGTCCCTCAACCCCACTCCCCTGCCCCGCCCCACCCCCGCTGCTCCAGGCCTTCTGGAGACAGGATCCCTGTTGCAGTTTACCTGAGGCTCCCCATCCCCGCTGTGAGCAGGAACCAAGGAGGCCCCTGGAAGAGCCCTGAGCTGGGAGTCGGACACCTGGGTTCTGGGCCCGGCTCAGCCCTGTGCCTGCCACGTGACCTCTCTGTACCCCAGTTCCTGTCAAAAAAGAGGAGAGGGCTCTGCGATGTGAGATGTGTGGCCCATCAGGGGCTCTGAGGCTGCTTGCCCTCCCGTGTGGACAGGAAGTCTGGGGACAGGAGGCCGTCAGGTGGCCCAGCAAACCCCCCAGGCGTCTTGCCTGACACCCAGGGGCTCAGTTTTCGGTGATGAGTAAGACGTGCTCAGTGCCTCTGTGTGTCGTGTGTGAGACCTGAGACCAGGGTGCCTGCTCCTCCCTCTGTTCCCAAGGGCATAGCCCCAGGCCCGTTTGTGACCCTCCACTGGGCCCGAGAAGAAGGCTCCTTTCCCCAGGCCTCATTCCCCTGTGGCCTCCCAGAGCCGCACGGAGTGGGGAGGGTCTGCTCTCCACCTGGCCATTGTGGACCCCACCCCAGGAGCTCCGGCCGCCCCCCCCCCCTCCAGTCCCACTCCTTCCTCCCCAGAGGCAGCGAGGCCTGAAGTTTGTGTTTCCCCTCAGGGTGGTTCTTAGCTGCGGTCACAGATTGCAGGGGAGGAGCCAGAAACGGAGATGAAACCGAGGAGCCCCCACCCTCTTCACAGGGCTAAAGCCAGAAACCACCGTCCCAGGCCACAGCCTGCCTCATGTGGCCATGCCTGCTCCCTGGCAGTGCGCGTCCTGCAACCCTTCCCACCCCAGGGCCTCGGCTTCCGCAATGAATCCCCATGTTTCAAATCCCCGCTGCTCCCAAGGCTACCTGCTGCCTCGGGGTAGAATCTAAGCCCCTTCCCCTGGTGCTGGAGGCCCACAGAGTGGGCGCTGCCTGTCCCTCCACTCCTTCAGCGCCCTGACCACCGTCTGGCTGTTCCTTTGCCCCCAAAGCTGTCCCACTGGCTGCCTCCTCCTGGCATGCCCCCATGCCACCCACGACCTCCCATCAACTCCTATTGATTATTAGCTTCTTTCACCCACTCTCTGCCCTAGAGCATTGGTTCTTGGGGCACAGCATCCTTGTCCTCCACAGTGAAGCTGGTGCCCCTGTACCTGGCATAGCCCCTGTACCTGGCATAGCCCCTGTACCTGGCATAGCACCTGCCCAGCAGCTGCTCGTGCAGGAAGCCCAAGTAGGGGTGGAATAGAGAGGGAGGAGTTCCCAGCCCTGGAGGAGGGAGCGCAGAGGAAGGCTAGGCCGATTCGCAGCTGCCTCCTATCTCAAAAACGTGGAAGGGGCTATAACTCTAGGGCTGGGAGGGAGGGGAGTCGTTTTCGCTGACTCTCCGCACGGACCCTCTCCTGCCCGCTAGCTGGTCAGCTCCTCCAGCTCTCCCCGCGGCAGCAGGCCGGGGAGCAGATGTCTTGTCCAGTGTGCGCGGGGCACCGAGGTAGGGAAAGCCTGTTTAACCCGTCCCGCCCCTCCTGCTCTGGCCAGCAGCTCGCCCAAGCAGCTCTGCAGAGCGACTAGGTCAGGGCCTCTCCAGGTGTCTCCACTCGAGGGACGGCTGGCGCCACGCGGAAAAGGGGAAGCGGGTCAGGGCGGGACAAGGGCAAGAGGTTACTGCTCTGGGCGCTGTGTCCTAAGGGCTGCCTCTTGTCTGCGGAGAATGGAGGGTGCCGGGGGTCAAGCCCGGACTCTGTCAGGGTACCCGAGTCTTAGCCACGCCATCCTTCCCCAGCGCGCCGCGGGGGCGGGCACAGCAGGGCGGGCGTGGCTGGGAGACCGGCTGTGCCTCGCCGCCCCGCCCGTCCCAGGCCGGGAAGCTGGGACTTGAGCTGGTCTGCATTCGGGCAAGGTGAGCCCCGGGATGTTTCTCAGGCAGGGCCCAGGGCTGCACGCCCTAACTTGGTGCGGGGTCGCGGCGGTCCAGCCCGGCTGCACGTGGTCGCGCGCTCCTTGCAGCTCCCAGCCCGCCGGCCCGCGCTCCTGCGCCCCCTCCCCACGCAGTCGACCTCTCCTGACCGCCAGGTGCACGCAGGGCGCGGGCCTGGGCCTCAGCTCCGCGCACTCCCCCCGGGACGCGGCACCGGGGCTTCGGGTGGGCCCAGGACCCGCACTCAGCACGCACTTCCCCCGCCGAGCACTGTCTGGCAGCGGGGACGCACCCCCAGGACCACGAGCTCGGAGGCCTGGGGCCGGGAGATGGCGCCCGTGGAGTGGGTCCCGCGAGAAGGCCGGGAATGGCGGGCCGCTGTCGTTCCCACCTGGGCCGCCAGGTGGGTGCCGCTATCGCCGCGAGGCCGCACCTGTCGCGCTGCCGGAGCCCGCGCCTGCCCAGGAGCGCCAGGAGGGACCCCCGCTCCTCCCTCCGCCACTGGGCGGGGCCGGTCGCTGAGTCACGGCCGCACACCGGACGGTGACAGAGGCAGGGCTGCCTGGGGAGGGGCCGGTGACCTCAGTCAGGGCTGACGCGGAAAAGTGGGATGGGGTCACCCGTGGCAGTGGATGAGGGGGTGGCCCGGGCCTCCACTCACTGCCCACGCTAGATGTCCGGGGTCCCTCCTGCGACCGAGGACAGGAGGCACCCACAGAGGACCCCAACACGAGGACCCTGGCCCTGGGTGCGGGGCGTTTTTCCCGCACTCTGCTCCCCTAGCAGATGGCCCCTGCTAAGCACCAGCTCCCAGAAAAGGAAAGGAAGGGGCTGAGAGGCTGGATCGAGGCAACCCAGCAGGAAAAGGTGGCTCCAGGGCTGGAGGGGTGGGACTCAGAGATCTCACTACATACACCTGCTGGGGACAGAGGCTTCTCCGGCCTTCCCAGGGCTGGGCCAGGCCGTGGCAGGGGCCGCCCCAGACCTGTGTCCCAAGGGGCCAGGTTGTTTGCGGCTGGGCTGGCTCCGGGAAAGTCAGAGGGGGCACTGCCGGACAGGGGATGTCCAGTGCCACACCAGGGCGGTCACACTTCCTCCTGGGGCCGTGGGGACACAGGAAGGCCTAGGGGAGGGGTGGGGGGAGAACACACTCAGGAGGTGACCCTGAAGGTGGAGAGGCCCGAGCTGGGGTCACACCATGCCCAGGGAAGGATCATGGTTGGCCCAACCCATGTGTCCACTTGGTCTGTGGGAGGGAATCACCCTGGGGAGCCCCCTATGCCTGGCCCCCACCCACACACACCTTGGGCTCTCTTGAAGGTTAACTGTGCCCAGCACCTTGACAAGCCCCATTTCCTCCAGTCCTTAGGACAAGGCATCCTTTGGGGGCGTCACCAAGCTGGGAAGGTGAGCCCCCGAGTCAGTGTTGAGTTTGCGTATCGGCAAGTGCCTTGAGCTCACACCCCTGGAACTGGCAGTTTGGTGAGAGATGGAATTTCAAGTTGAGAACTGGCCTGGGATTTTGAACGCTTAGTCCCTGTCTCTTGCTGGCACTGCTGCTGATGAGAAATGAATGTCACTGGATTCCTGATCCAGAGTCCAGGTGTTGTGTTTCTCTAAGAGCCTTCAGGCTTTTCCTTGCTGATCTAAAACTGCTTCATGTCCCTGGTGATGCTTTTGCATTCATTATCTTGGCTACTTCCTAGGCCCTGTTCTTGCTAATTTGCTTGTATTATTTCTTTTACAATTTCTTTCTTTTGTTTTCTGTTCTTCTGTTTTGGGATTTCTGTTAATTGGGCATTATACCTTCTGGATTTATTCTCTAATATTCTAGTTTTTTTCTTCTGTCTACTTTTTTAAACCTTCTGGGATATTTCCTTGACTTCTAACCCTTCAGCGGAGTTTTTCATTTTATTTATTATAGTTTTTAACCTTTTGGTTTTGAAATTTTTTTTTCTTTTTTTGAGACAGAGTTTCACTCTTGTTGCCCAGGCTGGAGTGCAATGGTGCGATCTTGGCCCACCGCAACCTCTCCCTCCCAGGTTCAAGCGATTCTCCTGCCTCAGCCTCCCTAGTAGCTGGGATTACAGGCATGTGCCACCACGCCTGGCTAATTTTTGTATCTTTAGTAGAGACAGGGTTTCTCCATGTTGGTCAGGCTGGTCTCAAACTCCCGACCTCAGGTGATCCACCCGCCTTGGCCTCCCAGAGTCCTGGGATTACAGGCATAAGCCAAGCCCAGCTTTTTTTTTTTTTTTTTTGAGACAAGGTCTTATTCTGTCATCCAGGTTAGAGTGCATTGGTGCCATCTCAGTTCACTGTAACCTCGACCTCCCAGGCTCAAGCAAACTTCCCACCTCAGCCCTCTCCATCCCCCAGCAGCCAGGACTACAGGTGTATGCCACCATGCCTGGCTAATGTTTGTATTTGTAGTAGAAATAGGGTTTTGCCATGTTACCCAAGCTGGTCTTGAACTCCTGGGTTCCAGCAGTCCACCCGACTTGGCCTCCCAAAATGCTGGGATTACAAATGTGAGCCACCACACCCAGCCTTTGTTTTGAAATTTCAAACTTACCTCGTTTTAAACATCTTGACACATTTGCTTATCATTCTCCTTCTATTTCTGAGCCCTTTGGAAGCAGGTTTCAGGCATGATGCCCTTACTATTTTAGGGTGTGTTTCCTAAGAACAAGGATGTTTTCTTCTATAACCACAGAACAGTGATCAAAATCAGGCAACATCAGTATCACACTGTTTATCCAATTGACAGGCAATGATGGCGTGGATCATACAACTTCGGTAATGACACTTGTCCCAGAAATGTCCTCCGTAGTGTGTTTTCCTCATCTAATCCAAAATCACGTTATAACGTTTTGTTGTCATAAACTTTTTTTTTTGAAACGGAGTCTCACTCTGCACTCTGTTGCCCAGGCTGGAGTAGAGTGGCACGATCTCGGCTCACTGCAACCTCCGTCTCCTGGGTTCAAGCAATTCTCCTGCCTCAGTCTCCTGAGTAGCTGGGATTACAGGCGTGGACCACCACACCCAGCTATTTGTTGTATTTTTAGTAGAAATGCAGTTTCACCATGTTGGGCAGGCTGGTCTCGAACTCCTGACCTCGTGATCCGCCTGCCTCGGCCTCCAAAAGTGCTTGAATTACAGCCCGGCCAAACTATCATACTTTTAATTCCCAAGGCCTCTCTTGTTCTCTGCACCATTTCATTAACTATAGGCAATGAGACTTTTTTAGAAAGCAGACCAACTTGAATGCATGGAGCTGAGTGGCGTGGCGTTGTCCCCAAGGGAGCTGGGTGACACCACGATGGTGACCATGTGCAGAGCCCTTCTCACCGTAGAGTGATAAATGGTCCGTTTCTGTTTTGTCCCAGAAGTCAGAGGTAGAGTTAATTCCTTTCCTTTCCCCAGCACGGTTCCTGGCACACCTGGCACTCCCTAAGTGCCTGTGATGGTTGGTTCTTACGTGACTGAACTTGCGGGTGGACGTGGCATTACACGTGGGCAGGGCGTATGTACACCTGTGTGTGTGTGTAGATGCAGGTTCGCAGGGGCTGGGCAGAGGCCGCCACCTGCAGACCTGTGGGCTCGTTCACGCCAGGTGTCCATGTCTGTGGTGTGCCCCTGTGTGTAAGTCCAGCTGGGCTGTAGACAGCCATCTCTTCTCTGAAAGTTGATCTGTTCGTCACTCTAAGCCCCAAGCAGCCAGGGGCTCATGGGATTTTCATGAACACTCTCCTCCTGTCCCCTGCATGTGCAAAGGTCCTGGGGCTCAGGGGTTGGAGGCTCCATCGCCCCAGTGGTTGTGAGGCATCTGGGCTTGTCCAGACACCTTCGCTTCTGCCCTCGGGGTCCCTTTGGGGACTTTTGTCCTTGCTGGGGTCCAGAGTTTTCTGGCAAGGCCTAGAGCCCTCTTCCTCCCCTCCCCTTCCAGGCACAGCCCCCCACCAGCACCTTATGATTTCACAGAAGACAAAAGCCAGCAGACTGTGTGGGCTGTCTGCCCTGAGAGTTCCAAGGCGAGGCTCCGGAGCAGCCAGCCGTGAACCCCAACTGCAGTTCGGGAAGCTGCTTTCGGGGAGGGGCAGGGAGGGGAGGGGGATTCTCGGAGCAGGCAGGCAGCCACGCTGGAGAGCCCCTCCCCAAGCTCTTCATTCCAACCCTGCCCTGCCCCCTGCCTTGCCGATGGAGCCTGTCACCCTAAACCTGGCCTCAGTAAACCAACCCAGGCCAGAGAAAGAGAAGTGCGGCCCCCTCGCCCGTGTAAGTGGAACTGCAGCGGAGCCGATAGCTCAGCCATGAAAAAATCATGAGGTCGCCAGGCTGCAGGTCTGTGCTCAGGAATAACACCCGGGGCTGGGCCCCTGGGAGTAGGTGCTGGGCCAGGAGTGAGGACATCAAGGCCCGGTGTGCCCAGCAGGGTGGCCCTCACCTGGCTGCAGGGCCAAGGGGACAACAGAGCCTAGGCAGGGGCTTGGCACGGGGACAAGGGGGAGGGTGGAGTACCTGGGAATCACTGGAGACAGGGATGCCAACAGGAGTGGCAGCGGTCAGGGCCTGGCACTGAGGTGGGGGCTCCTCCGATGCCTGCAGGGAGGGCTGCAGGCACTGCTGGCCTGTGAAAGGCGTGGTCCTCAGCCGCGGGGTGGCCCCAGGGCTCCATTTCCCAGTTTTCAGGGCTCCAGTCCAGCAGGGCGAGGAGCCACCTCTCCCCCAGCTGCACACACGCAGGCCTGTGCCAGCTCACACCACCAGCATCAGCGTTGCAGGGCATCCAGCCTGGAGCACGTGCCGGTCACCATGGCAGCAGACAGCGTGCCAGCAGGAGCCCAGGCTGGGCTCAAGCATCCAGGATCAGTGGTCTAGGCATGGGGGGCTTGGGGTCCTTCCCCTTGGAGCACCAGACGGGCCAACTCGGGGAGGGGAAGGGGGACCCTGGAGCACCAGGACAGCCCGTCCACCAGCACCTCAGAAAGGGAACGATTTCCTAAGGGCTCTCGGGAAACCTGAGGGTGGACACCAGGTGCCGGTGGGGGCGCATGGCTTCCTGGTCCTGCCCAGCTGGCCCCGCACTGAGAGGGATGGAGGCCGAGGCTCAGGCCTCGGGAGGCTGCCAGGGGATTCTGATGGCTGAGGCATTCCTTGCCCTCTGGGCTCAGGTGAGGCCAGGAAGTCTGTCACAGCTGGCTGCTCCCTGGACCAGGGGGCTGGGGGTACTGCTACCCCAAACAGCCTCTCACTGCCCACCGGGACAAGGCACCCCCTCCCAGGTGCAGACCTCAGCTTGGGCCTCAGGCACACACTGGGCAGGGGCTTCCACCAGCCTCAGAGGTGGGCGAGGGTGGGGCGTGGAGCCCTCAGTGTGGCAGCGCCTTTGAATGTCGCCACAGTGCAGCCTGCACAGGTCAGGGTGGCAGGCACGTGTGTATCCCATGTGAGTGGTTGGTTGGCACCTCCGGAGGTGTGGCCACAGGGCTTGGTGAGGGTCAGTGGGAGGGGTGCTTCCTGTTGCCTGAGAACACTGCAGGGGGCTAGAGTGCCCCAGCCCACCATATGCTCTTGTGAGTTGTGTATGTCTGGAGTATGAGTGGGACCCTGGAAATAGCCTCCCTTGGGCAGTGTACAACCTGGGCTCCCTGCTGGGCAGCCCTGAGTAGGCTCTCAGGCTGGGATCCAGGATGACAGTCCCAGGGTCCAGAGTTGGCCCAGCAGGCGACTCTTCTGGCAACCTTTGCCCACCCTCATCCATGAGCACCTTCACACACACACACACACACACACACACCACACTCACACACATGCACAACGCTGCACCCATGGGCAGAGGCTCAGCCCATCATACAAGAACCCGGCCCTGTGCTGGGGTCCCAGCTGCTCAGGAGGCCAAGGTGGGAGGATCGCCGGAGCCCAGGAGTTCGGGGCTGCCACTGGCCAAGATAGCGCCACTGCAGTTCAGCCTGGGTGACAGAGCAAAACCCTGTCTCTAAGATAAATAAAAAGAACCAGACGGCCAGGCACGGTGGCTCACGCCTGTAATCCCAGCACTTTGGGAGGCCGAGGCAGGTGGATCACCTGAGGTCAGGTGTTTGAGACCATGCTGGCCAACATGGTGAAACCTCATCTCTACTAAAAATACAAAAACTAGCGGGGCGTGGTGGTGGGCGCCTGTAGTCCCAGCTACTTGGGAGGCTGAGGCAGGAGAATCGCCTGAACCTGGGAGGTGGAGGTTGCAGTGAGCTGAGATCACGCCACTGCACCCCAGCCTGGGCGACAGAGCAAGACTCTGTCTCAAAAAAAAAAAAAAAGGCTGTGCCTGGTGGTTCACGGCTGTAATCCCAGCACTTTGAGAGGCTGAGGAGGCCAGATCACAAGGTCAGGAGTTCGAGACCAGTCTGACCAACATAATGAAGCCCCGTGTCTACTAAAAAATACAAAAAAAATTAGCTGGGTATGGTGGCAGGCGCCTGTAATCCCAGCAACTCGGGAGGCCGAGGCAGGAGAATCACATGAACCTGGGAGGCAGAGGTTGCAGTGAGCCAAGATTGTGCCATTGCACTCCAGCCTGGGTGACAGTGTGAGACTCTGTCTGAAAAAAATAAAATAATTAATAATAACCAGACTCCCGACATCCAACAATCTCAGGCACTTATTAAGTACCTGCTGTGTGCCAGAAATTTTGCTGAGAATCCAGAGGAAGCGATCCTAGCAGGTGGCTGGGCAACAGCCTGGGGTCCTGAGGTGGAGGCAGGAGGGGCTGGAATCCCTGTAAACGGCCTCCCTCCAAGGAAGCCTGGCCCAGGCGCCCACCCTTCAGTCACCCTCCCCTGTTTAGCTCACACAGCTGGGTCAGTGCCAGGCAGCCCCACCCAACGTGGAGCTGTGGGGCCCTAGAACTGAGGAGCCGCCATCATTTCTGGCTCTGCCACCAAGAGGCTGCCCAGAGCCAGGCCCACTTAGTGCCGGGCGGCCAGGCTTCCCCCTGCTGAGCACCCGATGCCTAAGCGCCCTGCCAGCCCAGACAGCGCTAATGAGGCCGTCGTGCCAATCAGAGGGGCAGGCCGCCTGGGCTCCTCCTCAGCCTGGCTGGGCGTTGGGGTGTGGAGGTGAAGCCAGTGTCTGTGCCTGGGGTGGGGGGGACCATGGGCACAGCTGCCCCTCCGGCTTCCCCCACCGCTCACGGACCAACCGAGCTGTACCCTCAAAATCCAACGGGAGGCCGGGCGCAGTGGCCACGCCTATCATCCCAGCACTTTCAGAGGCCGCGGCGGGCAGATCACTTGAGGTCAGGAGTTCGAGACCAGCCTGGGCAACATGGTGAAACCCCATCTCTACTAAAAATACAAACATTAGCCGGGCACGGTAGCAAGTGCCTGTAATCCCAGCTACTTGGGAGGCTGAGGCAGGAGGACTGCTTGAGCTCGAAGGTTCCAGTGAGCCAAGATTGCGCCACTGGACTCCAGTTTGGGTGAGGAGCGAGACCCTATTTCAAGAAAAAAGTTTTTTAAAAAGAAGAGCCAATGGGAAAGTGAGGTGCAGGCAGCACCCTAGCTTGTATCCCTAAACCAGAGACAGTTCCCTGGCATCGGTGCTAGGCCTGTGTCCTCAGTCCCCTGGAAACTGTGGGAGAGTGTGTGTGGGCATCGTCTCTGGGAAGGGGGTGAAACCCCAGACTGCGTCTCCCCAGGATGGTGCCTGGCACGTGACCTGGTTTCGCACACAGTTGGTGCCTCATAAATGCGTGTGAATCATAGAGGCGGATGAGGCCAGCACACAGGGAGAGGCGAGAGCAGGCCCTGGCGTCGTGGCGTACGCTGTGCCCTGGGGGGTATTTGCATGTGGGAGTCTCTCTGCCCCCACCCTGGCCCCTGAGCGTGGGGACAGTGGGGACAGGTCTCCTCTTTTTCCTCCCCTGTGTCTGCAGGTGCCTGGCACGGTTGCTGTCCAGGGCTTAGAGGACAGAGGAAGAGCCCCTGAGTCTGTGCACACTCTGCCACCATGGCCCTGCCCACCTCTGGAGCCCACAGGTGCCCAGCCCAGGCCCCTTGCTTTTGGCTAGACTCCTGCCCTACGGGGACCCCCATGATGGCCACTCAGGAGATGGGCCCAGGAGGACAGGGGAGTGACTCCAGGCCATGACCGGAAGGGGCCTGTGGCCCCTGTTCCCAGTCCCCAGGGAGACGGGAGGGTCACACGCTGTTATGAGGAAGAGGACACCGGGCTGGCCCTGGCCCAGGGTGGCCAGCTCTGGTTTCACTACTTGGCCCCAAGCCCCTGAGGCAGGTGCAGGAGCCAGGCACGGTGAGCAGGGCCCAGTGCCCCTCAGGCTCTGGGGAAGGGGTACAGCCAGGTGGCCCAGAGCAAGGAGGTGCTGTAGACAGGTGTGACCACTTCCAGTCTCTCCCGGCCTGCTGGCCTTCATCCTCTCCCAGATTCCAAGGGCCACCGCTGGGAGCATGGGGTGGACATCGTCCCACCAGCCTCCTGGATCCACATCCGTAAAGACTCCAAAGTGAAGTGAGGCTGGCTTCACTCCAGCTCACAGCAGAGGAGGGGGCAGCCTCAGGGCCCAGCAACTTGCTCAGAGCGCACAGGAGTGCGCTGGGGCCGGGCCAGCCTGGCCCAGGGCCTCTGACTCTGCCCCCTGCCTGCAGGGCTGCACGGCCACTGTGTTCCACCCTCCAGCGTGGGTGGCAGTCCAGTGCGTCATTCTGGGGCCTGAGCAGTGTGGCCAGAGGCCGGTCTGGGGTGGAGGCGACCTGGGCTGCAGGTTGTGGCTGGGGTCCTTGCTATGCTTCTGGCAGCAGGAATCAGAGAAGCAGTAACTGGATCCAGCTGAGGGCCTGGCGGCCACCGAGGGTACGGGCGGCGATCAGGTTGCGGCCGAGCCGTGAGCGTTCCACTGGACGGCTTCTACATCCGGAAGGGCTGGGCCGGGCCGGGCCGGGAGCCCACACGGGGTTGGAGGAGGGGGGCAGGAACGAGAGAGGCCAAAAGGTGCAGGGCCGTGAAGAGGGGCGCTGGGCCCACGCTATGAGGAAAAGGGGATCAACCCTGCCCTCCAGCCCCGTAGGCCCTCAGGCCCTCGGGCTCTGGGCTCTGTGCAATCCGGGAGTGGCTGAAATCCAAGCTGAGGGTAATGAAAGGTGCTGCTCCTAAGCCGCACGTCTCTGATCCGCCCTCCCCGCCCGCCCTCTGCTGCCCGCGGGCCCTCTAAGAGCTGCCCAGGCTGCTGCCGCGGGTCAGAGGCGGGTCAGAGCAGGCAGGGGGTTCGTGACGCCGGCTGGGTCTGGGGGCTGTGGGCCAGCCGAGCCGACCCGGGCTTCTGGGGGACCGCGGGGGCCGTGAGCACTCAGAGGGCGCATCCCAGGCCCCTCCGGGGACCCGGCCAGCCTGAAGATGCCGACGAACGGCCTGCACCAGGTGCTGAAGATCCAGTTTGGCCTCGTCAACGACACTGACCGCTACCTGACAGCTGAGAGCTTCGGCTTCAAGGTCAATGCCTCGGCACCCAGCCTCAAGAGGAAGCAGACCTGGGTGCTGGAACCCGACCCAGGACAAGGCACGGCTGTGCTGCTCCGCAGCAGCCACCTGGGCCGCTACCTGTCGGCAGAAGAGGACGGGCGCGTGGCCTGTGAGGCAGAGCAGCCGGGCCGTGACTGCCGCTTCCTGGTCCTGCCGCAGCCAGATGGGCGCTGGGTGCTGCGGTCCGAGCCGCACGGCCGCTTCTTCGGAGGCACCGAGGACCAGCTGTCCTGCTTCGCCACAGCCGTTTCCCCGGCCGAGCTGTGGACCGTGCACCTGGCCATCCACCCGCAGGCCCACCTGCTGAGCGTGAGCCGGCGGCGCTACGTGCACCTGTGCCCGCGGGAGGACGAGATGGCCGCAGACGGAGACAAGCCCTGGGGCGTGGACGCCCTCCTCACCCTCATCTTCCGGAGCCGACGGTACTGCCTCAAGTCCTGTGACAGCCGCTACCTGCGCAGCGACGGCCGTCTGGTCTGGGAGCCTGAGCCCCGTGCCTGCTACACGCTGGAGTTCAAGGCGGGCAAGCTGGCCTTCAAGGACTGCGACGGCCACTACCTGGCACCCGTGGGGCCCGCAGGCACCCTCAAGGCCGGCCGAAACACGCGACCTGGCAAGGATGAGCTCTTTGATCTGGAGGAGAGTCACCCACAGGTGGTGCTGGTGGCTGCCAACCACCGCTACGTCTCTGTGCGGCAAGGTAGGGAGGGCACAGGTGGCGACCTCCTGAGGGGTGCTGGGACCCCCCTGCTTCAGGGAGGAGGCCGTGGGGGTCTCACGGGGAGTGGTATCGTGTCTGTGCGTTCACATGTCTGTTCTGGGCTGGGGGTCCATGTGGGACATGTGTGGCCACTCAGGGTGTAGGTGGGTGGGCCTCGGGCCATGCCCAGGCGACCCCCACTGAGGGGTGGTGGCTTCAGGGTCAGAGGCAAGGGTTCCTGGCCTTTCTCAGCATAGCTGGAGAATGTCTCAGCCAAGCCCTGGGCAGCTGCGGAGTCTGAGACTGGAGAGGTGTGGGCCAGGCGATGGGCAGTGCCCAGCAGGGGCAGGAGGCCCACAGCCTGGCCTGGTGCCATGAGGGGCATGTGGGCAGGAGGCTGTGGGGGGTCCATATCTCCCCTTCTTTTTCTCCACCCCATTTTCTGGACTTCATTTATTTATTTATTTTTTGAGACAGAGTCTCGCTCTGTCACCCAGGCTGGAGCGCAGTGGCGTGATCTCGGCTCACTGCAAGCGCCGCCTCACGGGTTCACGCCATTCTCCTGCCTCAGCCTCCCGAGTAGCTGGGACTACAGGCGCCCGCCACCACGCCCGGCTAATTTTTTGTATTTTTTAGAAGAGACGGGGTTTCACTGTGTTAGCCAGGATGGTCTTGATCTCCTGACCTTGTGATCTGTCCACCTCGGCCTCCCAAAGTGCTGGGATTACAGGCGTGAGCCACCGTGCCCGGCTGCATTTTCTGGACTTTAAAGGAAATTGGGGAGGAGCCCAGGGTAGGGCAGGGAGCTGGGGATCGGGCGGGGATAGCACCACCACGTGCCTGACCAGTGGAGCCTCGTGTCCTCAGGAGTGGGGGGGCTTAAGGTCAGCTCCAGTGATGGAGGACACGGTGGGCAGGCAGCTTTACCCGGGGCCTGGGCTCCTGGTGGGGAGGCACCTCCCTGCCCCAGTGGGGCGTGGCCTGGCTCTCCCCAGTTCCCAGGTCACCAGTTGCCTGTCTGTGTGACTCCCTCCACCGCCTATGGGGTGAACCCCAGCAGTTCCTCCTTCCCCACAAGCTGAGCTCTGAGGGAAAAGCCCTGGCCCGGGCAGTCACTACCCACCTGGGCTCCTGGCTCCATGCACCCCAGAGTGGCTCGGAGGTGGTCTGAAAAGGCGAGGTGGGGAGAGCCGGGTGCATGGAGCTCCTCCTCCCAACTCAGGTCCTTCCAGACCAGCATCAGCTGGGCAAGGAGAGCTCCCCTGTCTCCTGGCAGCTCCCAGGTGCCCACCAAGCCCCCACCCTGACGGATGTCCAGGCCCCCTGGGTACACTGACACTCTGGGGCCAGATGGCAGAGGCCCCACCCTGTGCATGGAGAGGGGAGCCCAGCCATGGCTATGGGGTCCTGCACCTGCAGTTGGCATCCTCGGGCCTGTCCCAGCAGTGACAGGGTCCCAGGAGTGAGAATTCAACTGTGGATGCACGGCCATGGCCCTTCCTTCCTATCACAGCCCACAGTCCAGCTGTAATGCCTGCTGGCCTGGGCCCAGGCCGGGCATGTGGCAATCCTTAGGTGGTTAAAGGGGGTAAGTGGGACAGTGGCAGTGAGAATGCTTCCTCCATGGAAGCCAAAGACACTAGACCTTTAGGCATTTGTATATGGACAGCTTGGAAAGCAGACTCAAAGTGGCAGTCATGGCCGTGGCCGTGGCATTGTGGTGTGATGTGCATGGTGGCGTGGAAGTGGAGGTGAGGACGGTGGTGACAGTGTGGTGGCAGCAGCGACAATGATGGTGATGGTGATGATGGTGGTGATGGTGATGATGGTGGTGATGGTGGTGATGGTGGTGATGGTGGTGATGGTGATAATGGTGATGGTGGTGATGATGGTGATGGTGATGATGGTGGTGATGGCGGTGGTGATGGTGATGGTGGTGATGGTGATGGTGGTGGTGGTGATGATGGTGGTGGTGGTGATGGTGGTGGTGATGATGGTGATGGTGATGATGGTGGTGGTGATGGTGGTGATGGTGATGATGGTGATGGTGATGGTGGTGGTGATAGTGATGATGGAGATGGTGGTGATGGTGGTGGTGATGGTGATGATGGTGGTGGTGGTGATGGTGATGATGGTGATGGTGATGGTGGTGATGGTGATGGTGGTGATGGCGATGGTGGTGATGATGGTGATGGCGATGATGGTGATGATAGTGATGGTGATGATGGTGATGGTGATAGTGATGATAATGGTGATGATGGTGATGGTGGTGGTGATGGTGGTGGTGGTGATGATAGTGATGGTGATGATGATGGTGATGATGATGGTGATGATGGTGATGGTGATGATGATAGTGATGGTGGTGATGGTGATGGTGATGATGGTGATGATAGTGATGGCGATGATGGTGATGATAGTGATGGTGATGATGGTGATGATGATAATGGTGATGATGGTGGTGGTGATGGTGGTGGTGGTGATGGTGGTGATGGTGATGGTGGTGATGGCGATGATGGTGATGATGGTGATGGCGATGATGGTGATAGTGATGGTGATGATGGTGATGGTGATAGTGATGATAATGGTGATGATGATGGTGATGGTGATAGTGATGATAATGGTGATGATGATGGTGATGGTGGTGGTGATGGTAGTGGTGGTGATGATAGTGATGGTGATGATGATGGTGATGATGGTGATGGTGATGATAGTGATGGTGGTGATGGTGATGGTGATGATGGTGATGATAGTGATGGCGATGATGGTGATGATAGTGATGGTGATGATGGTGATGGTGATGATGATGGTGATGGTGGTGGTGATGGTGGTGGTGATGGTGGTGGTGGTGATGATAGTGATGGTGATGATGATAATGGTGATGATGGTGATGGTGATGATGATGATGATAGTGATGGTGGTGATGGTGATGGTGGTGATGATGATGATAGTGATGGCGATGATGGTGATGATAGTGATGGTGATGATGATGATAGTGATGGTGGTGATGGTGATGGTGATGATAGTGATGGCGATGATGGTGATGATAGTGATGGTGATGATGGTGATGGTGATGATAATGGTGATGATGATGGTGATGGTGGTGGTGATGGTGGTGGTGGTGATGATAGTGATGGTGATGATGGTGATGATAATGGTGACGATGGTGATGATGATGATAGTGATGGTGGTGATGGTGATGGTGGTGATGGTGATGGTGGTGATGATAGTGATGGTGATGGTGATGATGGTGATGGTGATGATAATGGTGATGATGGTGATGGTGATGATGGTGGTGATGGTGATGATGGAGGCAATGGTGATGATAGTGATGGTGATGGCGATAGTGATAGTGATGGTGGTGGTGATAGTGATGGTGATGGTGATGATGACAGTGATGATGGTGATGGTGGTGATGGAGGGGTGCTGACAGAGTGGTGGAGGGATGGGGACTGTATGGACCATTTTTCAGTCTCTTGATCCTCAACCACCCTGCATCTGACCCTATCATCCCTTTGAGGGGAGAATCCCCTACTCAAGACCAGCTCCCATCTCCCACTTTAGAAGCAGGAAGCAGCAGCCACTCGCCTCCCTGCCTTCAACAGGGCTGAGGGTGAGGACCCAACCACCAGGTGTTTCAGGCTCTGGATTGGCGGCCAGGGCTGTAGGGAGCGGGACATGGCATCTCAGTCCTGGGGCATGGAACCTCACGGCTTCCAAGGCAGCTGCAGCGTGGGTGGTGCCATAGCATCACCCCTACCCGGCCTCTGTGGAGTGGCTACATGGCAGGCCCTTCATCGAGGCATCTCCCTGGCTGGGCGGCCCCTAACCCTCTCTTCCCCCCTGGGAGGGGAGTGAGCACCCAGGCTTGCATGTATCCCCCCCCATCGGCCAGAGCCTGCTCATTTCTGCCAACAGACAGCATGGCAGGCAGTGTCTGATGCTGCCAGTAACAGAAAACTGGCCACAGGCTGGCTCAAGCAGTGACACTGATCATCTCCTGAAACGGGAGTCCAGAGAGCCCTGGGCATGGTGGGTTCCCAGGCAGCCACTATCACCCGCTCAGCAGCTTCCCCGGAGTCCTCCGTTCTTACCTCCTCACCGAACCACTCTCCTGGGTCAGCTCTGACCTCAGCCTGACGCCCTCACGGTAGTAATGTGGCTGCTGGTATTCCAGGCCTCACATCCAGGCAGGACAAAGTCCAGAGGAAAAAGAGGCACTGGCTCTGCTTGTGTCTTCATAGGAGTAAGAAAACTTCTCCCCTAAGTCCTAGCAGACACTTCTTCACACTCATTTGCCAGAACTGAGTCCCCCAACTGCTCAGCTAGCCCCTCTGGAGGGGGGTAAAACCAGTGTTGCCCAGACCAAGGCGGACTCCACTCCTCTCCTATTTTGAGGCCATGTCCCCGGAAGCAGGTGGCTGAATGAGTAGCCCCAGACAGCATCCTGTCTGAAGGGGGTGTGGGGCAACTCTGGGGACACCAAAGTGCTGGCCTGGGAGGTGCAGTGGCGGGGGGAGCCCTGCGATGCTGTGGCTTCCTTCAGTGCCCGCAGGGACGGCGTTCCCACACCTCTCATGGGCCCCTCCTGCGGGCTCCTGCTGCCCCCGGGTACCGTGTCAGTGTTGCCCTCCACTGGGCCCAGGCAGCTGCTTTTAGTTCAGTATTTGCCAGGATCTAGAGCTGGTGGCAGTGGGGATGCTGGCACGAATACTCGGTCACAGTGCAGGGGACATGCCGGGTGCTCCTCTGCGTCTGATCAGTGATGAGTGTGAGGGAGATCCCAGCCTGGGGCGTGAGGGGCAGCTTTGGGGCTGGCAGAAGGCAAAAGGTCCCAAGCTGTCTGGCATGGTCACAGCCTGGCATCCTCTCCCCTGGGCACAGCGTGGGATGGGATCTGGCCCCACCCTCAGGCCCTGTGGGGGCTCTGCCCACCACTCCCTCCCAGTCCCCAGCTGGACAGGCCACCAGAGTCCCTGGGCCTTGTGGGAAGCTCCGCAATCTGACACACCACTCCCAGTGTCTGGCTGCCATGCAAACAGGGAGGTGGTTTGTGGGAGGAGCCAGGGACTTAGTTCACAGAAGATCCTGGGTAGGCTCTGGTGCCTGCTGTCCCCATGCTGGGCATGGGTGCCCCTCCATCCCCTCGCAGGAACCCCAGATGGAGCCCGGGGCAGTCTTGTCCTCCCCCAGGGGTCCTGGGAGACCAAGCACAGATGGTTGGGGAAAGCTGCAGAGGTGACAGGGACCAGCCCCTGGCTGGAGCCCAGGGGTGCCCCATCACCATCCGCACCATCCCCTTCATTAGGTCCTGCCTGTGCCCATCCAGCAGCTTAGGGTGAGTTATAAATAGAGGCTGGGGTAAGCCCTGGGTCAAGAGAGCAGGGCAAGGAGATTACCAGCTGATTACTGATTAGCAGAGAGTGGGGGCTGTGCCAAGCAGAAGGGCCTGGCTCCTGGGGGTGTGGAGGGAGGTCAGGGCTCCCTTGGGGACAGTGTGCAGGGTCCACAGACGGCACATATGGCCCTGGGGCAGGGTTCCCAGGGTCTCTGAGAGGTGCCTTCCAAATCTTCTCAAGTCAAGAGGGTTCTAGATGAGACCCACCTCTGGCTTCAGGGGTGCCCCCCAAAATATGCCCCCTCCCCTGCTCCCTACCCAGGAGAGGCGTGAGGGGCTTCCCCATCTCCTCCCTCCAGGGGTCAACGTCTCAGCCAATCAGGATGATGAACTAGACCACGAGACCTTCCTGATGCAAATTGACCAGGAGACAAAGAAGTGCACCTTCTATTCCAGCACTGGGGGCTACTGGACCCTGGTCACCCATGGGGGCATTCACGCCACAGCCACACAAGTGTGAGTGCACACATCCCTTCCTCCTCCATCATCCCCATCCCCACCATCACCATCCCCATCATCACCATCCCCACCATCCGCATCCCCATCTCCATCCCCACCACCCCCACCCCCACCAGCCCCATCCCCATGACCACCATCCCCATCTCCACCATCTCCATCACCATCATCGCCATCCCCATCCCCATCATCACCATCCCTATCACCACCATCCCCATCATCACCATCCCCACCATCCGCATCCCCATCTCCATCCCCACCACCCCCACCACCACCAGCCCCATCCCCATCACCACCATCCCCATCTCCACCATCTCCATCACCATCATCACCATCCCCATCTCCATCACCACCATCCCCATCACCATCCCCATCTCTATCTCTACCATGCCCATCACCATCATCACCATCCCCATCTCCACCATCCCCATTACCATCTCCACCATCCCCATCTCCATCCCCACCATCCCCATCTCCATCCCCATCTCTGCCATCCCCACCATCACCATCCCCATCTCCATTTACATCCCCATCCCCATCCCCCTCACCATCCTCATCCCCATCCCCCTCACCATCCTCATCCCCATCTCCACCATCCCCATCTCCATCACCATCCCCCTCTCCATCCCCATCCCCATCTCCATCACCATCCCCCTCTCCATCCCCATCCCCATCTCCATCTTCACCATCCCCACCACCGTTCCCATCACCTGCACCATCACTCCCACCACCATCACTGCCTCGGCCATGAGGATTGCCGTAGCAGCTCAGTCAGAAAGGAAAGCCCACTGGGGCAGGGTAGCGCCTGATGGTGGTGGGTGTGTCAGTGGAGGGCAGGCTTCTGTCCCACTCCTTGGAACCTGAGGAGGATGGGGAAGTGAGACCCTGCACCCCCATCTCCTGCTGTCCTGAGGAGACCTTTTGCTGCTCCCTCCAGTTCTGCCAACACCATGTTTGAGATGGAGTGGCGTGGCCGGCGGGTAGCACTCAAAGCCAGCAACGGGCGCTACGTGTGCATGAAGAAGAATGGGCAGCTGGCGGCTATCAGCGATTTTGTCGGTGAGCACTCTGCCTGCCAGGTACTGGGGCAGGGGCTGTCTCCACCCAGGGAAAGGACCTGCCCAGACACCCCATCTCCACCAAGAGCTGGACCCTCCCCAGCCCACGGAACGGGTGCTGTCATGGAGTCATACTTGCTAGTCAAGATAACTCGTCTTGGCAAGGGAAACAGGTCTGAATGTCCTTATCTCCGCTGCTGGGAACCCCCTAGGCGCCTTGCCAAGGCCGCACATGAGGCAATGGCAGGCCTGGGTCCCTAAGTCCAGGTGTGGCGTTTCCCAGGGCCCCCACCCCGCCCGGCCTGGACAGGGAAGGTGGCGGGAGGGGCAGCGCAGCAGACGCTCTCCCCGCCAGGCAAGGACGAAGAGTTCACCCTCAAGCTCATCAACCGGCCCATCCTGGTGCTGCGCGGCCTGGACGGCTTCGTCTGCCACCACCGCGGCTCCAACCAGCTGGACACCAACCGCTCCGTCTACGACGTCTTCCACCTGAGCTTCAGCGACGGCGCCTACCGGATCCGAGGTGCGTGGCGGGGCGGGTGGGCACGCGGGAGCGGGGGTGGCAGCGGGCAGGTGGGCACCCCCGCCGACGCCGTCCCGTCCCCCAGGCCGCGACGGAGGGTTCTGGTACACGGGCAGCCACGGCAGCGTGTGCAGCGACGGCGAACGCGCCGAGGACTTCGTCTTCGAGTTCCGTGAGCGCGGCCGCCTGGCCATCCGCGCCCGGAGCGGCAAGTACCTGCGCGGCGGCGCCTCGGGCCTGCTGCGGGCCGATGCCGACGCCCCGGCCGGGACCGCGCTTTGGGAGTACTGAGGCCGCGCCCAGACCAGCCTGTCGCGCATTAAAACCGTGTCTCTCCCGCAGCTGTGGGTGGGCCCCGGGGCGCCGCTTGGGGGTCCTGCAGCTGGAGGTGGAGGAGGCCCACAATTCTCCCCAAACCAGAGAGAGCCCAGAACTTCCCAGTGCCCAGGGACTCCCGTCTGGGAGGTGGTCTTGTGGATGGGCCGGGTGACCCAGGCCGCTGGAGGGGAGGTCTCAAGGACATGGGGAGGACGGGGACTGGGGGTGGGTGGGGGACTGAGCCTGCGCGGGTTGAGGCCACCAACACCGACCACAGATGACCTCACTGGACACCGCCCCTCCCCAACCTAGGTCCTCAACCCTCCCTAGCCCCCGGCAGCCCCTGCGGTGCTCGTCCTTCCTTGTGCACTGCTCAAGGCCAGGCGAGTGGCAGAGGGTGGGGGAGAGCCAGTCCTGGGGAGGTGGGACCAGCACGGCCAGCAAGGGGAGGAACTGGCTGGGATGCCCCTCCACTAAGCCCACCAGCCTTAGGGACAAAGAAGGGCAGGTTTCCATGGTAAGAGGCTGGAACTCCCCGAGCCACGTGGGCAAGGCGGGTCCGAGTTAACCCTTGGAGGACCAGGTGCCACCTGGTCCAAGTTGGCAGGGAACGGCAGTGACCCTGGAGCTCGGGCTGTCCCTGCAGCCTGCAGTGTCCCCTGGTGGCAGCCAAGGTGAGGTGGAGTCTGTGGCTGGGGCGGGACTGGGGGCACCAGGTGGAACCGCAGTGGCTGGCACTCAGCACCTCCAGGCTCCCCGCTCAGCAGAGCCTCGGAGAGGGTCTGTCTCCCTGCACTGCCCTGCCTGACGTGAACTTGGCCTGCCACTGCGGGAACCCCCACTTCCGTCCACATCCACAGCCTGGGGCACGGCGGGAGGCAGAGGCTAGGAAGCGGAGGGTGGGGTGGGAGGTCAAAGAAACCCTTTGGAACGGAATAATGGCTGGGCCTGGAAGCGGGGGGCCCACTGCTGCTGCTGAGGCAGGTGCTACTCCATGCAGAGACAGCTGCCAGCAGCTGCCAGGTGGCGTCTAGCACATGCTCCTAGGAGGAGGGGGAAGAACAGCTGCTCTCACCCCACGTGTGAGCTGGGTTGAGGGTCATGCAAGGCTACGGTGTCAAGCCAGGATCGGAGTTGGAGCAGGTGGAGGAAGCTGGAAAGGTCGAGAGGCCGCCCCTGCCACCGGGGAAGGGCCTCACGTAGTGAGAGCTCAGGTGCTGAGAGCCCAGGAGGTGTGCACTGAAGAGGTGAGGGCAGGGAGGCCCAGGATGGGCGACAGGGCCCGGCCACACCGTGGTCCGCAGGCTCCCCGAGAAGCTGATTGTGGACCTGCCACCTGCCTCTGAGGCCAAGCCCTCCTCAAATGCCGAGTGTTGAGAGCAGGTTCCTTGGAGGTGCATGTGAGTTGGGTACATTTCGCCCAGTCCCTGTACACTCTGGCGGCACAGCGGGGCTGGGGACTGCCCACTGTGGTCCCTCCTTTCCTGCCGCTGTAGATCTCCTTTTTGTTCCACGTGACCTGCTCTCTTGGCCCCTCAGGGTCTGCGTCGCAGCTTTCTTTTCGGGGGGACCACATGGCGTCTTGAACTAGGCGTCCCCACAGCAGGATCTCAGGCTGGCAGGTGGGCATGAACATTTGTAAACACACCAGCACTGATGCCTCCACATGGGTGGCCCTGGAGAATGCCCCAACAGAGGTCAGGACAGCTGGGGACGCCGTCTCAGCCCTGGTGGCCAGCACCGCCTTAGTTCAGGAGGCTGCAGTGCCAAGGACAGCAAGCTATCTAAACCCCCAGTGTGTGCCCGGGGGTGTGGGGACACCAGTGCGGCTCATCCCTGTGTCTGCTCTTTCACAAGCCACAGTGGTGCCCCCACACCCCCTGCACAGCTGAGGCTGACAGGGTTGGATGGTGCCACTGCTCTGCACAGACAGCAGCCCCGTGGAAGGCCCCTCAGGCTCCCAGCCTCCTGAGACCTGCTGGCATCCAGCTGAGGGTGGGGAGATGAGTCCTGCAGGCGACCCAGATCTGTCAGCTCTGGGATCCCTGTGGCCTGTGATGGCGAGTGAGGGGCTGGCACAGCCCTGGACACACACCCCTCCCCCAGGCGTGTGAACACAGACCCTGCACAGTCCTCCGCCCGCTCATCTAGGGCCTTCTTGGGAGTCCCCACGGGCTGGTCTAGCCCCTCACTCTCCGAGCCCTGATGCTCAGAGCAAGACACGGGCACAAGCGCTGTACAAAGGTCAGAGCCAGAAGCTCCTGCCCACGGGTGGCAGAGGACAGCCCTGGAGCACAGCAGGGATGGGACCGTTAAGGGGTGCAGGCCTGCCTCGGTGGGTGGCTCGCTTGGCCCCAGCTCTCCCAGCAAGCACGGGGCCATGGCCCCATTGAAAAGGCTGGGTTTGGAGTGTCACCACCCACTGAAAATGCTGGGTTTGGACTGTCTCCACCCGCTGAAGAGGCCGGGTTTGGAGTGTCATCAGGGCGGCCGTGCTCCCTTAGATGTGGCAACCACTGAGGGAGACAAACCCTGACTAGGAGCACCCCACAGGCCCCTCCCACTCCACAGAGAGGAACGCAGGGGAGAGCCAGGCAGGGGCCCCAGGCCTCCCAGACACCCCCTTGCAGCAGAGCCCTCCTCAGGGGTAACTGGGTCACAGGGACGCGTCTTCCTCAGAGGCCACCCCGGTGGTGAGGGCTCCCAAGCAGCGCCAGGGCTCTGGAAGGAGCCCAGTGAGAGAGGGTGGGAAGGGGTGAGAGAAAACAGCCGAGGCCTGAAGGTTCACGGACAGACAGGGTCGTTTGTCACAGCAGAGAAGCACCTCACGGCTCCTACCCGCACTCATCGCGGACAGTGCCTGCAGCGGGAGCGGCGCGAGCACCCTCCCCAGATGAAAACACCAGCACCAGGAGGTGGGCCGTAGCCCAGGCTGAGGGAGGAGGCTGGGGGCTGGGGCTCAGGGCCCCCCCCCGGGCCACAGCGCCACCCTGAGTGGCCCTGAAAATAGTGCACAGTGCTGGGTACTGCCCCGGCTGGAGGCACCTAGTTGTTGAGCATTCCGGCCACAGGCCACCCGCTGGCCCTTCCTTGGTGTGGCACGAGACCACGGGCACTTGCAGGAGCTCCCTGCATGCTGTTTTGTGCTTTGGTCTCAGGGAGCACCCTCCTACCTCGGGGTCCCAGAGTGGGCAGCCGGGCAGGTGTGAACAGTGTGACAAGGGTACCGTGGGGCACCTGGTAGTGCCACCCAGAGGGGCAGCCGGTGCTCCTGGTGGTGTGGCAGCAACAGTTACAAACTCACCCCAAGTCCAAACCCCAGAAATCCTGTTTCTCTGGCCCTCCGGGTCCAGAATGCCCTGCACTGCCTCCTGGCCTCAGGGGCTGCTGCGGTGGTGGGAAGGCTGCCCAGCAGTGAGGAAGGCGAGTGCAGGGGCTGCGGCCGCGGTCAGAGAAGGAGAGACACCAGCAGAGGACGCGAAGCTGGACCGGCCAGGTTCAGAGCCCGCCTCGGTTGCTCCCAATCAGAATCTGCTTTGTGCTCCACGGCCTCCAAGCACTTTCATGAGCGTTCTGCTCCTACGTGGCCAGGTCCTACCTTCCCTGACGGCTCTGGCCAGGCCAGCTCGGTTTCCCTCTAACCCATGAGGCCTGGGGGGGCTGTGACAGAGGCTGGAAGCGTGGCCAGAGCCCAGGGGCAGGCCCGCCTGGTCACAGCAGGATGAGGCTGGGGTGGCGCAGCTGCCGGTACACCTGTAGCAGCCTCTGGGCGGTGGCACAGGAGCTGGCCTCATCCTCCGTGCAGAGCCGGTCGCGCAGGGTCTGCACCTCCCGCAGCAGTGTCTGCAGGTGAAGCAGACACAGCTCAGGCCCCCCACCTGGCCCTGGGGATGTCACTGGGTACCTCTGGGGGACCCACCACTCGCAGGACCCTACTTGGGAAGTGGCAGGTGGTCCGAGGAAGAACACTCATCCGGAACCTTAAAACATGGGACACGCAGCCTGGCCCGGACACCCAGCCCCTCAAGTAGGATGAGGGGCAGGAAGAGCCATGGCCGCTCGGACTTTGCCCCAGGCCCATGGGAGCGAAGCCCATGCGCTGTGAGGACTCTGCGGACCCCGAGTGACTAGAGGGGGGCCTGGCGATGGGCGCTCCTGGCTACCCAGGGGAAGGGGACTGCCCGGGGAACCGGGTGCTCACCTCGTGGTTGGCGTGGATCTGGCGGAGGTACTGCACACGGAGATCAGGAGCGCTGGAGCCCTGGGTGGCCTGCTCTGTCACCATCGTCTGGGGGACACAGGAGACATGCTGGAGAGGGTGTGCCCCAGCACCTGCCCCCACACCCCTTGGAGCAGGGTGACCCTCTCCCTCGAGCTGCCTGGTGCTGCCTCCCTGCCTGGCACCCCTCCCCACCCCAGCGCTTTGCTGTTTTCCACCTTGCTGTTCATCTCGACTTCCTGCCCTCCAGAGCGGCAGGGCACAGAGCCCCTGGCCTGACAGTTTCTTGGAAGCGAACTCGTTTGGTTCTTTTCTCTCCATCGCTGGGATCTTCCCTGTCCCCAAGAGCCACACTCTGTGCAGATCCAGACCTGCCTACCGCCCCCTTCTCCCATCCTGGGCTTCAGGCCTGAAGGCCGCTCAGGAGAACAGACCAGCCAGGGAGCTGCCTCGGCGTCTTGTGCAGAGACCCTGGCCTGGCCATTCACTCATTCACGCAGCCCAGCCCAGTGTGGGCTGCAGCACTGGCTCCCTGGGCTTGGATCTAAATTCCCAGATGGGACCAGGTGTGGCTCAGACCTGTAATCCCAGCACTTTGGGAGGCCGAGGCAGGCGGATAACTTAAGGTCAGGAGATCGAGACCATCCCGGCTAAAACGGTGAAACCCCGTCTCTACTAAAAATACAAAAAATTAGCCGGGCGTAGTGGCGGGCGCCTGTAGTCCCAGCTACTTGGGAGGCTGAGGCAGGAGAATGGCGTGAACCCAGGAGGCGGAGCTTGCAGTGAGCCGAGATCCCGCCACTGCACTCCAGCCTGGGCGACAGAGTGAGACTCCGTCTCAAAAAAAAAAAAAAAAAAAAAAAAAAAAAAAAAAATATATATATATATATATATATATATATATATATGAAATCAGCCAGGCGTGGTGACAGAGCCTGTAATCCCAGCTATTCGGGAGGCTGAGGGAGAATTGCTTGAACCTGGGAGGCAGAGGGTGCGGTGAGCAGAGATCTCACCGCTGGACTGCAGCCTGGGTGACAGAGCCAGAGCTCTATCTCAAACAAACAAATAAAACTAAATTTCCAGATGAGCCTGGGCAGTGAGGCTCCTGCAGGCTCTTGGAGCAAAGCAACTGTGAAGAGACGACACCCTGAGGGGCAGCACTGGCCTGCCGGGGGCTCCAGAAGTGCTGGTGGCTGCACTGTGTGCTGGGCAGGGTCCTGATCACTCCTGTTCCTGGGGCGGGCACCTAGCTGTTGGGGGACACTAAGGTCTGCAGCCTGAGATGAGATCTGTGTCCAGGAGGCAGCAGCAGTGCATGGGCTCCTGGGCGCTGACTCAGGCCCCCCAGATTCATGCGGAAGCCCTAGTGCCAGCACTCAGAGCCTGGCTGTGTCTGGAAATGGGGTATCTGCAGATGATCAAGATGAGGTCACTGGGGTGGGTCTGACCCCACACGACTGTGTCCTTGTAAGAAAAGGGATATCTGGACACAAACCCAGGGGCTGGAGCTCTGCTCTTGGCAGGGGATGGGACTTTCTTGGGGACCAGATGGTCCAGTGGGCAGAGTTTCCTCTGACAGGCAACACCTCAGCTCTGGAGAACCCCCTGGTGCCCCCAGCACTCAGGACTAGACCCCCAAGCCCAGGCAGCCCCATCGTGGTGCCGTGAGATCACTGGGGTCATGGTGCTGCGTGACATGCTCATCAGGGTCATGGCAGTGTCACAGTGCAGGGCACAGGGTCCTTGCACCAAATGAGATCTCTGGGTCATGGTGCTGCGTGAGTTGATGTGTTCATTGGGGTCGGCCATCTGAGCCACCTGCCAGGGCTGGGCAGAGCCACTGTTCACAGAAAGGCCTGGTCTCCAAGCATTACCACAGTGCCCACGGGAGTCAAGCTGGCGTCAGGCTGCAGGCCCTGGGTCTCAGGGTTGGGCAGGCCTGGGCATGCACGTTGATAACAAGCCCAGGTGGAGCTGAGGCAGGGACCACCCCTAAAAAGAAACTCCGGAACCGGTTTCTAGGGTCGCTGCAGACCCACCATATGGGCCAAAGCTGCGCTACAGTCCTAGCGGGCGGGCGTGACGGATGCCTTCCCGCGGGCACGAGCTTAGACTTTAGCTTGGAACTTGGAGAGCTTCTTCTCAGATCTGGCAGCCGCTGACCCAAGCTGGCTCTGGGCACAGCATGGAAGCAGCTATTCCTGTGCCAGGGAACTCCTGGGGCTGTGAGTGGGGGGAACTGCAAACTCCACTCTCTTGGCAAAGATGTGGAGGCTCCTACCACCTCGTTCTAGGATCCACGCCCAGGCCACGGCCTCTCCAGGCAGCCTCTGCCCAGCCAGAGAAGGGAGGAAACCTTGGGCTGACCTCGCAGGTCACAAATAGAAACCCACTGGCCTTGTAGCCCGGGCAGTCCTTGGACTCACAGGTGCCCAGGGGGTGACGGCACACCTGGGGAGCAGCATTGGCCTCCTGAGAGGGTCCACCCCATGCCTCTCATCGCCCACAGCTCCACTGCACAACACCGCACTCAGCGGCAGAGCAGACTTGGATCTTCCTACAACTCCCTTGCAGGGAGCCGCAGACCCCGTGGCCAGCAGCTACAGGGTCCCATGCAGGGACCTTAGTGAGCGACCCACAGATCCTGGCCACCTTCCCCAGCGGGCCGACATACCTGCATGCGCCCGACAACGGCATGGTGCGCCCTGCAAATGTCGGCCAGAGAGGAGCTTTCCACTTGAATCTCCACGGCCTGGATGGGCCCTGCTGGGCACAGGTCAGTCATGGCCACCTGCAACACAGGAGCCACCTCACTGCCTGCCTGTGGCACTCCCACCTGCCCGGGGGGCTCAGGCTACACAGGAGCCTCCCCAGCTGGCAGCACGTGAGGCCCTGAGATGGTCCCAACCCCCTGCCCTGGGCTGTCCTATACCCTGAAGGAGCAGAGCTCAGTACCCTGGTTTAGCTTTTTCCACCTGAAGAACCAGCCACCAACCAATGGCAAGAACCTGCTCTGTACCCAGGTGTGTCCAGGAAGACACCATCCCTCAGACCTGTGGAATTCACGCAGGGCCTCGAGCCAGACTGGGGCCTGCTCCAGAAGAAGGCCACTACTGTGACACACCTTGTGGACAACCTACATGTAGATCCTGCCACGCCCTTGGGGGGCCCAGATCCGTCCCCCCACACCAGGCATCACAGATCACCTCTGGCAGCAGGGTTAGGGCATCGCTGTGGGCACTGGGAGCTGCTGGGCCTATCTATGGGACACCCACCTGTCCCTTAGGAAGGTTGGACTGAGCTGAGCTGGACAACAAATGGCAAGAACAGGCCAAGAGCCAGGAAGCCGGGCTTATTCTGCACACACAGCACAAGAGGTGAGACGCCAGGGGCCTGGGGAGCCCAGAGAGGACACAGTCACCTGCGGCTCTCCCACAGGGGCCGCCAGCACCGACCTGCCGGGCCACCAACAGACCCCAGCATCAGGGCTGAAAGGGCTGTGTAGAGGGCAGCCAAGGTACCCGAGGGCCGAGGCTTGATTCCAAGTGCAGACTCTGGGCCGGGCACAGTGGCTCACGCCTGTAATCCCAACACTTTGAGAGGGTGAGGTGGGCGGATCACCTGAGGTCAGGAGCTCAAGACCAGCCTGGCCAACATGGTGAAACCCCCGTCTCTACTAAAAACACAAAAATTAGCTGGGTGTGGTGGTGGGTGCCTGTAATCCCAGCTACTCAGGAGGCTGAGGCAGGAGAATCGCTTGAACCCAGGAGGCAGACGTTGCAGTGAGTCAAAATCGCACCACTGGACTCCAGCCTGGAGACAGAGCGAGACCTTGTCTCAAAGAAAACCAAAACCAAGTGCAGACTCTGAGCCCCAGGCAGCCTTGCCCATCCTCAGGGACACACGTGTCCTGGCAGCCTGGGCTACCCTGCAAGCGCCTTTGCTGGTGGGACTTGAGAGTGTGCTGGAGGCACCACAGTCCTGAGTCTCTGGAAAGGTGTGCACGACAGGGGCTGGAGACCAGCAGTGCCATTTGCCATTCAGCGGCTTCCACGACAGGTCTGGAGCCTTCTGGCAGTGCAGAGGGTTAGCGGGGCTGCTGCTCCTGGGGTAGAGGTGTTGGTGGCAGCACTGTGGAACCCGCTATGACTTCAGTCCTGTGCAGGGGAAGGGGACCCCCATGGCAGACAGGGATGGACAGGGCCAGTCCTCGGGGATCTGAGCTGCAAGGCCCTCCCTGCCTGAGTGGGGTCTGCTTGGTGCGAGGGGAAACTGTCATATCAGAGTCCTCCGGGAAGCTTGGGAAAAGGCTGCCAGGCCCCCACCCAGGGTGAGGGGTCCTCCCGAGCTCCGGCCCAGGGGCCCCACCCCAAGAACTGCTGGTGCCGTGGCTCGTTTCCCTGAACCCCTGCTTGCCTCTCGGACGATGAGGTGAACGTTGGCGCCATCAGGGGCCACTCCCTGGATGGAAGATAGTGCTCGGGCCCTCACGACGTCCACAGCAGCATTCTCAGCAAGGAGCCACTGCAGGGTGGCACAGCACAGGGGCACGCCTGGAGGGGAGGCATCAGCCGAGAGCTCAGCCTGATCCTACCAGGTGGGCTCAGCCGATCCTACCAGGTGGGCATCTGCATACCTGCCCCAAAGTGCCCTTCCCAGAGCCATCTAAGCATCCCAGCTGTCCCCAGCCCCACCCTAAGCTGCGGCGTGGCCAGCTGACCCAGAGGAAGGAGGCCACTGCTCAACTTTCTCTGCTGAACAAGTCCTACGTTGGGTGGTGGCAGTTACGATCTGTGGAAGGTGAAAACCTCACTTTGGGGGACCTGCTAATGCTCCTGGGAGCCGATGTTAGGAGCAGGCAGCTCCGCCCGGCACTGGGCAGAAACACCCCAGGGGATGGCTGCGGCTGCCCTCTCTGCACAAGCCCAAATCCAGAAACCATCCAAATACCCATCTGCAGCAGAACGGTGACATCTGCACCTGCGACACAGAGGGTCTCACACACATGGGGGAGCAAAGGACAGACACAAAGAAGGGACTGCACACTCCATTTCGTGGAGCTCACACATGCCTGATGAACGGTGCTGGGGCTTTGGGGTGAGCGCAGCTGCCTCCCTCCCCGGGTGCCCGCACTGTGAAGCTCACAGTTTGCTCCTTTGTGACTCTTCTGTATTTAGGTTACGCTTCCATATATAGGTTTAAAAAACATAACTGAAAAGAAATACATGGTGAGAGGGCTCCACATAAGGCCAGAGCCCAACAGCAGAGAGAACGCAGGCGAAGCTCATTTCCTGAGCAGAGCTCGCTGGGCTGGGGGGCCAGGATGCCCCAGGAGCAGCTGGGAGAGGGAGGAACAGCCCATGTCCACAGGCCCGAGGTGGGTGGGGTGAAGTGGCTCATGCAGGTAATCCCAGCATTTTGGGAGGCCCAGAGGAGATCAATTGAGGCCAGGAGCTCGAGGCTGCAGTGAGCCATGATTGCACCACTGCACTCCAGCCTGGGCAACAGAGCAAGTTCCTGTCTCTTAAAAAAAAAAAAAAAATCCCCAAGGCTGAGCAAAGCCAAGCAGTGCCACCAACCTGAGTGGCCGTCCTTCAAGGCAGCTCTGAGCAGCTCCGCCGACACCTTGATGGAAGCCACAGATGGGGGCAGGTACTCGGCCCGCAGGGAGGCGGGTCCTGCTGGCTGGCTGCCAGGCTCCCGACAAGTTTCCAGAAAAGTGGCCACAGGGTCTCGGGTGGGGCCGAGTGGGGAGGGGGCCCGTGTGTGTGGCGGGGCCAGGCCAGGGAAGCGCAGACACTGCAGCATGTCCACTGTGTGCCTGCTCAGGGGCAGGCAAACACCCTCTTGCTCGGGCAGGACGTCGGAGGGGCACTCATCCAGAAAGGGGTCCTCAGAGTCTGAGGGGGCAAGGGCCCCGCCCACCACCTCCCTGAGACTGTAGAACAGCGTGCAGGACACGGTCACGGGCAGGTCGAGCCCGCCGTTCTCACCAGGGCCCAGGGGTAGCGTCACCTCCCGCCGAGCACCGGGGCCGAGCTGGTCCACGGGGATGGTGTAGGTGATGGCGGAGCAGGCCGAGTCCAGGTCGAGAGCACAGGAGCTGGTGAGCACCTGGATGCACAGGGTCCACCCCTGGTCCAGGCTGAAGCTGCTGCTGTTCTCTAGCACGCAGGTGGCCATGAGCACATCCTGTGTCTGCAGGCGGCTCCAGGTGGTGCTGGTGGTGCAGGAGATGGGTCTGGGGCCCGTGCCGCTTGACAGCAGTGCACAGCTCACGTTCATGGCCTCGTTGAGGCTTGTCAGTGCCTTGTTCCGCTGGTCAACCGCCTTCTTTAGAAAAGACACTCTGCGAAGGACAGACATGACCCCCGGGAGCGGGGGGACACCCACAGCACCAGGTGCCACATCTTGACTCAGGCCTGGTAGGCACCGAGCCTGGCTCCACGACAAGCACACGGTGGGTGTGGAGCCACGCCAGAGAGTGAGCCCCCGCCCCAGGGGCATGTTTCTCCCGGCCCCACCCACACCGAGCCTCTCTGGAAGCTGCCTCCAGCCATCTGACCTGACCTCTCCTCTTGGGCCACAGGAGGAAAGAGGACAGAGGATGAAGCTGGTGCTCCGGGGACCTAGGCTAATCTGCCAGGTATGAGAAGCGCACCACCCACATCTGGGCCACGCAGGGGCCGGGTGGTGCATTACCCCACCCTTGGCTCCCCAGAATGTTCCTAGTGGGCCTCTTTTCTCCCTTGCAGCCTTCACAGTGAAAACCAGGGGGGTCGCAGGCGCTACAGAAACAGCCCTAAACCACAGGGACCCGGAGTGACAGGCCCCTCGCTCTCGGGACCCCAGTGGTTATGTGAGGGGAGCAGGGGAGGCTGCGCGCACTCAGTGTGTTCTCTCTGAACGTCCCGAAGCCAGTGCTGCGGGAGGAAAAGCACACTGGATCCTGTGCTGAGAGCAGGGAGGGTGAGGACTCAGCAGGGGACGTCTCCCGTGCCCCACTAGGGAGAAAGGGTGGGCTGCTGGGGGGCAGTCCCGGCTTATCTTCCAGAGGTAGCCAGGTAGCCTGTCACCAAACAGTGGGACGCATGAGGCTCTCAAGACATCTTAAGAGGACAAGTAACGGCCGGGCACGGTGGCTCACGCCTGTAATCCCAGCACTTTGAGAGGCCAAGGCAGGCAAATCACCTGAATCCAGGAGTTCGAGACCAGCCTAGGCAACATGGTGAAATCCCATCTCTACTAAAAATACAAAAATTACCCGGGCATGGTGGCAGGTGCCTGTAATCCCAACCACTCAGAAGGCTGAGGCGGGAGAATCACTTGAACCCAGGAAGCGAAGGTTGCATTAAACCGTGATCGCACCACAACACTCCAGCCTGGGCGACAGAGTGAAATTCTCTCTCAAAAAAAGAGGCCAAGTAGGGTCGGGCCCGGTGGCTGACGCCTGTAATTCCAGCACTTTGGGAGGCTGAGGCAGACGGATCACGAGGTCAGGAGATCAAGACCATCTTGGCTAACAAGGTGAAACCCCATCTCTACTAAAAAATACCAAAAATTAGCCGGGCGTGGTGGCGGGCGCCTGTAGTCCCAGCTACTCGGGAGGCTGAGGCAGAAGAATGGCGTGAACCCGGGAGGCGGAGCTTGCAGTGAGCCGAGATCACACCACTGCACTCCAGCCTGGGTGACAGCGTGAGACTCCGTCTCAGAAAAAAAAAAAAAAAAAAAAAAAAAAAAAAAAGAGGCCAAGTAATGGCCTGGCCTGGACCGTTGCCACCCGAGGACACTCACACCCAGGACGACCCCACACAGGGACGCTACCTCCCAAGGATGGCAGCGCCAGCCTCTACCCGGTCCGAGCTGAGCTGCTCACCTCTCAGAGATGTTGCCAATTCCAGACAGCAGCTCCTTTATTTTCTGACCTGCACTCTCTGTGGTCATCCTGGCTGGGCCAGGCATCTCAGAGTCCAGGTCCAGGCTGCAGGTCATCAGGCGGCCTTTGGCGGACAGGGCCAGGAGCTTGGTGCCACCTGGTGACAGACACACATGGGGCCTGGTCAGCGGCTGGGAGGGGCAAGCAGCATGACACTCGGTGGTGTTTCCCTGGACTCCAGGAAAGAAGTTGGAAGACGGCCAAGGCCAGTGTCCAGTGAGGAAGAGAAAGTCCCAAGGCAAATGCACTGTCCCGACCCTGGGCTTCTGTCAGTGGCCCCGAGCCACGCCATCTCTGATCCCACCCGTAGCCCTCTCTTCCGCAGTGGAGACAGTCTGGCGTTTCCCTTCAAAGCCCTTCTCTCCTGCTGTGTATGTATTTTCTGTGGCGAGATTTATTAGCATGCTCACAAGGTGAGCACACTTGGGGAAGTGCACTGGTAGGAGGTGTGTGGCTCTATTCCTCTCACCCCAACACTGGGCACACACAGCTAAAACCCTCTCTGGCTTTTTCTGTGGAAAACACAAAACTAGAATTCCACAATGCCATCTGCCTTTGGTCCAGAGCAGACTCACGGGCAAGCCACACCATGACACGAGCAAGCGTTTGCAGCCTTTGGAAGAAAGGCAAGTCCGGAACAGACCTCCCTGGGCTGCTTGCCACATAAGACCTGCCCAGGAGGCGCTTGCGGTGGACCCCCAAGATGCAGTTTCCTCCAAGTCCACAGCCAGCAAGCAGCAAACTCAGATCCTACCAGGCCCAGGGCCACACCCTAGACCCCAGAGGCAGAGCAACAGGTAGGCCCACCACCAGCCCCTGGCTTGACCTTGAGACAAGAGAGTTAACCACTAGGCTGTATCAGCACCCGTCAGCCTTGCAAAAGAACAAGCCCAGGAAAGGAAGGCGGCCTGATAGTAGCAGACAGCCAAAAAGGGTGCTCCACCCTGGGCTCCCATCTTTCATTTTAGACAGCAGCTCATACCTTCATGCGTCCTGGGAGACGCGGACAGCGAGACGACACTGCAGATGTTCAGGCTGGCTGGGCACAGCATGGGGGGCAGGCCTCCCGGGCCTTCTTCGGGCTGCTCAGGGCCCAGCGGGGTGCTTCCCCGAGACAGATCCACCACACAGAGGTCAGAAGGGGTGCTGTGGTACACGCGGCCACCCCCGCCACAGGCAGCGCAGAGCACAGGGCCTGGGAGGCAGTACTCCCGCAGCTCGGGCACCAGCTTCCCGGACTCATCCCAGCTGGCCTTGATGGCCAGCATCCGGCCGTGGTGACCAAAGGCCACCAGGCAGTCACAGTGCACATCCTCGTCAGGCAGAAAATTCTCTGCAGCTTCTGCAGCCTGTGGCTCTGTCTTCAAGGCCCCTATGAAGATGACGGGCTCCTCCAGGTGATGGAGGATCTTGACAAGGGCATTTGGGTCACCAGGGGCTGACCTGGAGGTGACCAGGGCCTTCAGGATCACACAGCAGAGCTGGCCATCAGGGAGACCACAGAGGACCACAGGTGACTGCAGGAGGGTGGCATCAGCTCCAAAGAGGAGCCCGAAGAGGGCGTCCTCCAGCGTGAAGCCCCCGGAGCCCCCGAGGAGGTCGTGCGGGACCCTGGAGCCTGATGGTGACACAGAGCACAGCACTGGAAGGAAGTGGGGGGCTGCAGGCTTTCCTGGGACCCCGGCTGGGGGCGTGTAGGAGGACAGCTCCACCTCACCGATCTGGCCTCCTGGCCGGGGGTCCTCCCCAGGACAGGGCTGCTCAAACAGCTGCATCTTCCATCGGGCAGGGCCCTGCACCAGGGTGACCAGCACACTGTCCAGCAAGGTGAACGCGCACAGCGCAGCATCGGGAAGGATGCAGGCATCGGGGTCCACAGGGATCACGGGGGAAGGCTGGTCACCGTCCTCGCTGTCCCTGTCATCCTGGCTCGTAGACCTTTGAGAACAGGGACGCACTGGTCAGGCCTGGGCAGGGTGGGATTCCCACGTTCTCTTCACAATAACCTGGCATGGAGTAGTCTGGCTCAGGGGTTCCCGCAGTGACCCCCAAGGCCGCTCAGCAGTCCATCTGCCACATGGCCTCCCACCTTCCCCACGAAGGATACTCTTGACAAGAAGTACCAGGCATCCAAAACCAGCGTGAACCGACACCTGTCAGCATAGAACCGTCAGGCTGAGGCCCAGGCTGCAAAGTGCACAGGCTGCCCCCTCTACAGCCTGGGCCGCGGTCAGCAGCTGCTGGCTCTGCACTGAAGACAGGCCTGGCTGCCCGGAGCTCGCTTCCTTCCAACCCAGATGGTGTCCACTGATCACTGACTCGGGGTCACGGTGCCTTTGCTGTCTCCTCCCTCCAATAAAGACCCAACCTCGGGGGCGTGTCTCACCAGACAGCACCGGGCCACCAGGGCCCAAAGGACAGGATCCCGCGCCCCGCCGTGGGCTTAACCATGTGAACCCCACTTACTAAGGACTGTGAGCAAGACACTTGCAGAAAGAGTGCTGGGGGCAGGGGCTCCAGATAATCGGGCAGGGATGGCGGCCGAGGCTTCAGAGCTGGCGGCAGCCCGGGTCCCCAAGCGCGATGAGGTGGGGCTGCTCGCTCTGAAGCAGTCCGGGGGCAGCAGGAGTGTGCGGGAGGGAGGCCGCGGGCCCGCCCTCACCTGCTCCTGCCCGGGTGGTCCAGCGACAGGCAGTAGAGGCCCCTCCGGGCGCACAGCGCGTACAGCAACCTGCGCGGCGCCAGCAGCTCCAGGTGCCACACCTGGTCGGGGAACCGGAACGCCGCCTGCGGACCGGGGCGCGGGTCAGGCCGACGCGACGCGCGGGCCCGCGGTCTTCATTTTCACGCGAACCGCCGCCCCCGCCCGGTCCCTCCCGCCCCCGCGGGCCGGCGCTCACGGTCAGCAGCCCGCCCTCCTGGTCGTACACGTAGACGAGCTCGCTCCCGGTGGACAGGAAGACCTCTGCCTCATGGCACAGCACGCGGGGCTTGCCCGCCGCCAGGCCCCCGAGAGGGCAGCAGAAGCCCGCCAGGTAGCGGACCCGCGGCGCGGCGCCGGCCATCGTGCGCGCGGGCCCGTCAGAGTGAGAAGCCCCGGCCGCGCGGCGGCGGCTCCGCCTCGGAGCGCTTTACGGCAGCCCGCTGTGCGGCGCGACCTCCGCCGTAAAGCGGTCGGCGGTGCCGGGGGCGGGCCGGAAAGGACGCGCTGCAGGGACTCCGGGAGCTGGGGCGGTCGCTGGTACCCACGGGGAGCAGGGGAGCCTTCCTAGGGGCCGCGGCACCGTGCCGCAGGTCGAGGTTGACCCGGCCGGGCTGGTGGGAGCCCTCGGCGGCTTCATGGCCCCGGCTGCTGCACGGGTTCCCCAGGGTGGGGAAGCGGGTCCTGGCCGAGCAGAGGTTGCTCTTGGGCGGGGCGTCTCCCCGGAGCAAGCGCTCAGCTACTCGGGCTTTTGCGTAAACGCCTCGATTCTCTGGGCTCTCGGAGAGCAGCTGGGTCCTGCCGGAGCGCACTCCAGCCGGGGTCGGGGTGGGGCAGCGCCGGCTCTTGTCGTCCTAGGGATGGGTCTCTGCCCTGTGCTCTGCGAGCCGCCCCGGCCGCCCCCGCGTTCAGGGCCCAGCGGAGTGAGCCAGCTTAGGTGGAAGTGCGTCCCTCCCTCCGTGGCTGAACACGTGGGGACAGGGAGTACACCAATGGGGTTTCTGGGTTGGGGGCAGAGGACAAGAAAATGACTGTGAGCCAGGGCAAGATACCTCCACCCTCTCCCTCCTGGCAGCTCTCCACTTCCTCCAGGAGAGAAGTACTGACCAGAGAACGCCCGTGGAGGGGCCTGCAGTACGGACACCTGCTCCATGCCCGGAAGAGAGCGGAAACCAGGCACACCATTCACAAGTAAATGACCAAGGAACCCCGCCCCCGGCCCGCCTCCCTCCGTTTAAGAAGCCAATCTGAAGAGCGCTAAGGCCAGACACCCTCGAGGGAGAATCTAGGGGCAGGGCTGCAAAACTGGGCTTGGAAGTTAGGCAGACATCGTGGAGTCCGGGTGCACCTGCTGGAGCACAAAGCACCACTTGCAGACATCCTGACCGCCCCCCTTTGAGGTTGGGGTGGGGACTGACCCCAAGGCAACGGGGATGTCTGATTCTGAATGTTGGGTTAGACAGACTCAAGTGCGGCACCTGGAGTCAGTTCCTTGCTCCTCTCTTCTCGCCAGGGCTGCTCTGAAGGTGTTTGGGCTGGAAATGCTGTCTTTGATGCTGGGGAGTGGGGAGAGGAGGGCCAGGTGCATCTCATTTGGCCTTCAGAGTCAGGAAGTCAGATGCCGCATCGTTGTGAATTTCCCCACAGGGATCCTCCGCTGGTCTTCTGACCGAATTTCCCCACAGGAATCCGCAGGTCTTCTGACTGCTAGTTTTAACCCTCTGAAGCCTTGTGAGTCACTCGCTCACACACACCAACCCCATCCAGTCCTCCCAGGCCATCTCTTCCATACGGATGGTAACATGCCAAGACTGTCCTAGAGGAAATGATCACGATCACGTGGAGGAGGAAACGGACGTGGGAGAAGGCCCGCCAAACCAGCAGCCTCACCCCGCGGTTTACTCCGCTGCCCACCCCACTCTGCTCCGGGGGCTGGCAGGCTTTTGGCCCCACGCCAAGCCCAGCTCCTATCTGCAACAAGATTTATGATCAGTAGTCATGTGGGGGACCTTAAGCATGGATCCCAGGGGAAAGGGGGTGAGTTAGACACAAGCGAAGGGCTGAAGGCCGGCTCTCCATCAGCTGCTGGGCTGTGCCGTGCCCCACCTGTACTTGGCGAAGAGTGATGAGGGCTGAGGCAGCCTCTCTGTCCGTGGGTGTGGAAGATGCACACACTCCTAGCGGAAGCCTTCGAGACAGCAGCGCAGACCGCTGGACACTGCGTTTCTATGCCCAACTTGGAGGTGTTATCATCTCCCTAAGCACGAAGTATATGAAGGAGTCAATTTAGGTCAGACTGAGGGGAGAAAAACCATGAAGCTTCAGGCTGTGTTGAGGGCGAGGAGGGCTGGGCCTTGAGGGACCTCTCCTCAGAGCAGCACAGCCCAATAAGGAGAACACAGCAGGAAGGTGAGGCAGGGACCCAGGAACCCGACTTCTCCCTTTTTTTTTTTTTGACACACACAGGTTCTCACTGTGTCTCCCAGGCTAGAGTGTAGTGGCACAGTCTCGGCTCACTGCAGCCTCAACACCCCAGGCTCAAGCCAACCTCCTGCCTCAGCCTCCCGAAAAGCTGGACTATAGGTGCACACTACCACGCCAGGCTAATTTTTTGTCTTTTTTAATAGAGACAGGGTTTCGCCATGTTGGCCACGTTGGTCTCGAACCCCGGGCCTGAGTTCTATTTCTAAGCAGTACAATTTGCTTGATTTAATGGGGGAGTGGCATCCAGAACTGTTTTAAATTTTTTAATTTTGGCCAGGCACGGTGGCTCATGCCTGTAATCCCAGCACTTTGGGAGGCCGAGGCGGGCAGGATCACAAGGTCAGGAGATCGAGACCATCCTAGCTAACACAGTGAAACCCCGTCTCTACTAAAAATACAAAAAAATTAGCTGGGCATAGTGGCGGCGCCTGTAGTCCCAGCTACTCGGGAGGCTGAGGCAGGAGGATGGTGTGAACCCGGGAGGCGAGCTTGCAGTGAGCCGAGATCACGCCACTGCACTCCAGCCTGGATGACAGATTAAAAAAAATTTTTTTTTAATTTTTTGAGACAGTCTTTTTTTTTTTTTGAGATGGAGTCTCACTCTGTCGCCCAGGCTGGATGGAGTGCAGTGGTGCCATCTCGGCTCACTGCAAGCTCTGCCTCCCAGGTTCACGCCATTCTCCTGCCTCAGCCTCCCGAGTAGCTGGTATTACAGGCACCTGCCACCATGCACGGTTAATTTTTTTGTATTTTTAGTAGAGACGGGGTTTCATTGTGTTAGCCAGGATGGTCTCCATCTCCTGCCCTCTTGATCCGCCTGCCTCGGCCTTCCAAAGTGCTGGGATTACAGGCATGAGCCACCACGCCTGGCCTATTTTTTGAGACAGAGTCTTACACTGTTCAGGTTGGAGTGCAGTGGCATAAACTCGGCTCACTGCAACCTCTGCCTCCTAGGTTCAAGCAGTTCTCCTACCTTGGCCTCCCAAGTAGCTGGGATTACAGGCGCACACACATCACTACACTGGCTAATTTTTTCTATTTTTTAGTGGAGATTGGGTTTCACCATGTTGACCAGGCTAGTCTTGAATTCCTGACCTCAAGTGATCCACCAGCCTTGGCCTCCCCAAAGTGGTGGGATTGTAGGTGTGAGCTGCCACACCCAGTTTTTTTGTTTTTTTTGTTTGAGACAGTCTTGCTCTGTTGCCCAGGCTGGAGTGTGCAGTGGCACAGTCTCAGCTCACTGCAACCTCTGCCCCCGGGGTTCAAGTGATCCTCCAGCCTGGGCCTCCCAAGTAGCTGAGATTACAAGTGTGCACCACCAGGCCCATCTAGTTTTTGTATTTTTAGTAGAGACAGGGTTTCACCGGGTTGGCCAGAACTTCTGACCTCAGGTGATCCACCTGCCTCGGCCTCCCAGAGTGCTGGGATTACAGGTGTGAGCCACTGCGCCCGGCTTTTATCTTTACATCGAACCAAAGAGGATGCCAAGGATCTTCACTGGCTCTCACATAAGACGGCCATGATCAGGTACTGGCTCACTGCATGGCCCAGGCTGCTGCTTTCTCTGATACAACCTCCCCGAGCCTCCTCACCTCAGCTTTTTAAATTTTTTTTCAGACAGGGTCTCACCCCGTGGCCCAGGCTGGACTTGCGATCACAGCTGGCTGCAGCCTCAACCTCCTGGGCTCAAGCGATCCCAGGAGCTGTGGGTAAATCGAGTGAACTGCACTGTGTTGAAGGTGCAGGATTGGAGTCCGGGTGCTGGGGGACTCACCCTCTCGCTCCTGGAGTCCAGAAGCCAGGACACCTTGGTCACTGTCCTGTGGCCTGCTTCACCCCAGGGCCCTCCTTCAGAAATTAGTTGGAGTTTTTTTTAGTAACTGCTCAAGTCAGCTATGAGTCACTGACCAAAGGACAAAGTGGTGCTGAACAGTGACTGCCAGGCTCCTATCTGAGGCTCAGAGAGCACTTGTTCTAGACGCTTTCTGTTGTCACAGGGAAAGACAGCTCAAGCAGGAACACAGGCAGTGTGTCACCCCCAGGCCTCACTCCTTGCTGCACCTGTGCAGTCTGGCCTTCCTGGGCTTTGTCCTTCACCTGCTGTTTGACCACATGTACCTGTCCACAAAGCAGTGACTGTGGGGCAGTCGCAGGGCTGACAGGTGCGGCAGAGGCAGAAGAGGCACCCAAGGGCGGCGGGGCCGTCAAACACTGACGCACTCTCCTCCTCCCCCAGATGTTAGCACTTTAAGAAACTTATCGAGGAGCCAAGGTTGGGAGGGATCGGCTGGGGAAGTGGGATCCCCACCTTTAAATGGACCATGCACATACACGTAAAACAGTGATATCTTGGAGACAAGTTATCAAATCCCCCCACACTGAGCAGATGCCAGACAACAGTTGAGTGCGCAGGAAGGACACACCAGGACCAGGCAGTTGCTTCAGGCGCTTTTATTAGGTTCCACTGCAGGGCTGGGGTCAATGTAATGCAAATCCAAGCCCAGTGATGCACACCTGTGAGCCGAAACAGAGCCGAAGCAGGAGCACCTGTGTCCCAGGAGCAGCTGGTTGGAGGGAGCCAGGGCCAGGCCCCACCTCCTCTCGGGACCAGGAGACTGGCAGCCGCTGTGTTCACCTGGGCAGGTGTGCACCCAGTCACCCCCACTGGATTATGGTGCTGGTAGCATGAGAGGGTGTGTCCACACCAAGGGCAGGTGAAGATGCGAGGTGGGGCTGAGACCTCCTTCCCACAAGAGGAGGTGGCTGAGCCTCCCAGGGCCTGAACTCTCACAGCAGGGCTCACCCCCAAGCCTGTATGCTTAGCTCTGACTCTCTTTGGACAATAAAATAAAGTGCATTACTGAACAAAGAGTAACTCAAAACCAGAATCAGACAAATCGCCAATGCTTTTCCTTTAGCTAAAAGACAAAAGAAAACATGAATGATGTGAATGCCGGAACTTCAGAGTAAGGGAAATGCTGGTGGAGGACAACGGAAACTATAATAGCGTGGTGGATAAGGACGAGCGAGTGGGAGAGGAACTGGCAACGCGGCTCTCTCTAGAAGTCCGTGCTGTCCAGCCTCTGCCCAGTGGTGGGGGAAGGCCTTGGACTCACAGGGAAGCAATGCAGGAAGCCTTGGCCACCTAGGCTCACAGCTCATCTCAGGACCAGAGGAGACAGCAGAGGACAAAACTTCAGTGTGACAGCTGCTAGGAGGGAGAGCAGACAGCCCGCGGTGGGCAAGCTGGGAGTTGCATCCGCAGCAGTCCGCTTCAACCCAGCTCCTCTCCACCCTTCCTGACCCTCCACAATAGCTCTGCCGTGACCAGACCCAACCCAACTGGCCCCTGGTCCCAAGAGCAGATGAGCTGCTTGGGCCTTCCACTTGGTGTCCCATGCCAGGCGGACCTGGAGGTGTCAGCCATGGCCCTGACCACTTCAGAAGCCAACAGGCAAATGTTCTCTGTTCATAGTGCCAAGAATGTGGGTCACGTGGGCTTACCCCCCAGGATGGACACAGAAGTCCCTAAGCAGTCTGCAGCTGGGCCAGCCTCTCCCGTGGGTGCAGAGCAGCCCAGATGTGGCCATCATTAAGGCAAAGAAGCATCGAGATGCCCACCACTCCCCGGGTAAGAGCCATGCCCCGGCCTGGCCACGCCACAGAGGAACGCAGAGCACACAAGCAGGACCCCACCACGTGCTGTTCCAGATCGCCCAGTCTCCCTCTATTGGTACACTATCAATTGTGCAGTGCCCCAGGGAGGTCCCAAATGGCCCTCACAAGAGGCACAGCCCCTAACGCCCTCAGCCAGGCGGTGCAGTGGGACGAAGCAGCGTATTGGGGAGGGCCAGAGCATCGGCACCGGTGACCCAGCTCTCCCACCCAGGCCATCGCAGGGCAGCCTCAGGGCAGGCGCCACCACTGCTCCTGCTCAGCCCGCAGTATCTGCAGTTGCTGCAGCTGTGTGGCTTGGTAGAAAAGTCTCAGGCACTGAGGTTTACTTCAAGGGAGAACTGACTGGTGCCCCCGTCCACACTCATCACCCTGGACACAACCTCGGGGGCTTCACTAAAGGAGGGAAGGATGTGGAAACTAGTCTCTCTCACTCCCCTTTTGTGCAGTTTTTATCTTAAAAAAAAATAAATAAAAGTCTTCTGGGCAGGAATTACTGATAACTGTTATTATAACCAATGCAGACTTTAAAATCCCACCTGGACATCGGGTGAGAGGAGGAGGGCAGGCAGCAAACCGACCTGCAGACCTGCAGAGGGGAGCCGTGTCCAGGGCCACTGCGTCCCCACCAGACAACAGCTACTAGAAGAGGAAAGTGGCCCTCACAGGCAGGGTGCCTGCCACCAAGCAGTCAGACAAGGGGGTAACCAAGAGCTCCCAGCCAGAAAAACATGGGGGCAGGGAGGCCAAACAAAAAGCACTGAAAATAAAGAGAAGGCTGGGTGGTGGCAGCATCGGCCCCTCCCTGTGCGCCCCAATTCCAGGTGCCACGTAGAGGCGAGAGGTCTTTCCAACACGGCGGGGGACTTGTCAACAGGATTAGGCGTGAGGAGCCGCTCTGCGTTTCCAGTCTGGAGACTGCATTCAGCCTGCAGAATACCAGCCGTGGCGCCCGCTCTCCAGGGAGGAACGTGCTGAGAAGCTTCAGTGGGTCAGGGAGCCCAGGACAGCCAGCCCCTTGTTCCTCCAGGGCTGCCCACTATGGGGCAGTTACAGGGAACACACTCAGCAACGCTTCTGGCTTCAGGAAGGGCTGGGCTGGGCCCGGTCCTAGCCAGCAGAGGGCAGGCGCCCTAGGTCCTGGGGAGGCTGCACATCTCGCAGTGGCCTGTGCCTGGCTGGTTCATGAACGTGCAGTGCTGACAGGCCCACATGGCTGCAGTGGCCGTGTGTGTGGAGCCCCCGACGGCGCCGTACTCATGGAGACCTGGGAGCTGCCCGCCAACTGTGCCTGCAGGGTGGAAGAGAAATGAGCACTCATCATTTCTGGCCCACCAGAGACTGCCAGAGTGTGGGCATGGGGGCAGGGGCAGGCAGCTGAGAGCTCCCCGCCCCCAACATCCCACCCAGTGCTGGTCCTGCCCACACAGCACTCCCACCACAGGCACACTTTGAAGTGCTTAATGCCCTCAGAAAAATGCCTCCTGCACCACAGGGAGTAACAGGGAGCCTGTGCTTGCTGGTTCCTTTTTGTTGCAGAGGGTGCTTCTCCTTGTGAATAACGTAACTCCCCGGGGGATGTGCATTTGGGTTGTTTCCAGCTTTTTTTTTTTTTTTTTTTTTCTGAGGTAGGGTCTTGCTCTGTCACCCAGGCTGGAGTGCAGTGGCACGATCTCGGCTCACTGCAACCTCCACCTCCCGGGTTCAAGCGGTTTTCCTGCCTCAGCCTCCCAAGTAGCTGGGATTACAGGCATGAACCACAATGCCTGGCTAATTTTATCTATTTTTTGGTAGAACTAGGGTTTCACCATGTTGGCCAGGCTGGTCTCGAACTCCTGACCTCAGGTGATCCACCCACCTTGGCCTCCCAAAGTGCTGGGATTATAGGTATGAGCCACCATGCCCAGCCTCCAGTTTTGAGCTAATATGAACAAAGTTGCCAGGATCATTCTTCTACAATTTCTTTGTGGACCTGTGTTTTTATTTCTCTTGGATAAAAACAAAGAGTGAGGCTGGGTGCAGTGGGTCACGCCTGTAATCCCAGCACTTTGGGAGGCCGAGGCGGGTGGATCACTTGAAGTCAGGAGTTTGAGACCAGCCTGGCCAACATGGCGAAACCCGGTCTCTACTAAAAATAATTAGCCAGGCGTGGTGGTAGACACCTGCCGTTCCGGCTACTCAGGAGGCTGAGGAAGGAGAATCCCATGAACCCGGGAGGGGAAGCCTGCAGTGAGCCGAGACCCTGCCTCTTCACTCCAGCCTGGGCGACACAGCGAGACTCCATCTCAAAAACAAACAACAGGCCGGGCGCGGTGGCTCATGCCTGTAATCCCAGCACTTTGGGAGGCTGAGGTGGGCAGATCACAAATTCAAGAGATGGAGACCATCCTGGCTAACATGGTGAAACCCCGTCTCTACTAAAAATGCAAAAATTACCTGGGGGTGGTGGTGCGCACCTGTAATCCCAGCTACTAGGAAGGCTGAGGAAGGAGAATGGCGTGAACCTGGGAGGCGGAGGTTGCAGTGAACCGAGGTTGCAGTAAGCCGAGATCTCAAAACAAACAAACAAACAAACAACAACAACAAAAAACCTACCTAGGAATGAATCTGCCGGCCCACAGGGTAATGAATTGTGTGCTGAACTTTCTAAGACCCTGAGACACAGTTCTCGCGAGGGTGGCACGGTTTTGCCTCCCACTCGCAAGGTACGAGAGTCCCAGCTGCTTCACATCTTCACTCACACTTGACATTGTCGCGTTTTTTTCATTTCAGCCACACTGATGAATGTGTAACGGCTTCTCATGTTTTAATTTGCATTTCCCTGATGACTAATGATAGTGACTGTTCCTGCATCTCCTTTTTTTTGTTGTTGCCGAGGCTGGAGTGCAATGGCGCAATCTCGGCTCGCTGCAACCTCTGCCTCCTGGGTTCAAGCGATTCTCCTACCTCAGCCTCCCAAGTAGCTAGGATTACAGGCACGTGCCACCACACCTGGCTAATTTTTTTTATTTTTAGTAGAGATGGGTTTTCACCATGTTGGCCTGGCTGTCTCGAACTCCTGACCTCAAATGATCCACCGCCTCGGCCTCCCAAAGTGCTGGGATTACAGGCGTGAGCTACCATGCCCGACCTGCATTTCCTTTTGTGAAACGTTTCACCCTCCGCCCAGCTTCTTCTTCTGCTTTCTGTTTGATTAACAACAGGCAGAGTTATTTTTAAGTTTCAGATAGAAGTCATGTTGTGTGTATGTACTGCTAATACTGCGTCCCCCATTGGTGCCTTTTCATGTTTCTAACAGTGCCCTGTGATGAGCACAAGTGTTTTGTTTAGATAAATTTATTTATCAATTTACCTATTTTTATGCCAGTGTTTTTCTGTGTTCTACCCCAAGGTCCTGCATCCTGCCTAAAAGAATCTTTGCGTACCCCAAGGCCCTGAAGAGATTCAACTTAATAACTGTTTTACAGTTTTTATTTTTTTAAGACAGGGTATTGCTCTGTCATTCAGGCTGGAGTGGTATAATCATGGCTCACTGTGACCTCGACCTCCTGACTCATGGGATCCTCCCATTTCAGCCTCCCCAGAAGCTGGGATTATAGGCGTGGACCACTCACCATGCCCAGCTAATTCTTTTTTTTTTAATATTGTTTTTTTGTACAGACGGGGCTTCACTATGCTGTGTGGGCTGGTCTCACACTTCTGGGCTACAGTGTCCTCCAGCTTTGGCCTCCTAGAGTGTTAGGATTATAGCTATGAGACATCATGCCCAGCCTGCTTCATAGTTTTACCTTTTACCATTAGGCCTATGACCCATCCTGAGCTGATCTTTGTGTCTTGTGTATACACGTCTGTAATCCCAGCACTTTGGGAGACCGAGGCAGGTGGATCACCTGAGGTCAGGAGTTCCAGACCAGCCTGACCAACATGGTGAAACCCCATCTCTACTAAAAATATAAAAATTAGCCAGGCGTGGGTGCACGCCTGTAGTCCCAGCTACTCGGGAGGCTGAGGCAGGAGTATCACTTGAACCCAGGACGTGGAGGTTGCAGTAAGTGGAGATCATGAGATTGCACTGCAGCCTGGGTGACAGGGTGAGATTCCGTCTCAAAACAAAACAAAACAACCCATGAGGGCCGGGCGCGGTGGCTCACACCTATAATCCCAGCACTTTGGGAAGCCGAGGTGGGTGGATCACTTGAGGTCAGGAGTTTGAGACCAGCCTGGCCAACATGGAGAAACCCTGTCTCTACTAAAACTAAAAAAATTAGCTGGGTGTGGTGGCAGCCACCTGTAATTCCAGCTACTTAGGAGGCAGAGGCTGGACAATGGCTTGAACCCGGGAGGTGGAGGCTGCAGTGAGCTGAGATCACACTACTGCACTCCAGCCTGGGCAACAGAACAAGACTTTGTCTCAAAACAAACAAACAAAAAACCCATGAAAAAATGCCCAACATCACTAATCATCAGAGATGCAAATTAAAACCACAGTGAGATACCAGTCAGAACTTACACCAGTCAGAACTGCCTATTATTAAAGAGTTGGCTGGACATGGTGGCTTACCACTGCAATCTCAGCACTGAGGCGGGAGGATCGCTTGGGCCCAAGAGTTCAAGACCAGCCTGGGCAACATAGTGAGACCTCATCTCTACAACAAATTTAAAAAATCAGCCAGGGATGGTGGCACATGCTTGTAGTCCCAGCTGCTCAGGAGGCTGAGGCGGGAGGATTGTTTGAGCCTGGGGAGGTCAAGGTGAGACTGACCTCAAATGCCACTGCACTTCAGCCTGGGTGACAGAGTGAGAACCTGTCTCAAAAAAAAAAGGAGGGGGGAAAAAAAAAAGGTCAGGTGCAGTGGCTCACAGCTGTAATCTCAGCACTTTGGGAACCAAGGCAGGAAGATCACTTGAGCCTAGGAGTTTGAGACCAGCCTGGGCAACATGGCAAGACCACATCTTTTTTTTTTTTTTGAGACAGAGTCTTGCTCTGTCGCCCAGGCTGGAGTACAGTGGCACGATCTCAGCTCACTACAACCTACGCTTCCTGGGTCAAGTGATTCTCCTGCCTCAGCCTCCTGAGTAGCTGGGATTACAGGCGCTCGCCACCATGCCCAGCTAATTTTTGTAGTTTTAACAGAAATGGGGTTTCACCATGTTGGCCAGGATGGTCTCAATCCCTTGACGTTGTGATCCACCTGCCTCAGCCTCCCAAAGTGCTGGGATTACAGGTGTGAGCCAGCCACCGGGCCCGGCCAACCCTATCTCTTAAAGAAAAAAAAAAAACACCAACCAAAAACATTAGTTGGGTGTAGTGGCTCATGTTTATACTCCTAGGTACTCCGAAAGCTGATGCAGGAGGATCGCTTGAGCTCAGGAATTGAAGGCTGTAGTGAGCTATGATCACTCCACTGCACTCCAGCCTAGGCAACAGAGTGAAACCCTGTCTCTAAAAGGGAAACAAAAAAGAAAAAAAAAAAAAAGACTGGTGTCATTGTTAGAACTGCATCAAAGGGCTGGGTGCAGTGGCTCCCAGGTATAATCTCAGGACTTTGTGAGGCTGAGGTGCAAGGAATGCTTGAGGCCAAAGTTTGAGACCAGTCTGGGCAACACAGTGAGACCTCATTGATACAAAAATATTAAAAAATTTTGCAGCCATAAAAAGGAATGAAATCATGTCCTTTGCAGCAACATGGATGCAGTTGAAGGCCATTATTCTAAGCAAACTAATGCAGGAACAGCAAACCAAATACTACATGTTTTCATTTATAAGTGGGAGCTAAACATGGGTACTCACGTACATAAAGATGGCAACGCCAGGTGTGGTGGTACACATCTGTAATCCCAGCTACTCGGGAGGCTGAGGGAGGGGAATTGCTTCAACCCAGGAGGCAGAGTTTGCAGTGAGCTAAGATTGCGCCACTGCACTCCAGCCTGGGAGACAGGGTGAGGCTCCAGCTCAAAACACACACACACACACACACACACACACACACACAAAGAGCAGGGCGGGCTGAAAAACTATTAGGTACTATGTGTAGTACCTGGGTGATGTGATCAATCATACCCCAACCTCAGCATCAGGCAATATACCCAGGTGACAAACCTGCACATGTACCCTGTGAATCTAAAATAAGTTAAAATTATTTTTAAAAAACAAACAAATAAAAAGCAACAACAAAGCCCCAAGAATTAGCTGGGTGTGGTGTTGCAAGCCTGTGGTCCCAGTTACTCAGCAGGCTGAAGCAGAAAGATCACTTGAGCCTGGAGTTTGAGGCTGCAGTGAGTTACGATTGTGCAACTGCACTCCAGCCTCGGCAATAGAGTGAGACCCTGTCTCTACAAAAATAAAAATAATAAACAAAGAATTGTGTGAAAAGAAAACCTCGGCTGGGCGTGGTGGCTCACACCTGTAATCCCAACACTCTGGGAGGCAGAGGCAAGCAGATCACAAGGTCAGGAGTTCGAGACCAGCCTGGCTAACATGGTGAAACCCTGGCTCTACTAAGAATACAAAAATTATCCAGGCATGGTGGCACATGCCTGTAGTCCCAGCTACTCAGGAGGCTGAGGCAGGAGAATCGTTTGAACCCAGGAGGTGGAGGTTGCAGTGAGGCAAGATCACGCCACCACACTCCAGCCTGGGTGACAAGAGCCAAACTCCGTCTCAAAAAAAAAAAAAAAAACAGGAAATGGTATAAAGGTGTTTGATGTGTCTTTTGAAGGCTGTGTTAACAGAAGGATTCTAGCATTTGTCCAGGGCCGTAGCTCCCGGGCACTCTGGTGCTCTCAGCTGCAGGGACTCAGGGCACTCGGGCTGCACGAGGCACCACGGTGCGTGAGGAGTCCCTGCAGCAATGCTGACAGAAGGTTCTCACGAGTGGGGAATCGTTCAGGACCTGGTGACTGAGGGTCCGGAAGACACGCAATGCCTGCGGTCCGTTCCGTAGTGTCCACCAGCAACAACATGGATGCTGCAGGCTTCTCCTCCTTACAGCTTTAAGCACTAAAGGGAAATTCTCAAGGAGACCAAAAGGTCCCACGCTTCCGGCGCTTCCATAAAGTTTCTGATTCTCTTAAGACAATGATGTTCAAAGTGCTCCTAGGATGCCTGGAGATTAGTATCTCTGATGTACAGGTTTATAAAATTTACAGGGCTGTGTACCTAAGACGTACGGCCTGGACAACATGTCTGCTCCATCACCGGAGCCTGCCACGTGCCTGGCAGGGAGGCCGAGTCTCTACTCGTTGCATTGCCGATGGCACCTGCCAGGATGCAGCTGGGTGCGGAATCCAGGGCACCACCGGCAGTGGGGAGCTGTGCAGAGTGGGCTGCTCTCCGGCCCCAGCCACGGGGTGCCGGGGCAGGGGGTGGGGGTACTCACTGCACAGCTGCTCGATGGTGGCCCACTGCTCAGACCTCTTCCATGTCTGGGCGAGCTCCTCATTTCTGGTCCGCACGGCCTCCAGCAGCAAGCTGATGCTGTCCTACAAGAAGCCAAAAGGAAGGTTCCTCTTCGCTGTGCCTAAGGTGAGCAGCTTCCTGCTAGAACAGGTTTCTTTCTCCCCAACATCAAGACGTATTTCTGAGGACATTTTAAAAATCTTACAGGCTATCACTATAAAATGCAAACTGCCACAACTTACATCTATAAACGCAAGTGCTAAATTGAACTAGAATTTAAATTCTTCCCAAATAGGCCCAAGCGGGCATCTGTGCCTCTGCCTTGTGCTGACGGTGCTCAACAGCCCGGAGGATAGGAGCTCATGCCTCTCGTCCTGGAGGCTGGGATGGAGGGCGGAAGTCTTGACTGTGAGACGTGTCCTCCTCCCTCACATTTCATCCCTCTGCCTCTTTCTCCTCTCGTGTCTGGAAAAATGCACTCTCTATCCTAGCCTTCCGAGTCAAACTGCAGGGGATTAATGCATTAAGGATGGGCGCAGTGGCTCACGCCTGTAATCCCAACACTTTCAGAGGCAGAGGCAGACAGATCACGAGGTCAGGAGTTTGAGACCAGCCTGGCAAACGTGGCGAAACCCCGTCTCTACTAAAAATACAACAATTAGACAGGCGTGGTTGCGGGCACCTGTAATCCCAGCTACTCGGGAGGCTGAGGCGGGAGAATCGCTTGAACCCAGAAGGCGGAGGTTGCAGTAAGCCAAGATTGCGCCAATGCACTCCGGTCTGGGCAACAGAGCGAGACTCCGTCTTAAAAAAAAATAATTCATATATGAGAAACGGATAAAGCCTTCAGGAGCTCTCAGTACCTCCAGAGAATGTCTTCCAACAGATGACTGCAAAAATAGTGCAGTATACTAGCAAGGTGGCTCTGGTGTAGAGGGAGCCTCACCTTTCACCACCTGTCCAGACAGATGGGCAGCAGCTGAACCTCGGAGCAGGAGGTGCAGTTCCCTGGGCTGACTAGGGAAGGCACAGGCAGGGAAGAGGCACAGGGTGCCTGATGTCAAATACCCGAGTGAGTGGTTTTGAGACAAAATACAGACACAAAATAAACTAGCAGGATACAAGAACAGCTATAGGCTTCCTGACAGAGAAAGGCCGGGGGAGGAGGAGCCTCTCTATTCTGTCTCCTTCAGGGAAAAGTTCTGAGTCAGTGGCGGAGCAGCTCAGAAAGAATTTGCTCCTTTCTCTTTGGCATTTCCTGTTGGCTTGAACAGTGAAGAAAAAGCCAAAGTCGGACCCCTACACACGGCAAGAACCTCCTGGGGGCTGCTGCCCACTGGCCCCCACTACCCAGAGCAGCCACTTCTGCAAAGCACTCGCCCTCTTCTCCCCCAACGGTGTCTCTTAAAAATGCCAACTGTGCAGCTGTGAGCTTGGGGTCTGGAAGCTGGCCAAGCCTTCTGGGCCAAGGCAATAAAACCAGAGTTGATTTAGGAGGAGGGGAGATATGAGTAAAAAGCAGAGGCTGTGACTCTGAAACTGTTAGAACAGGAATTTTTTAAACTGTCTAACTCTAATGCTGGAGGCAGAGCTAAATCACCTCTGCTTCCCATTCGATTGTAACAGATGAAACCGTACTTCCTCACAGAGGTGCAGACACTCAATGGAAATGCTAAAGGTGAAAAAATTAATCTTTCTATCAACAAGCTTCTTGTGAAAAGCTGCTGCCTACACTCTGCCCATAGGACAAATGAGGGGGACAACCTGTGACCCCGAGCTTTGACCCAGTTTCCCAATCATGCTCTGGTCTGGGAGGAAAGAAAGCAAGACACAGGCGTCTCTTTGCAGCCAAAGCCCACTTGCTCAAGTGGACACCACACTTGGACACGCACCTGCAGAGGCATAACTTCATTGGTGACCAGGAACAGCAAGAGGTGGAAATCTGAGATGGTATCCAAGAACACAGATGAGGTATTCTGAGACAAATAGGTGGCCAAGCTATGGAAGTCCTAGAGGAATGGGAATAAACATGAATGTTCCATACAGTTCCCCAGTGCCAGACCCCGAAACAGAGCTGTTTCCTACTAAGACGCAACTCAATACACTGAATGCTGAGACACCTCTCCCTCTGCCTCTGCAACCACGAACAGGGTCCAAGAAAGAGGAGCAGGCAGCTGCAAAGCAAGCTCTTGCTCTCTTCTCCCAAGAAGATGCTCTCAGCACACCTGACTACCCAGATGTGCAAGGAGACATGCTTATAAAGCTGACTCAGACTGGCCAGGTGTGGAGGCTAACACAGTAATTCCAGCACTTTTTAGGAGGCCGAGGCAGGCAGGTGGTCAGGAGTTCGAGACCAGTCTGGCCAACATGGCGAAACCCCGTCTCTACTAAAAATACAAAAAAAATTACCCAGGCTTGGTGGCGCGCACCTATAATCCCAGCTACTCAGGAGGCTGAAGCAGAAGAATCGCTTGAACCCAGGAGGTGGAGGTTGTAGTGAGCCAAGATCGCACCACTGCACTCCAGCCTGGGTGATAGAGTGAGACTCTGTCTTCCAAAAAAAAAAAAAAAAAAAAAAAAAGGCTGACTCAGACAGAGACACAAACATGGAAATGCGCCCTGGTCCCCCGGTGGAGAGTGGGCTGCGGGAGGGGCCTGGGGCCCCCTTCACGGCAGGGAGACAGGTCTGACTTTTCCTGTCGAGCTGTATTCTCCATCTAGGGCAGCAAGAGGGAGGAATGTGCAGGGCAGCCGTGATGCAGCACGGACATCTTCAGCAGAACCAAACACAGAGCTTCAAGAGTGCACCCCAATAACTGGCTTTGCACCTCTGTGAGCACCCCAAGTCCCCTGGGCGGATGGGCACTGAGGGGATCAAAGCATAGAAGAAGCTTTGTCAGCCACTGAAGAAAACCTCATTATAGACATTCTTTGACCACCTTCTGAAATGTCTGTTAGCAAGTTATGATTTAAGAACAACCATGTGTACACAGCCTGTCTACACAGTATGCAGGCGTGACAGCAAATCGGACCTGGCCTGATCTGCCAGTGAGAGCAGAGGCCAACACGGGAGCCACGCTAAGCAGCAGATCAACACTACACACGGGAAAGCCGAGGCCAGGCCGAGAGGGGCCACACAGCCCCAAGGTGCCTAAGAAGGGCAGCAGGTGACCAGGCAGGGGCCAGGCCAAACCAACAGTGACGAGGCTGCTGGCAGAAGACACAAAGCAACACATTTGGGAAAATTACGAGGTCCACTGAAGATGTGGCCAGTCAGGACGTCAGGGGATTAGCCTTTGTGGCCGTCCATCACCTAGCCATGGGAAGGGCGTCCACGTGACCAGCAGTGCCCCACAGTAGGCCCTAGCTGGCCTGTCACAAGAATGAATCGGGAGCATTTGAAAGCTTGATGTTTTCTGGAAAAACAATACTGACACTAGATAACAATCAGCAGTTACCTTAAATTATGTTTCTAAAGACAAAGAGCTCACCTGTGTCTCACCCAATACATCCCGGTTTTCAATAGGAAATGGATTTTGCGAAATAGAAAAAGTGTAAACTGGATCCTTGGGGAAAGTTGTTGTGATCTAATGAAGAAAAACACAAACCCATGATAAATGAGGCTGAAAATGGTGTGGCCGACTCCCAGCCAGCCCAGAGCATCTCCCAGAGCCCAAATTAACGACTCCTAGCAATTCTGAGAATGTTCTACAAGCTCTCCATCAAAGGGAACCGTTATCTATTAGTGTCATCTCTAAACGAACACTTGGAAACTCCGCCATCCTGGAGACAAACTACACCATATCCGGGCAGCCTCCGGCCTGTGCACCGGCCTCGACGTCGGACAAAAAGGGCACTGGGACTCCCCTCGTGGCACAGCTTCCCTTCAGAGTCACACAGGTTCTCTCCCTCTGCTATGGAGGAACGAAAGGCTGGTTTGGCCCCTTGGCCAGGTGACAGGAAAGGAACGGAAGGGCCAGGAGGCCGCCCCAGGAGCTGACTTTGCTCAAGAGAGATTCGTGTCATTGGATTCGGAGGGCAAATGAGCAATCAGCCAGCTTTCAAGACACAAAGCACCCTTCAGCAGCTCACTAAGCCCCTTCTGAATGCTGGGAGCCACTCCACGGAGCTGTGGGCTTTTCCAGGCAGGGGTGAATGTAAGGCCCTTGAGGAACACAGGGTTCAGCTCTTCTCTCTCCCTCAGAGCTGATACCCAAAGGCCAGCTAAGTCCTTCAGTCCTTCACTGGCTCAGACAGGCCTTAATGACAACAGAGGGCACTTTGCACCTAAGATATAATCAATAGATGCTACAGGGACAGTGGTAAATGTGCAAGAATCAATAGAAATACCACTTTTATTCTTCGTGACAGACACCCCTCCCCAAAGCAGCACCGAGTTGAGTTGATGCTGCTTTTCTCTGCAACACAACAGCAGCAGCAGAGGTCACACCTCTTCCAGATTTAGGGGAACTATTCTGGTTCCTTTGGGACTATTTCTAAAGAATGAGTGTGGTTCTGGTCTGTTTTCTGCATCAGCAAAGGCAGTGAGTTGTTGAGCTAGCTGGCCCAGGATTTGCTGTGCCAGCGCCAGCCGCTGTGGAAGGACAGCTGAGCCACCAGCAGCATCTCTGGCCTGAGCTGGCCCTTCATGGGCAAGCGGCGGGGTGGGTCATGAAGACTCGGGCCGCGGTGCCACGTGTCGGCTACATGGCCTCGTCAGTTAGGGATCCTGGGCCTCACTTTACTCTTCCTCAGGATGAAGATGATCGGAGTACTCGCCTCCTGGGTGCCCAGCACGGGGCTGGTACACATAGTGTTGGTACACACAGTGCTGGGTCCCAGCTGAAGACAGGGGAGGTGCTGACCTCCTGCAGAGACAAAAGCCTGGCCTGCTCAGGCGCGTCCCTTGGGAAGGCCTAGAAATGAAGAAGGCGGCACCCCCAGAACACGTGCTAGTGAGTGAGCTAGTGGGACTGACGGGGGCTCTTGCTGGCCTTGTAACTGGCCCTTGGAGGGGAACAGAACCAAAGTCCACACAGCCCATCCCAGATGTCCCAAGGAAGGGCATCAGCTCCCATCTTACACTGAAGCCATTTCCCTACCCTACCCATCGTCTATCAGCCAGATGATGCCCCCAGAACCCACAAAGAAACCCCAGTAACACTGGCTGGTGCCTTTTCCTGCCTGCCCAGCCATCCCATCCCAAGGTTTAAGAACCTTGGCTGAGGCCAGCGCCTGTGGCCCAGGGCTGGGCATGGAGCTTGACACACCTCTCTGGGCACCTGCTCTCAAGGACTCCCCATGCCTCACTTCCACAGGGTCAAGGAGCCTGGGCATCACAGAGCAGAATGCTCTCCCACAAACAAGTACTTCTGAAAAACTGCACTAAGGCAAAAACTTAACTTCCTTTATAAAAGAAGAGGAAAGAAGTGGGGAGGCTGCTTGGGGTAGAAGACCTGAGAAAGCTGGTTTTAAATCATGCCTGCTCCTCCTGGGTGCATGCTCCATCAATCTGTTTTCATCTTAATTACACCCTAGGTAGTCTAAAAACCAGATGCCTTCACGGCCTAGGTAATAAATATGTTCTCGGGAGCTGTCAGTTGGAATGGTGCATCGATGGGCTTGGCTCGTGGGGACCTGCTGTTCCGAATGCAATGATATTTTACTGCCTGAATCACGTGCCCATCCAATTTCAAATGCAGCCTGAATAGATCCTGGCGTGGCAGCAGCATAGGAAATGAGCCGCCTCCCGTCCGCTTTGGACAGAGCTCCGGTGGGGCTGATGCACTGGCTTCTGCAAAGGCTCATCCTGCCATCCTTGCTGCCCTGTGGCCAATGGTACAGCCATGTCTCCATGACCATAAAATGCCTCCAAAAAGGAGCTGAGACACAGGGAAGATGTGGAAGAGCCAGGGGCCTTTGTGGCTCCTGGAGTTCCACCCAGTAAACCACGCTGAGCCCTCACTCAAGAACACTGAGTTACAGGTGTGTCCCCTGGGGACCACCCTGGACGGAGTGACCCAGACACACTGTGGGCTGTGGCAGCTGTGCTGGGGCTAGGGCAAGCACCTGCACGTGCAGGACAGCTGACAGCCACACACCAAGCACAGCACATCTGGACAAGACTGCTTGATGCTCCGGTGACTGGAGACCCAAGCAATGGGGGTTCGCTGCCTTCCAGAGGCTGCCTAGCCTGGGGTCAGTGGTCCTTTGTACTTTAGTATGGGGACAGTTAACCCCTAGGTTGACGTCAAGGAAATAAAAACCTGAGACTAAAACAAAAAGCCCTTAAAACTGTGAGCATTTCAGCAACACCGCATGCTCAGTGATTCTACAACCACCTCCTGGGTGCCTGTTCTGGGGTGGGCACTGCTCAAGGCAGAGGGTGCCTTAAATTGCAGCCTCCTCCCTTGAGCAGCCACCACCCAGCAGTCCCACCTACAAGGCGCCCAATGGGTCCACCTGCCCAAGCTGTGCATGGGGGGCACTTACGTCTATGATGAGATACTCCACAGGCAGGGGCCGGGCCAGCTGGGTGATCTCGTTGCCAAACTTGTCTACGTCCTGCAATAGTCAGAGGGGAACAGCGGTGAGCAAAGACGATCAGTAGTAATGATTTTCCTTTCACATGCTTGTCTCACCTTTTATTTAATTAATTAATTTATTTATTTATTTATTTTTTGAGACAGAGTCTTGTGCTGTCGCCCAGGCTGGAATGCAGTGGCGTGATCTCCACTCACTGCAAGCTCCGCCTCCCAGGTTCACACCATTCTCCTGCCTCAGCCTCCCAAGTAGCTGGGACTACAGGCGCCCGCCACCACGCCCGGCTAATTTTTTTTGTATTTTTTAGTAGAGACAGGGTTTCACTGTGTTTGCCAGGATGGTCTCGATCTCCTGACCTCGTGATCCACCCGCCTCAGCCCCCCAAAGTGCTGGGATTACAGGCGTGAGCCACCGCGTCCGGCCTTCACTTTTTAAATTACTTCAAATCTTATTGAAGTGTATGGATAGCAGAAAGGAAAACGTGCATATTTTTGCAGTAAAACCACCTTCCACCATTTCTTGGAGCTCATTATAACCACAGCCTGAAAAAGCAGTCGTGCTCTCGGGCACTGGGACTCCCCACTGGGAGAGCACATCAAATGCCTCCTCTCCACCCATGGCGCTTGGCCTGGCACTCAGGCGCGATCTGCGACAGGCAGAAGGGTCTGCGTTCCCCTCAGGTTGGACCTGTGCCCTGTCTATCCTCCAAAAGCACATGAATCCTCACAGTCTGAATGCTAACTCTTAGAATCTTACTCACACCTCTGAAAACCCGACTTTCCAGAAACCGAGTACTTGGACATTAATAAAATAAAGGCATGCACAAATGAGCGCACACACAAATATGAAGACACGGGAACCCCACACCAATCTGTCAAAGTCTCAACTTGTTTTGCTTTGTCAGATGCACAGAACATAAAGTTTAATTATGGGGAAAAACGGCCAGCATATGTTCATTAATCATAAAATGACAATTAGATCTGATTTATGTCAAACATGCTGAGTTCAAACAGAGCTCCAGAAATAAATTCATAAGAACCAAAGCTTTTCATTAAAGATTCTGCAAGAGGGGATCACATTTTCTATCTAAATCATCACTTAACATTATATAAATCATTCATTAAGTCATATATAAATTATACATCCATAATTTCCAATTATAGGGCCTTACATAAAAGTTTACGTTTATTGGAGCTCTCAGACCCGAAATGATTGCCAAGCAAATCTCCCTGAGGTGTGCAGGGTGACAGGAGGCCACCCCCATCACAACCACACCTTCCTGGGGATGTCAGGAAGCCCCGCTGTCTTCTGAGACAATCATCACAAGCTGTTCCCAAGTCAAACCAAGTCCATTACCCTAATGAGAAGCCCCAGGCCCCCATTTGGCCCTTGGCCCTGTTTCTTGCTTGAAAATTAAATTCTGGCTGGTCCGAAGGTGGTGAGTTACCTCAGATGATTGTTAACAGTCAGTTACAGATCCAACTCCTTGTTCTACTCTCTCCCCTTTCCTCACTATTGTACTTGACTAGTCTTAAAAAATAATAAAAAATTTTTAAATTCAATTTCTGGCCTGAAATGTGTCTCAGTTCTCCATACCCTCACACCTTTTCTCTACTCACAGCTAGAGAGCTGCCAACAAGAACTTGCCTCTACCCTCCCAGAGAAAAATGGTCCAAATAGATCCCACTGATGTTTCCAGGAGGGCAGGAGAATGAACCTGGACTCTATTTCCATTTCACGTATTGCTCCCCGCCCCATCAAAGGCTACATTCCTGCAAATACACAGCTCTGCTCTGTTTGCCTTCCTTGGACACTGAAATGACTTTCCACCGACTTGGGTGAGGGTCGTGTGTCCTCCTTCCACGTGACGAGTGGCTGCCAGTCAGGATGGGCTTCCGCATTCTGCGCTCTGCTGGCTGTGATGGGGGCGCTAAAGACACAGGGCCTACTGCACGGGGTCCTGGGGCCCCAAAAGAGGTGGTTTCTCAATGGAGATTTGGTAGGAGGCAAAAATCAAATCCAGTCAAACTAAATCACCATTTCCAAAAATACAGGCTTGCCCCTACAAGAAATAAACCTGCAACAACTCACACATAATTAGCCCATCTGGAATTCATCTTCAAATCTAATTAAGCTCTAATATGCAGAAACATTTTTCCAGCACCTGTTCACTTTAATCTCCCCCTCTAGGGATTTTTCTTGTTAAATGCCCCTCTCTCTTTTTTGTGTCATGCTATTCTCTTTCAAACTTAACTACCCAACTGCATCTTTTCCACTCCCCAAGAAAATAAAGGTGTTGTATCCCCCTTTCCTCCCTGGGGAAACAGGTCACTTCTACCTCTCCCCCAAGCCTTCACTCAGATGTTTTCGCCAGCCAATCCCTAGGCCTACACACCATTTTAAAAGGCAATTACTTTTTATGGGCCTTAGAAAATGTCAGTTGGAATGCGCTGGGAGGAGGTTGTCTTAATTCTAAGTTTGGCAGCCGTCAAAGTGTCAGCAGCTTTATCTCCACCTGGAGCGAGGCACCAGGAGGTCGGAGGTTGTGGCCCCAACACCTCGCCACCCGCCAGAGGCCACTTCTGGAAGCAGTGGCGCCAAGGTCTTGACACCAAGAGAAATCCAGGGATCGATGTCTTTGTTAGCTCAAAAGCAATGGGGATGCCCAGGGCACAGTGGCTCATGCCTGTAATCCCAGCGCTTTGGGAGGCCGAGGTGGGCAGACGGCTTGAGGTCGGGAGTTTGAGACCAGACTGGACAACGTGGTGAAACTCCGTCTCTACAAGACTGTCTCCAAACAAACAAACAAACACACACACACACACACACACACAAACACAAAAGCATGTGGGCTTTATGCCAGGACAACAGTGAATTCCATTGATTGAATGGCATCAACCCTGCTTTAGAAAAGGTAAATGAAATCCTGAATGTGCTGCTTTTCTAAGAACTGGCAAGAAGGGGCACAAATGACACCAGGATCTGAGCCGCCACAGGATAACTCAGAAAAAACAAAGCTTTCAGACACTCGGTTACTTTTCTTTTTTTTTGAGAGGGAGTCTCGCTCTGTCGCCCAGGCTGGAGTGCAGTGGCGCGGTCTCGGCTCACTGCAAGCTCCGCCTCCCGGGTTCAAGCCATTCTCCTGCCTCAGCCTCCCGAGTAGCTGGGACTACAGGTGCCCGCCACCACGCCCGGCTAATTTTTTTCTATTTTTTAGTAGAGACGGGGTTTCACCGTGTTAGCCAGGATGGTCTCGATCTCCTGACCTCATGATCCACCCGCCTTGGCCTCCCAAAGTGCTGGGACTACAGGCGTGAGCCACAGCGCCCAGCTGACACTTGGTTTCTTAAAAGCACCACTTAGAAAATAGTCCAGTCCGTGTGCAACGACTGGATGCACACAGAACTGGCAGCTGGCATTTCTCAGGGGCCAGCTGTGTGCACAGAGCCACTTCGTCCTCACAAACACACTGGTCACAGGCACTACTGCTGTCCAAGACAGGAAGGGTTACAAAGATGAGTGAACCTCCTAAAGCAATCGGCAAGGACAGCTGGACAGCTGTGTAGAGACTGGGCCCCCCACACTACGTGCGCAGGCTCCCCGCCTCCCAAGTCAGTGCCGGTGCTGCAGGGCCAGGGCACACGCAGGCCTCCCTCCTGCCTTTGGGGAACCTTGAAGTTGAGGCTCGGACCCCAACAGCCGTCTCACACTGAGTAAGACTCTCCCACCTCCACCGCAAGGGAAGATGCAAAATTTTCTCTTAAGACTGGGAATATGCTATAATAAGTGATTCAGAATCTCTTCTGTCGATGGCAGTTTCTTGATTAATTGATAAACCTGCCTGAATAATGCTGGAAGCAAACACAATCTCCTATGAGTGAAAAGGCTTGTTTTAAAAAGTTGCGTGCTGCTGGGTCTTGTGCCAGCAAATACAAGTGGGTTACAGGGCTATAGCAAACAGAGCAGTTTGGTAACAACAAAGGAATAGATTGTAGGTAAGTGGCACAGAGGACGATGACCAGAAGTAAGACATGAGGAGACACAGATACCTTGTTTTACAATGAACAGTGGGACTAGGTCAACCAGGCAAACATCTAGAGAAGCACAAAAGCTAGATTCCTACCTGTACCAGTATCATGCATAAATGGATTATGGATCTCAAAATAAAATTAAATCCTAAAAGCACGGAAAGAGTATGTAGGTAGATGCATAGTTCTGGGGGAAAGAATTACAGTTGGCCGTTGCACAACGCGGGTTTGAACTGAGCAGGTCCACCTATAGGCAGACTTTTTTCAACCAAACACAGATTGAAAATACAGTATTCGAGGGCTAGGAAACTCATGTATACGGAGGTCTAACTTTACATATAAGCAGGTTGGAAGGATCCACTTTGGGGCGTGAGTGCATGTGGACTTGACTATATATGGAGGTCCTGGAACCAATCCTCTGTGTCAACTGAGGGGCAATTGTACTTCCAAAGTACGATGACAAAGGCAGAAATTACAAGAAAAAGAGTTAAGGTATCTTTGAAATCAGAAAATATTTCAGCTTCTTTGTATAAAAGACAAAGAACGAAAACCTGGCGTGTGTTTGCAACACACGACAAAGGGTTAATATACAAAGACCTCACAAATGAATGCCAAAAATGATGAATCACTTTACAAATACTTAAGTGCACACAGAGGCTACTCACAAAGAAAACAGTCAGTAAACACAGGAGACTCCCTGTGGTCAAAGAAGCACAGAGAGCGGGGTCCTGGGCCTGCCTGGTCCTTGCCAGAGTCACGGGCGCGAGGGCAAGGCTGGTCTGCAGCACCACCTGCAAGTGTCCACCCTGCCACATTCCCAGAGGAAACGTGGGAGGACACACAGACCCTTCGAGTACATAGTAAGCTTCGGCAACATAATCCTAGTTCTAGCAATTCATCCCAAGTAATTTAAAGCATGCACTAAGAATGAGTTACAGGGTCCACCAAGTGCTGTTCACAGTGCCAGATGCCAACAAACCCCACGGCCTGCTGAGTAAGCAATGCCTGGCCACAGCAAGGGGCAGTGGGTTCCTCAGAGATACCCTCTGGCCCCTCCACAGCTGGCTCCTTGAAGGAACGCTGTTCCCTTGCTGCTCCTATGTCCCCTCAGCTCCCCACGGCGCTCTGACCCGCCCCACCCCATCACTGTGTAGTCCTCGCCAGACTGCCTGTCCGCACAGCTCTCCAGACAGAGGACCCCAGCACTGTCCCTTGGCACCAGGACATCACCCTCCCACCTCTCCCAGACCCTTCTCCTTGACCTCTTTAGAGCAGCCATCCTTGGAGTTGCTCAACGCCCTCTTCTCTTCTCCCTCTGAACCACAGCTTGGCTCATCTACTTCCGGGTTAGCTCAACGCCCTCTTCTTTTCTCCCTCTGAACCACAGCTTGGCTCATCTACTTCCGGGTTAGCTCAACGCACTCTTCTCTTCTCCCTCTGAACCACGGCTTGGCTCATCTACTTCTGGGTTAATTTAGGCTTTCTCCACAGATAGTCTGAAAAGGGAACTATTGGCCTGTATCTCTTGCCTGAGCTTCCAGACCTGAGTCCTGGCAACCGTCTGTCCTGCTCCATCTTCAAACTCTGCGTGCTGGCACCTGGACTCACCATCCTCCCACACAGACCCATGGCTCTACTCTGGCACCAGTGCCAACCCTGCTCCCCAAAACCAGGAACCTGGCTTGAGCCTGTGCTCCTCTCTGCACACCTGCCAGGCCTCCAAACCTCTCAGTCCCAGCACACCATCCTTGTCCCCAAGGCCACAGGGAACTGACATGTGGCCTGGATTGCCAACACCACCAGCTTCTCACTGGGCTCCCCAACTCCAAACCGTTCCCCACACTGCAGCCCAGGATGGGTCTTCTACAGCGGGGACCTCCCCTGCCCACCCCATCCGGCTGTCAGCACCTGTCCACTGCCTCTCCTACCTGGATTTCAGCCCCACTCACTCCTCTAAACTTGCTGCCTTCTCCTGACTCAGGCTACTGGCATCCAATGCCTGGATTGTTGCAAAAGCTTCCCGCCTCCAGACCACCCCTCCTGACACCTCCAGCAGGAACATTCCAGAACTCACTTTCCATAAGTCTTTCCATGGCCTCCCACTGTCCACCACAAGCCACTCCAGCTAGACTGGCCCCGCCGGGTGCATGCTGTGCTCTCCAGGTACATAGCTTCAGCAGATTCCACTCCGCGTGGCTTCCTCTCACACACTCTAGTCTCAGCACTGTGAATGGCCACCTCGGCGCACCCTGCTCCCCAACAGGACACCTCCACAGTTTCCAAGAAGAGGGACCATGAGGGACCTGCTCACCGTGGCGCCCCAGGCCTAACACCTGACCCACGGGAAGCTCTCAACAGATAAACGGTACGACTGGTCCGTTTTCTCACTGCTATAATGAACTGCCCAAGACTGGGTAATTTATAAGAGGTTTAATTGACTCACAGTTCAGCATGGCTGGGGAGCCCTCAGGAAACTTACAAGCATGACAGGAGGGGAAGGGGAAGCAAGGCACCTTCTTCACAAGGTGGCAGGAAAGAGAAGTGCCGAGCAAAGGGGGAAGAGCCCCTTATAAATCTAACACATCTTGTGAGAATGCACTCACTATCACTGAGAACAGGATGGGGGAACCACCCCCATGATTCAATTATCTCCACCTCATCTCTCCTTGACACCTGGGGATTGTGAGTCAAGATGAGGTGTGGGTGTGGACACAAAGCCTATCCATATCACAAAGGGTGCTAGGGGGCGTCCATTTTCTTCTTACCAATCTACAATATTTAATTTTTTCATAATAAACATACATTTCATTTCATATTTAAAATGTTCCATATTTATTTATTTAGAGACAGGGTCTCACTATGTTGCCCAGGCAGGAGTGTAGTGGTGCAATCAAAGCTCACTGCAGCCTCGAACTCCTGGGCTCAAGCGATCCTCCTGCCTCAGCCTACTGAGTACCTGGGGCCACAGGTGCACACAGCATAGACTGCATGCATTACTGTTTAGCGTGGTGGCTCACGCCTGTAGTTCTAGCACTTTGGGAGGCAAGGCAGGTGGATTACTTAAGGTCAAGAGTTTGAGACCAGCCTGGCCAACATGGCAAAACCCCTCTCTACTAAAAATACAAAAAAGAAATTAGCTGGGCGTGGTGGTGGGCGCCTGTAATCCCAAGTACCTGGGAAGCTGTGGCAGGAGAACTGCTTGAACCAGGGAGGCGGAGATTGCAGTGAGCCAAGATCGTGCCATTGCACATCACCCTAGGTGACAGAGCGAGACTCCATCTCAAAAATAAATAGACTTCGAGCTGTCTGATGCATGTGGATCTTTAGATTTGAGACCCTCCTGCTGCCAGCCTCTCCCTCCTACCTGGACAACACCCCCTTCACAAGTTCCTGGTCTAAAAGGTGGTCTCCACTCCAGCCTCCCCCTTCAGCTGACCCTGTGGCTTCCTGTGAGCAAGCTGATCCCCAAACCTGCATCCCATCGCTCCTGCCAGCTCCACCCACCTCTGCCTCCCATCCTCATTGTACTGACCTGTCTCCAGATGCCCCAAAGCTGTCCCTGACACACGGACCATGCCCCTTCCTCTCTGTGTGCCAATTAGCTCCTTTGCTGGACACCAGGAAGCAGTACATGCCCATGTCAGTATTTCCCTTACGTTAATAAAAACCCAAACAAGAAAACTTCTCAATCCCACTTCCCATACTGGTGACTGTCCTTTGCTCTCCCTGGCAGTGAAACCCCCCGAAAGAGTCATGCAGCTTGCTGATGTGAGCTCACCCCCCATTCTCCTCTGTGAGCTCACCCCCCATTCTCCTCTGTGAGCTCACTCTCGGCAGCCGCTTATCTACTACTCAGCCAGGCTCATCAAAGCTCCCAACACCCCTGAGCTGCTGAAGGCAAAGCCTCCTCTCCTGACTCACCAGGGAGCTCCTTTCTTGCCTGCCTTCCAGGGCGCTATGCTCCTGCCCCTCCTCCCCAGCTCCTGCCTCCCAGTGCTCTCCACCTCATTCCCCCAAGGTGGGGTTCTCCTCAGCCATCCCCTCCAGGATGGACAACTCGGCCTCTCACCAGGCCTCAAGCACCACCCCAACACCATCTGTACCATGTGCCTCTCCCAAGCAATGCGCTCACCCCGGGTGGTGCCTCTGCACTAGCACATCGCCGACAGATCCCCAGCCTTCCAGCCTGGCCTGGACACCCTGGAGTCTGCCTGCCTCTTCTCTCGATCACACCACACACTCAACCCCCTCACTACTGCACAGCCATCTCTACTCTCTACCCTAGTCTCCTTTTCCAGCTCCGAGCCCAGCAGCCAGAGTGATCGTCTCACAGCCCCGGCACAGCCATCTCCCTTCAGCACCTTTCAGAAGCCCTCATCTCACTTCCAACCATAGATTCAGCTTCCAAGGGCCCCTCCCACCTCTACCCCAGCAGGCCACCCTGCTTATCACTCTCTGTGTGGGGAACAGGCTGCTGCCTCTGTCTGAACAATCTCCTCCAGACACCCCCAGAGCTGCTCTGCCAATTGACACCTTCTCTCCCCTCTCAGGACTCGACCCACCAGGGCACTCCAAGCTTCTCTACCCGTTCCGCTGGGGTGGCCCACCTCCCCTGCTGCAGCAGTCTCCCCGATGCAGGGAGCCCTTCTCCATTCTCCATGAACTCCAGGGCCTGGCAATTCACAGGTGTTCTCTAAACATGAGAGAATGGATGCCGTGAGAGCATCGCACAGTGAATCAGGTCAGTGCTACCAAGGGCTTGGCCACCCAAACACAACAGCTCTCGCTCCCCGCTCAGCTCTGAAGGGCCCAGGGCCAGCCTCCCATGCCCACAGCTGGGGGCCTGGGAGAGACATGGCATGGAAGTACAAAATCCCCAGTGGCCCTGGGCCAGCCCACCCGTGGGCTTATGCCCGTCAGACTATTTCCTCATGGCTGAAGGAGAAGAAAATAGAGATTTTAAAACACAGTAAGGCTGGAAGCGGTGGCTCACACCTTAATCCCAGCACTCTGGGAGGCCAAGGCGGGTGGATGACCTGAGGTCAGGAGTTTGAGACCAGCCTGGCCAACATGGCGAAACCCTGTCGCTACTAAAAATACAAAAAAATTAGCCAGGCATGGTGGCAGGTGCCTGTAATCCCAGCTACTTGGGAGGCTGAGGCAGGATTGCTTGAACCTGGGAGGCGGAGGTTGTAGTGAGCCGAGATTGGGCCACTGCATTCCAGCCTGGGCAACACAGCCAGACTCCAACGCAAAAAAAAAAAAAAAAAAAAAAAAAAAAGTTAATAAAATCACCATGTCACAAAAGAACTGAAAGCCAGCCCCTTGTCAAAGTGCCCAATTGTTACTTGTCCTCAAGAGGCTCCCTCAAACCCAATCAACCAATTCTCCCTGCCCCAGAGGAATAAGCCCTGTGGACGCCCAGACCCTTGGCATAGGTGCGAGCAGTGAGGAGACAACTGGCTCCAGCCAGAGGGGCAGCCAGTCCTCCACAGCACCAAGGCCACCTCTCCTCACTCCCCCACAACGATTACAGAAATCAGCCAGTGAAGGCAGTCCATGGGAAGAGAGTATACTCCCGGGGCGCCAGCCAGCAAGGTGGTAAAGGCACAGCTACAAAGCCAAGTCAGATTCCAGACACTAGAGCCACTGTCCCATGTCCAGAGGAGTGGGAATAAAAGGACTGGAGGCTGTGTGATCTCTGTGGCAGAAGGGTCGTAGCCTGCCACATCCTCACACATCACACAGACGCAGGAAAGAGCATCCCGAAAGCAGAGGCGCAGGAATAACTTAGACCTTCTGGGCAGAGCTAGTAGCCTCGCTATGCCCTGGATGGAGTCCCAGACCATCTCAAAATGTCTCTGGGACGTGCTGACAGCAGAGACATGCTTCCATGGTGGACCCACCACACCCTAGTGTCAGAGAGGGAACATGAGGAGGGCTCCTCTGTACCAAAGAACACCCGAGGGGCCCAGACACCACAGTGAATCACCAGAAAACATGGAGCATAGACAGAGCCAGTCGGAAGACTTACTTGGGGAACATTTCCAGAGAACTTATGATTCTAGGAGCCCAAGCTGAGGCCCAGCGGTTGTCCTGCAGGCTGCAGCAGCACAACCAGGAGGGCCGTGAGGTAAGCGAGCTGTGGCATGACGGGCATGAAAGGGCAAAGCTGAAGATGCCTGCACGTCACATCCGTACCAGGAGGTTTTCAGCTATGATGCCCGATGAGGGGCATGGACCCGAGTTTCACCTTCAGTGGGAAGCAGCTGAACACCTAAGCATCTAGCGGTGTTCTGTGTGTGTATGTATGTCTGCATGTTTTTGGAGGAGTCTTGTTCTGTCGCCCAGGCTGGAGTACAGTGGTACAATCATAGCTCACTGCAGCCGTGAACTCCTGGGCTAAAGAGATCCTTCTGACTCAGCCTCCTGAGTAGCTGGGACCACAGGCTCATGACACAGCACCCGACTAATTTTTTTTTGTTGTTGTAGAAATGAGGTCTTGCTATGTCACACAGACTGGCCTCGACTTCCTGAGCTCAAGCAATTCTCCCACCTTGGCCTTCCAAAGTGCTGGGATTACAAGTGTGAGCCACCACACCTAGTCTATTAGTATTCTTTTTAAAGGAAAAGACAGAAGACAGTCAAGCGCCTCCTGGCTGTACAACAGTCTACGAGTGTGAGTCTTGTCCCTGTGTGATGGGCAGGAGGTCCCAGCCTGCCCAAACAAAACCCCCACCAGCTGGGCTCTGGGGCTGCACATAAAGCTCCACAGCTGCAGGCTCTTGGGGCTGATGGGCAGTGAGCCACAGCCAGCCTCCCGATTCGAAGAAACACACAAAAACCCAAGGAGCCTCCCGGCCAGGGCCAGGCCTCCTCCCTGCGGCGCCGCCCCTGCGCACTCACAACTGAGCGCCCATGTGCGCCAGCACAGCAGCCACTGCCACGTGACGCAGAGTGTGTGTGACACACCCATGTGCATTCATGGCTGGAAAGTTATTTTAAACTCTTCTTCCTAATTATCAAGAGAGATGTTAGTGTGACTTTTCAGTGAGCGACTTGGAAATATCTATCAAAACTCGAAAAACCTTCCTCCCCAGCAATTCTATTTTGAAGATATACAAAGATGTCACAGGAGGATGTATAGGGTGTTAAATGTGGCACTTTCTGTAACAACCAGGAAGAACCAAAGGCCATCAACACAAGACCAATTAAATACATTCTGATTTGGCCATATAGTCAATAAATGCACTCATTTATTCTCCATAATTACAAGTCTTTGTTTTGAAGTTAAAAGAATAGAAAAGGAAACAAGAACTCTACCAGATGCAAAGAGTAGTTATCATTAAATATGTTTTCTTCATGTTTTTCTGCAGGGGACAAATGTTCCCTTTCACAAGAAAGGTGAAAGAGAAAAGCCCCACGTCCTGCCACCTGGCTGCCCCAGAGATGAGTGAGGCTGGCTGGCCCTAGTCCCTCGGGAAGCTCCTGGTCCTCACAGGACTATGTGTACACCCATATGCTTTCCTAAAAAACTACACGTGAACGATGACACAAATGTGCCTTCAAATCACTTCTCCAAGGCCAGCATCTGCACAGCTCCCCTCATCTGTCCACAAGGCTCTTCCTCGTTCTCTTACTGGCTGCATATGGGACAGGGCAAAGCTGTAGACTCTCCTCCCTCCTGAAGGACAGTCAGGAAGCTTCTACTCCCACCCCATGTGTGAGTGCATGTAAATGTATGTCCACATCCATGTGCAAATGCCTATACGTGTCTTCAAGAAAATAACAAAAAAAATTGGTATTATACTCTAGGTATAGATGCATTTTTAATTTTGCTTTCTAAGTTTTACCCCTTATCTTTAAATAATTTGCAAACACATACCTTTAGTAACCACATGCTATCCCAGAGTCCAGCTGTAACTTAATATGCCCTTGGGACAGGGCTTTTCAATTGTTTCCCATTTTTATTGCCAGAGACAACAACATGATAAACAGCAGCCTCAGACAAATATTGGTGCAGGTTTTGTTTACAAGGCATGTCACCTCCAACCGCAAAGTCCATGGGAGGACTAAAAGGATGACTTCAATGTTTGCTTTTACAGTTCTCTTTGCTCCAACTGATATTTTCCTGAAACATGAGAAATCTGTCTCAAATCCTACAGGGCTATAAACAATTCTGGGAAGTATTTCTAGCCTATTCTCGCTAACAGAGGGCAAATAAGCACTCTATGAAAACAACAGAATGATTAAGGAAATGTCACATATTTCATGACAAAAGGGAGCTCCATTCCTAAGTGCAAGAAACTTACAATAACGCATGGAAATAAAAAAGCCAATTTCCAATCTGAAAAGGGTATTTAAAAATAATCCTACAGCAAACTCACAGTTAATGATAAAATCCTAAAAGCACTTGCTTTACAATTAAAAGCAAGACAAAGGTGCCAGAGACTTCCACTGTCATGAGTGCTGTTTGGGAGATCCCAGGCAACACTGGGAAAAGCCCAGAGAATGAGAAGGGCTGATGATGGAAAGGATAATACGTGTAGGAAATGCGAAAGACTAAACTTATAAATAATAATACTGAGGAACAGATAGCAGTTGCTGGATACAAAAATTTACCTGTTTCAAACACCAACAGTTTAAAAATGTAATTTTAAGATAGTGCTATTTTGTAACAGGCTTAAAAAAAATTAAAGTACCTAGGAATAACCTAACAAATGATAGGTAAGACCTCCACAGAGAAAACTGAAAACCTTTCTAAGAGACATTAAAGAACATGGGAACGAGGCCCAGCACGGTGGCTCACGCCTATAATCCTAGCACTTTGGGAGGCCGAGGTGGGCAGATTGCCTGCTGAGCTCAGGAGTTCATGACCAGCCTGGGCAACATGGTGAAACCCTGTCTCTACTAAAATACAAAAAATCAGCCAGGCGTGGCAGCGTGCGCCTGTAGTCCTGGCTACTCGGGAGGCTGAGGCAGAAGAATTGCTTGAACCCGGGAGGCGGAGGTTGCAGTGATCTGAGATCGCACCACTACACTCCAGCCTGGGCGACAGAACGAGACTCTGTCGCCAAAAAAAAAAAAAAAAAAAAAAAAAGAGTATGGTATTAGTTCTGGTTTAGGAAAACTGGCCAATGGAATAGAACAGAGTCCAGTAACATCCATGATTCCTGGAGATGACCGACGACAGAGAAGCATCAAAGATTAAAAGGGAAACAAAAGTTTGCTTTTATTCCCAAAACTGTGCTCATATAGCTGATTATCCACATCGTTAAGAAATCAAGGCCGGGTGTGGTGGTTCACGCCTGTAATCCCAGCACTTAGGGAGGCCAAAGTGGGCAGATCACGAGGTCAGGAGTTTGAGACCATCCTGGCCAACATGGTGAAATCCAATCTCTACTAAAAATTTAAAAGTTAGCCAGGCGTGGTGGTGCACACCTGTAATCCCAGCTACTCGGGAGGCTGAGGCAGGAGAATCGCAGAACTCAGGTGGCAGAGGTTGCAGTGAGCCGAGATCAGGCCACTGCACTCCAGCCTGGGAGACAGAGGAAGACTCCATTTCTGGGGGGGGGGGGAAAGAAAGAAATCAGAGGCTGGGTGCAGTGGCTCACATCTGTAATCCCAGCATCTATAATCCCAGCACTGTGGGAGGCTGAGGCAGGCAGATTGCTTGAGCCTAGGAGTTCAAGACCAGCCTGGGCAACATGGTGAAATCCTGATTCTACTAAAAATACAAAAGAGTTAGGTGGGCATGGTAGTGTGCGCCTATAGTCCCAGCTACGCGGGAGGCTGAGGCAGGAGGATCACTTGAGCCCAGGAGGCAGAAGTTGCAACAAGCTGAGATCACGCCACTGCACTCCAGTCTGGGTGACAGAGCGAGATGCTGTTTCAAAAGAAAAATATAGGTCAGGCACAGTGTCTCATGCATGTAATCCCAGCACTCTGTGAGGCTGAGGTGGGTAGGTCACTTGAGATCAGGAGTTCGAGACCAGCCTGCCCAACGGGGTAGGAGGGAGGAAGGGGAGGCAGGGGCCTGAATCCAAACCAGATAAGAAGACCCCCAGCAAAGGGGACTGTGGCACTGAGATGGAAAGCCCCTTCCCTCCCCTCCTGCAGGAAGTGAGTGCTGGGAGATGAGGGTCTGGCAGAGACTCTGGAGACACAGGAATTTCAAACATGCAGCCATTCTCTCCCCTCAAGATGTTTGCAGCTGGGTGTGGTGTAATCCCAGCACTTTGGGTGGCCTCACGCCTATAATCCCAACACTTTGGGTAGCCAAGGTGGGCAAATCACTTGAGTCCAGGAGTTCAAGACCGGCCTGGCCAACATGGTAAAACACAGTCTCTACTAAAAACACAAAAAATTAGCCGGGCAGGTGGCACACATCTGTAGTCCCAACTACTCGGGAGGCTGAGGCACAAGAATCGCTTGAACTCAAGGGGCGGAGGCTGCAGTGGGCCGAGATCGCGCCACTGTACTCCAGCCTGGGTAACAGAGCAAAACTGTCTCAAAAAAAAAAAAAAAAGATGCTTGCAAAAGTTTTAAGGTACATGGGATACCTACATATTTAAGCTGTATGAGGCATGAGGAAAACAAGAAACTTCTGGACAGACTGTATCTCCCAGCCTTTCAGGGCCAATGAGACAAAGATTTAAGGAAGACTGTCACCTCACAAAGAGCTCTACCAGGCTCTCAGATGGCACCCCTAAGGGGTTACACTGTAGAAAAAGGGAAGGATCAACAATAGACGAAGTCTCATCAAAATGCAACTCGGCTCTGACCAGCTACTTGCCACCTGGATGGAGATGGACAGCTCACCACCACCACATTTCCCATGGAGGAAAGGAAAGCCCTCTCTGGAAGAAAACACCCTGCTGGAGTCTCTGGCTTGTGATACACAATGAGCAGCACACCACACACACTCAGCACGCCAGTAACAAGGACAGACAGACAGACGGTCCACGGAAAACACATTGCAGCTGCAGACCCACATATGCTAACCCATAATTAGAAAAAAAATCAATCAATTAAAACTGATGCAGAAATAAGCAGGTGATATGAGTTAGTATATAAGAACATTAAAAGTTAATATGGGTCGGGTGCAGTGGCTCACGCCTATAACCCCAACACTTTTGGAGGCTGAGGCGGGAGGACTGCTCGAGGCCAGGAGTTCAAGATCAACCTGGCCAACATAGTGACACCCTGTCTCTTTATTTTTTTATTTTTTATTTTTTTGAGACGGAGTCTTGCTCTGTCACCCAGGCTGGAGTGCAGTGGCACAATCTTGGCTCATTGCAAGCTCTGCCTCCCAGGTTTACACCATTCTCCTGCCTCAGCCTCCCGAGTAGCTGGAACTACAGGCGCCTGCCACCATGCCCGGCTAACTTTTTGTAGTTTTAGTAGAGACGGGGTTTCACCGTGTTAGCCAGGATGGTCTCGATCTCCTGACCTTGTGATCCGCCCGCCTCAGCCTCCGAAAGGGCTGGGATTACAGGCGTGAGCCACTGCGCCCAGCTGACACCCTGTCTCTTTAAAAAAAAAAAAAAAAAGGAAAAAAGAAACAAAGAAAAAAGTTGTTTTTTTTTTTTTTTTTGAGACAGAGTCTAGCTCTGTTCCCCAGGCTGGAGTGCAGTGGCACGATCTTAATGCAAGCTCCGCCTCCCAGGTTCACGCCATTCTCCTGCCTCAGCCTCCCGAGTAGCTGGGACTACAGGTGCCTGCTACCACGCCCGGCTTATTTTTTGTATTTTTTTTTTTTAGTAGAGACGGGGTTTCACCGTGTTAGCCAAGATGGTCTCAATCTCCTGACCTTGTGATCCGCCCATCTCGGCCTCCCAAAGTGCTGGGATTACAGGCATGAGCCGCCGCGCCCGGCCGAAAAAAGTTAATATAACTGTATCCCCTATGTTCAAAGAGTTAAGTAGAAACACAGGAAGCAATTAACAACTTAAACTTCTGGAATGAAAACTACAATGTCTGAGATGAACAATATGCTGGATGAGATTAACTGCAGATGAGACACTGTAGAAGTCCAGATCAACGAATGTGAAGACTAAAAGAAATTATCCAAAATGAAACACTGAAGAAGACTGAAATGAAATGAACAGAGTATCAGTAAACTGCGGGACAACTTCAGGCAGCCAAATACATGTGTAACTGGAGCCCCCAAAGGAGCGGGAAACACCAAAAAGAGAAAACATTGAGTAGCTGCAATTGGCAGGATTCTAAAAAAGGTCCCGAAACATCTCCCACGGTCTTCTCATCTCCACCCCTATCCTTGAGACAGGGTCTCGCTCTGTCACCCAGGCCTGTAGTGCAGTGGCACAATCATGGCTAACTGCAGCCTTGACCTCCCCAGACTCAGGTGATCCTCCTACCTCAGCCTCCTGAGTAGCTGGGACTACAGTTCATGCCACCACATCTACTTTTTGTAGAGACACAGTCTCGCTATGTTGCCCAGGCTGGTCTTGAAGTTCTGGACTCAAGCAATCCTCCTGCCTTGGCCTCCCAAAATGCTGGGATTACAGGCATGAGCCACCATGCCAAGGACCCATCTTCTCATCTTTAGAAACTGAGACTGTCTGTGTTGCAATGGTCGGATTTGGTGTTACTGATCTCAAAGCCAGTGCATGTAGCTCCACTTCTGGTGAGAAGCCCTACGCCATGGAAGCATGAGTAGCGAATATCCAGCCCCAGAAACGTGACAGAAGCCTTTAGTGACAAGCAGGGTTCAACCACAGCTGACAAACGGCTGCTATAGGCAGAATGCACCCAAATTAGAAAGGTCCAAGACAGGTTCACACCATTCTCCATGTACAGAGTTCTTTTTCTTACCATACTTTTACCTTATAAAACACATCAGGCACGTACTGCTCACTGCTAGACTCCTTGGCGTAGCCAAGCTCCGGGGCGTCCTTGCATGGCAGCAAACACTCATCACGGACCAGTGCCATACACTGATTGGACACCTGGTACCCTTCAAAGTGGACTTGGTTGTCAGGACCACCTGCAAGAGAGAGACCTTTAAAAAGAGTCTACCAAACGGCATTCAAAACCAGTCCATATCTGTTAACTCTTCACCTCTGATCAACAGAAAAAACAAACCCTCAAGAGTTTGTCGGGGGTAAGAGTTAAAAAATGTTCAGTAGTCGGCCGGGTGCGGTGGCTCATGCCTGTAATCCCAGCACTTTGGGAGGCTGAGACAGGCGGATCACGAGGTCAGGAGATCGAGACCATCCCGGATAACACGGTGAAACCCCGTCCCTACTAAAAATAAAAAAATTAGCTGGGTGCGGTGGCGGGCGCCTGTAGTCCCAGCTACTCAGGAGGCTGAGGCAGGAGAATGGCGTGAATGGCGTGAACCCGGGAGGTGGAGCTTGCAGTGAGCCGAGATTGTGCCGCTGCACTCCAGCCTGGGTGACAGACTCCATCTCAAAAAAAAAAAAAAAAATTCAGTAGTCAACGGATGGGTGGCCACAGCACAAGACCTAGCACAAGACCTAGCACAGTCAGGACACCCTGCAGCTCCGCACACACTTGGCTCCACAAACAGGTGCCACTAAGGACATGCTCTATGAGAATCTGGAAATCAAGACTGTTAAACTTTTGAAAAAAAGAAAAGAAAAGGCTCAGATTACGCCTGTAATCTGAGCACTCTGAGAGGGCAGGGCGGGAGGACTGCTTGAGCCCAGGAGTTTGAGACCAGTCTGGGCAACATAGTGAGACCCTATCTTTACAATAAATCAATCAATCAAAAAAAAAAAAAAAAGATTGTTAAACATTGTCTAGCATCTGCCCCTAAAACCAGGCTTAGTGTCATCAGCACTTGGGCTCCTGGTTCATAATAACACCAGGGGTGTAAACGGCAGATAGATCCCTAGGCTCACGGTAAGGATGGGAGGATAAATTCATCTGGAGGCAGAGAGATGGGGAAGCGGGTGGGAGAAGAGCAAGACGGAAACTATTTTTAATACAAATCCAGTCATGGTATTGTATACACAGCAGCCTCTGTCTTCCAGAAACCTACACGGCCGCCACACAGAGTTAATGCCACCAGGCGTCATCACACAGTGTGGAGGTGCAGGTGCCACTCCACGGCCGTGGGCAGACCTGGGAGCCCAGCTCCTCCATGGTTTCACCCTCCACACTGCCCACCCCATCCTTCTCTCCCAGTCTCCACTCCATCGAAGCCTCCAGAATGACTTCATGTGGGGACAGGAGAACTACAGATCATGGCTGAGAGGCGGCAGTGTGGTCCAGTTAGACCAGATCCCTGAAGTGAGCTGGGCAGATGATGCCATGGGGGCAGCCTGAGCCTTTGGAGGAGGCAGGCATGGGGGAGATGCCCACCGCTGCAGAAGTGTGCTTCCAGAACTGAAGTTATGTGCTGACTACAATCTCATTATTTTTTAGGTATTTATTTATTGTTTTAGAAGTAAGGTCTTACTATGTTACCCAGGCTGGTCTCTAACTCCTGGCCCCATGTGATCCTCCTGCCTCAGCTTCCCAAAGAGCTGGAATTACAGGTGTGAGCCACTGTGCCCAGCCCTCAACATTTGTTATAGTTTTGGATGAAAAAAAACCCTCAATACCTCTATTTCAGTTTCTTTGACAAAAAGAATCACTTATGATCAGAAAACAGAAACGTAGTGCACATGGCTGTCAAACATGCATCAGAAAGCAAACCTGACGGCCACACAATCAAAAAAGGTGAGGGAGGAGATAGAGCTGGCCGCCATGAAGCTCTCAACACACATAGGAGGCAAGTGATGGCTGGCTTCAAAACCCTGGGTCAAACTCGCTCCAAAGGCACAGTTCACCAGCATAGGATTTTCTCCCTGCCCCAAACTCAAATGCTCAGGAGGCAGCCAACCCTGCACAAATGACCACTAATATCTCAGCAAAGATACAGGCACCTCACTTGCCCATGTGCTTGGTGGCATAAATGACACTGAAAGAATGCAGGGCTCAGAGGGAGCAGAGGCAAAGGCTGGACAGAGCGCCGGGGAGCCACGGTGCAGACATCTGGTTAGGACACCATGAAAACCTGGACTGGGCTTGGCGCAGTGGTTCACGCCTGTAATTCCAGCACTTTGGGAGGCCGAGGCAGGCAGATCACCTGAGGTCAGGAGTTCAAGACCAGCCTGGAAAACATGGTGAAACCCTGTCTCTACTAAAAATATAAAAATTAACTGGGCATGGTGGCGTGCACCTGTAATCCCAGCTACTCAGGAGGCAGAGGCAGGAGAATCGCTTGACCCCAGGTAGCAGAGGCTGCGATGAGCTGAGATCATACCACTGCACTCCAGCCCGGGCAATGGAGCAAGACTCCATCTCTGGAGTAAAACAGAAAAAAAAAAAAAAAAAAAAAAAAACCTGCTCTGGTGTTTAGACTGGTCATTAACACGATAGGTCATTCAAGAAAGAAAAATCTAGCAGTTGAGAATAAGAGAAAAATGGAAAGCAGTTATTTATAAAACTGAAGGCTGTTTATAAACAGCAAAATTGGCCATATGGATAATCTTCAAGGGTAAATTCACTGAGATGAACTGCAAACTCCCCTTTCCACATGCAGCAGCAGGACATACATGTCCTGATGGGTTTGTGTAACCCTGCCGGAATGGCTGGCAGGACAAGTTAACTATCATTCCCTTCACAAATCAGTCAGTCAGGAAATCCCTACGTGGGAAGGATCACAGGGCCTACAAAGAGGCAGTGACAGCAAAACTTCAGCTGCTATTGAATCTGAATGCATTTCTGGTTTTTTAACCAGATCCCCAGCAAGTAATTTTAACAGCCCGTAAATGTAGAGTATGCTAGACTATGAGGACACAGATGCCCAGCCCAGTGTGTGGGGTAAGTTCTACACTGCACTGTCCTTCCACAGGGACCCTCAGGGTCACTCGAGCAAAGCGCACACTTCATTGGGGCTCTTATACTCTGAAGCCTCATGCCAGAGAATACCTGAGTACAACGAAAGGGGAAAGGGGAGGAAGGACAGATGCAGAGGGAGAGGCGAGGCCTCCGCATCCCAGCCAGGACCTGAGTGCTGTCGGCAGGGGCGCCCCGCACCCTATGCCACATGGCTCAGTCTGAACCTTCCTGTCTAAGGAGGGATGTGGGACGGGAATGCAACAAGTACAATTTCCAACAGCGCTATGGGGTCCCCGCATGGCCGTGACCAAGAAACCCTAACACAGGGGAAAGAGCACACTTTACTTGAGTTAGAAAACCTTCATCCGAGCTGTAGTGATTAAAAGCACGCATGAGGATAAGCACTCCTCAGTCGGCCACCACCCTCGGGAAAGGGAGACCATGGCAAGTCTGAGCACCAAGAGGGGTGATTCACACAGACACAAAGGGGCTGTCACTGCCTATCTGCTTATAAATTAGGTTATTTATTATCTCTCAGTTCTAAAACCTTTCAGTAAATACCAATTCCAGAGGTGAAAAAAGCCCAAGGATGATCTATATAATCTCTCAACTCTCAACAAGAGGTATGACTCAAATTCAAGGTGGTAGCCCCCAAGTTAGAAACTGTAATTCTAAAAATGTGCCAGTTCTTCTGGCCCATGGAATAATTTCTCCACAGACACAGTAATTAGACTGGGCACAGTGGCTCACACCTGTAATCCCAGGACTTTTTGAGGCCGAGACAGGCGGATCACTTGAGGCCAGAAGCTCGAGACCAGCCTGGCCAACATGGTGAAACCCCGTCTCTACAAAAAATACAAAAATTGGCCGGGTGTGTTGGCATGCGCCTGTAATCCCAGCTACTTGGGAGACTGAGGCACAAGAATCATTTGAACCCGGAGGCAGAAGTTGCAGTGAGCCAAGATTGTGCCATGGCACTCCAGCCTGGGTGACAGAACAAGACTGTCTCAAAAAAAATTAAAAATAAAAATAAAAGATCCTCGATTTCACTCAGAATAAAATAGTCATTAAAACCACACTGAAATACTGTGGAACTGTTCCATATCCCACAAGACTCTGAATGCCCGCTACACACTTGTGTAGGCAAAAACCACTACTTACAATGATATGAGATTAGAAGCAATTCTGTTTTATAAATAGCCACAAAACAGACAGGCACAGTTGTAATGCACACTGAATTCTCTGGGACTACAATAGTGTAAGCTGAGGCAAGGGCACACTCTTCTGCTTGGAACTGGGTGGGGAGCTGCTGAGCCTCTCAGGAAGCCATGTTGCTGACGGCAAGGCCAGCTGAGAGGCCTGGACCCAGCCCTGTGCTCAGCCCTTGCCCACACAGGCCAGTACGGATCCTGCTGTGCTGTCCTCACGAGTCAGTCCAGAAGCACTGACACACCTAAACGTATGACTTTATTCTGTTTCTTTCCTATCACTTTCCCCTGATGTTACAGTTAGGATACTACTCTGCCTTCCATTTCAGAATTCTGTGTGTCGGCAGCCTACATTAACTATGTTACCCATGAATTTTATTTCTGCATAGTAAAGGGGTATCACAAAGTGTTCTAAAAACAGGAGTTGAGTCTGATAGGCTTGGAAACTACCAGCCTACACTACTGTACCCAGATATCAGCCTACATGTGGCAGGGGTGTGGGGATGTGACACCGAGAAGAGTATGACGACACTTTTCTCCCCGTCTCTAAATACAACGCTGGCCAGGCAGAATTCTAAATGACATGAGCGCCTTTGTTCTCTGCTCCCCTCCTGGGTGCCCAGTGCCCACTGCCTGATGCCCCAGCTGCTCTCCAGCTACCCTGAGTCCCCCACGACAGCACCCTTCCCAGGGTGCCCTAACAGGTTCTGTAATGCAGAATTCCCAGACCCTCCTTCAATCCTAGCCCAAATTCCCAACCCTTCCCTTAAGCACTCAACCCAAGCAACAACTTAGGAAAATAAATCTGACTCGGCCGGGCGCAGTGGCTCACGCCTGTAATCCCAGCACCTTGGAAGGCCGAGGCGGGCGGATCACGAGGTCAGGAGATCGAGACCATCCTGGCTAACACGGTGAAACCCCGTCTCTACTAAAAATACAAAAAAAATTAGCCGGGCATGGTAGCGGGCACCTGTAGTCCCAGCTACTCGGGAGGCTGAGGCAGGAAAATGGCGTGAACCCGGGAGGTGGAGCTTGCAGTGAGCCAAGACAGCGCCACTGCAGTCCAGCCTGGGCGAAAGAGCGAGACTCCGTCTCAAAAAAAAAAAAAAAAAAAAAAAAAAAAAACTGACTCAACTAATTCACTTGTAAAATAGTTAACATGTATTAATTATTAACATAATTAACGTGTGAAAGATGCCTATCACCCTCAAAAAGTATATTCATTTCAAAAATCAATCTAAATGCACCTTAAATCAAGGAACTGCAGGCTGGGCAACACAGCAAGACTTCATTTCTACTAAAAATTTAAAAATTAGGCCAGGCGCAGTGGCTCACGCCTGTCATCCCAGCACTTGGGAGGCCGAGGTGGGCGGATCACGAGGTCAGGAGATCGAGACCATCCTGGCTAGCATGGTGAAACCCCATCTCTACTAAAAATACAAAAAATTAGCCGGGTATGCTGGCAGGCTCCTATAGTCCCAGCTACTCGGGAGGCTGAGGCAGGAGAATTGCGTGAACCCGGGAGGTGGAACCTGCAGGGAGCCGAGATCGCGCCACTGCACTCCAACCTGGGCGAGAGCGAGACTCCGTCTCTAGGGAAAAAAAAAAAATTAAAAATTAACTGGGCGTGGTGGCGCACGCGTGTAGTCCCAACTACATAGGAGGCTGTTGGGGTCGGATCACATGAGCCCAGGAGTCGCACCAGTGAGCTATGACTGCACCACTGTGCTCCAGCCTGGGTGACAGAGCAAGAACATGTCTCAAAACAAACGAACAAACAAAAAAAAAAACACAAAAACCCGGCAAACTCAAGAATATGCAGCAAAGTGCAAAAACTTCGCAGTCAGCTTGAACACTTTTCTTTCTTTTTTTCCAAATGTTTTATTTATTTATTTTTGTAGAGATGGGGACTTGCCATGTTGCCCAGGCTGGTCTCAAACTCCCAGTCTCAAGGGATCCTCCTGGCTCAACCTCCCAAAATGCTATGATTACAGATGTTGTAATCCCAGCACTTTGAGAGGCCAATGAGGGTGACTCACCTGAGGTCAGTTCAAGATTAGCCTGGCCAACAAGGCAAAACCCAGTCGCTACTAAAAATACAAAAATTAGCCAGGCGTGGTGGTGTGCACTTACAATTCCAGCTACTCTGAAGGCTGGGGCACAAAAATCGCTTGAACCCAGGAGGCGGACGTTGCAGTGAGCCGAGATTGCGCCACTGCACTCCAGCCTAAATGACAGTAAGACTGTCAAAAAAAAAAAAAAAACCCGTTTTGCTTTTTTTTTTTGAGATGGAGTTTCACTCTGTCGCCCAGGGGAACATCCTTGTCCATATATACATATACATATATATATATATTTTTTTTTTCTTTTCTTTTCTTTTTTTGAGACAGAGGCTCACCCTGTCACCCAGGCTGGAGTGCACTGGCACAAACTCAGCTCACTGCAACCTCCGCCTGATGGGTTCAAGTGATTCTCCTGCCTCAGCTCCTTGAGTAGCTGGGATTACAGGCGCCCACCACCATGCCCAGCTAATTTTTATATTTATAAAGAGATGGGGTTTCGCTATGTTGGCCAGGCTGATCTCGAACTCCTGACCTCAAGCGATCCACTCACCTGGGCCTCCCAAAGTGCTGGGATTACAGGCGTGAGCCACCACGCCCGGCCAAAAAAGTGGACTTTTAATGAGAGCACTGGCCTAGAGGAGAGCTCTGTGGAGGTCCTGATTCTGTTATGAGTTTTGGGGTTTGTGTTTATATAGTTTTATGCTGTTAAGTTGTTCAGAATTTTTACCATAAAAAGAAAGGAGGAATTTATATCCCACAAGCCCAGTAAGAAAGTCCAGTATAACTAAGTTAAGGATAAAAAGCTACCAAAAAGAGGAACAAAATATATTAACGAGGTGGTAATATTTACAGTACATACTGTCCCTGTTATACCTGTAGCCACTGCAGTAACAAACTTGGATCCAAAATGTCCGTCTGGAGAGAGCCGGCACATGTTGGGATGCTTGTTCTGGAAGTCTCCTGCAGTGATGCACTCTTCTGAACTTAGGAAATAGGTGTCCTAAGACAAGAGAAGCAGCCTATCAAATTTTACAGCATCATGCCAAAATATACTTCTATTTCTTCTTTAAAAAATAAGAACTAAGCCAGGAGCAGTGACTCACACCTCTAATTCCAGCACTTTGAGAGGTGGAGGCGGGAGGTCCACTTGAGGACAAGAGTTCGAGACCAGCCTGGCCAACACACCAAAACCTGGTCTCTACTAAAAATAAAAAAATTATCTGGGTATGGTGGTGCACACCTGAACCCAGGAGGAGGAAGCTGTAGTGAGCCGAGATTGTGCCATTGCACTCCAACCTGTGCAACACAGCAAGACTCTGTCTCAAAAAAATAAAAATAAAAAATAAGAACCAAACTATAAAACTCAAAACCACTTTGAAACAAGTATCTACAATTCCTAACCATTACCAATTCCTCATCTAAAACCACTCACGACTAGAAAGGCCAGAAGCACTATGCAAACCACCCCGCCATGGGCTGAGCCCTGAAAATCACTGCTTTATAAAGGTAAGATGGGTTTAGCTCTATGAGACCAAGAGATCCGGCCTTCATTGATCAAGAAGAACTTCTTGAAAAATAATGGGGCCTGAGGGCTGGGCATGGTGGCTCACACCTGTAATCCCAGCACTCTGGGAGGCCAAGGCAGGCAGATCACAAGGTCGAGATCAAGACCATCCTGGCTAACACAGTGAAACCCCATCTCTATTAAAAATACAAAAAAATTAGCTGGGCATGGTGGCAGGCGCCTGTAGTCCCAGCTTCTCCTGAGGCTGAGGCAGGAGAATGGCGTGAACCCGGGAGGCATTGCTAGCGGTGAGCAGAGATTGCGCCACTGCACTCCAGCCTGGGCAAAAGAGCAAGACTCCGTCTCAAAAAATACAAATAAATAAATAATGGGGCCTGAAAGCTAGAACCAGCGGTGCAAAGAGACCCTGATAATGCAGGCCAACACCATCTGTAACCAAGCCATAGGGCCACACGCACAGTCCTGTCTCCACCTCACCTTATTTCGACTGTAGCGGACGGTACCCTTTCGGGTATCTTCTGAGACGAGGTCTGTAAATATCCAGCCAACCTTAAAAAAAGGAAAGTAGCTTTTAAACATCTCCTCAAGATAGACGATGAATGGCTGGGCGCAGTGACTCACGCCTATAATCACAGCACTTTGAGAGGCCGAGGCAGGAGAATCACGAGGTTAAGAGATCGAGACCATCCTGGCCAATACAGTGAAACCCCATCTCTACTAAAAATACAGAAATTAGGCCGGGTGCGGTGGCTCACGCCTGTAATCCCAGCACTTTGGGAGGCCGAGGCGGGTGGATCACCCGAGGTCGGGAGTTCGAGACCAGCCTGACCAACATGGAGAAACCCTGTCTCTACTAAAAATACAAAATTAGTTGGGGTGGTGGCGCATGCCTGTAATCCCAGCTACTCAGGAGGCTGAGGCAGGAGAATCACTTGAACCCGGGAGGCAGAGGTTGCAGTGTGCCAGGATCGCGCCATTGCACTCCAGCCTGGGCAACAAGAATGAAACTCCATCTCAAAAAAAAAAAAAAAAAATTAGCTGGGCGTGGCCGGGTGTGGTGGCTCACGCCTGTAATTCCAACACTTCGGGAGGCCAAGACGGTGGATCACGAGGTCAGGAGATCAAGACCATCCTGGCTAACATGGTGAAATCCCGTCTCTACTAAAAATAGAAAAAAATTAGCCGGGCGTGGTGGCGGGTGCCTGTAGTCCCAGCTACTCAGGAGGCTGAGGCAGGAGAATGGTGTGAACCCGGGAGGTGAAGCTTGCAGTGAGCCGAGATTGCGTCACTGCACTCCAGCCTGGCCCACAGAGCAAGACTCTGTCTCAAAAAAAAAAAAAAAAAAAAAGATAGATGATGAATGTTTTCTGGCTTCTGCCCAGAGAGCTTAAAAAGAATGTTCTCAGTCAGAAACTCCTTTTTGTGAGCCAGGTGAATCTACATCAACAGGTTCCTCAAGTAAGATGCCAGGCCACACCCAGGGATCTCCATCTCTGTTCAGTAGAAACTGGCCACCCTCCCTCTGGTGCTGCTGGGTTAGAGATGAGTTTCCTCAGCACCAGCTCTGCCCAGCACCATGCTGGGTGCAAGAGACACAGCAGTGAGTGAGACCAACAGAAGGTGAGTGAAAAAGGCACTTAAACTCCCAAGAGGAAGACAGACAACAAGCAAGCAAATAAACATTTCAGAGAGTAGGTCTTTCCTGACAAGCTAAGAAAAAGGATTCCTAGAGAAAGGCACATAATACAAAAGGGGTAATATAATGCAGACTTCACACAGCTGCTCCTGGGAGCTCCACCTCAAGGCCGGAAGGAAGCATCTGAGGGTATGAGGATCTGAAACCTGTGACCCAGCAACCCCTGCACGTTCAGTGTAGCAGTGCCTGTGTGCTGTGTGATCCTTAGGCCCGCCTCTGCCTGTGAATTCCTGCACCAGAAGCCCGTCACGAGGCCACAGGAGCAGCAGTTGAGTCCCGGCAATTGTCACTTCTGTCCTCGGGAAGGATCTGCGGCCCATGACCCTCTCCAGCACTACCTGACACACAACTCTTCCCATCCACCCCCAGCAGACATGACTAGCCCACTGGGAGACTTTCACTGTCTTTAAAGATGCCCCAATGAATGAAAAACCCAAGGTGGTGGCAACAGAGAAAATGAAACTTAAAGGGTTAATTATGCAGTAAATAAAGCAAAATCAAAATCAAACTGAGAAAAATTAGGGCTTAGAAACTCATATTTTAGGCCAGGCACGGTGGCTCACGCCCATAATCCCAGAACTTTGGGAGACCAAGGCGGGTGGATCACCTGAGGTCGAGAGTTCAAGACCAGCCTGGCCAACATGGTGAAACATCGTCTCTATTAAAAATACAAAAATTAACTGGGCGTTGTGGCGGGTGCCTGTAATCCCAGCTACTTGGGAGGCTGAGGCAGGAGAATCACTTGAACCCGGGAGGCAGAGGTTGCAGTGAGCCAAGATCGTGCCACTGCACTCCAGCCTGGGTGAAAGAGCAAGACTCCTCAAAAAAAAAAAATAAAATAAAATAAAAAGAGAAACTTGTGTCTTGCAGAAAATTATTTAAGTAATTTCAAGATTATGAACTGTAAGATTATAACAAATTAGGTCAAAAAATTGGACCAATCTCTTTTAAACAAGAGAACTTCCAGAATTTGAACCCAAATATGCCCCTAAATCAAGATGCTGACTCCTTGTTAGAAACAGGATGTTTCTTTCCTAAAGACAGTAAAACTGTGTGGACTGCTCACTGACACTACTAGGTTTTAAGTCACATTTGCAGTCTCACCCGCTTCATCTGTAGAGAAGATTAAATAATCTAGAGATTATTTTTCATGGTCTGAGTTGATTAGGAAATAAAGGATAAAACATACTTATTAACATTAAACTCGTAAGATATGTTCAAATTCATGGCTCTACATTAATTTATTAAAATTGTTCCTGGGAACTGTATCAATGTCAGATAAACCAGATCAATAGAATAAAAAAGGAAATCCTTTTCTCATCTTCTAACTGTTCCATGAAACTAGGAAGAATTGTAGGCTCAGAGAGCTAAATTATAAACAGGAAATTAAATGATGATTGATGACGGAGCAGCAGAAGCTCCAAGTGCATGGCACAGAACATGAACACTGTCAATGGAATGTCAGCCTTGACTGTCCTCGGCTTCCAAGCTACATGAAGGGAGAGCTCAGGCAGAAGGGACACACATGCACAGAGGAGCCAGCAGGGGTGCGGCTGGGGTCTGTTTCCCACTTGAAGCAGTCCTCATGAAGTGTGGCTGGAAGGCTGAAATATAACAGCCAGATCTGCACTGGGATTTTTTTTTTTTTATGCTCAAGAAAATGTTCTCATTTTAGTTTAAGTCAGAGGAACATAAAGGTTATTGGTGCCCAACAAACATATGTGAAGTTTCAAAACATATAGTGCCTGCACCTGACCTTGTGCAGCCGGAGAGAGCCAGTACCCGACACAGCCCGGCCACTCTCCCAACTCCCCCTGGCCTGGATGCCCAACAGAGCCTGGCCACGCCCCCTGCTTGGCTGCCGGATGCCTCAGTACCTTCCGCAGGCCAAGTTTGGCAGCAATTTCATCGACCACTTCAGCTTTTGGATCCTCAAGAAGCTCCAAGCTGTTCTGTGTACCAATCTGCAGGGAATCAAAGGGAGAAGATGGACTTAGAGCAGAGGGCTCAGGAAGCAGCACCCCAAGCCCTTCCACTTCCAGCTCTAGGTCACAAGGAGTGCTGGGGGCCTCCTTGTCAGAAAGGAGAACTATAGCCACAGATAAAACACATGCGACACGCCTCCCGGCTTCTCTCCTTCTCGGGTTGTGCTGCACCTTTTACCAGGGCTGCAAAACATGTGGCATGCAGGGCCCAGCTGATGTGTGCTGCACAGCTCTGCATCAGGAGCACTCAGGACTAAGGCAAGGCAAGGTCTACACACTCTGCCTGTTTTAAAAGTTCCTTCATCAGGGAATTAAGTTACTTTCAAACTTCCTTGGATAAGTAGCTTCACTCCAAACAGGTTTGGCTAAATTAGGCAAGACTCAAACTGTAAGGTAACATCCATTCCCACAAAACAGCCTTGGAAAATCTGTGTGCCACTCCTGCAGAGACAATGCTTGGCTTCACAGCTAAGATACTCAGTTACAGGGACACTATGAACTCCACAGAGAGCGATGAGCTCACCAACCCTAAGGAAGGGAAAAGGTGTTCAAAAATCAACCACCTCCTTTCATCTGGCACAGGGCAGTCGATGAGTTGTAGCTTCGACTGGCTCCCATGCAACTGAAACCAACCACAGCACATCACTTCCCAGAGTGGACCAAGCTTACCGAAATCATTAATGTTCACTTAAATGTAGCTTGCGGGTCATTCAAAGGTATCATTCTATGCAGAAACCCCAGCCATAAGAATAGGAAAGGTAAAGGTAATCTCAAATTGAGTTACAGTAACTGGGCATATCCTTGTAAATTAGTGAAAATCTGGCAAACCACAAAGAAGTTTACGTTTGCTGGGTATTACCCATATGGAGGTCATTAATACCTCCAGAACGTAGGTTAAATCACAAACTCAGAGAAAAAGCTAAGGAAAAGGAGTTGTTTAATGACATGTGGCAGCATAAGCTGCATAAGCAAATTTTTGTGTGTGTATTTTTAGTAGAAACGGGGTTTTGCCATGTCAGCCAGGCTAGTCTTGAACTCCTGGCCTCAAGTGATCTGCCTTGCCCCTACAAAGTGCTGGGATTATAGATGTGAGCCACCACGGCTGGCCTCAATTATACTTTTAATAGAACCGTTGAGCTCTCCATGAAAGAGACCCTTTAAAAAAACTGAATCTGAATACTGTGTGCTTCGAAAAGCAGCATCCTGAGTACAGCACAGTGACCTAAGGGTTGAGACTTCACTGGCGGGGTCTCTACTGCCATCTAGTGTCTCTTTTTAAAAGAACCATGGCAAAGGCCTCATGAAACACTACATCTATTGCTATACAAAGATACCAAAAATGTCACTGAAAATCCGTATAAATACAGCCAAGAAAGACACACATTTGTGCAGGGGCCACTAGCAAGCCTGTACACCAGCTGTTACCCATGCATAGCCTGCAGTTTCAGACTCTGATCAGCAAACTCTGAAAGCAGCTGCAGGGCACCCCAGCCTGCCTCCCAGGCAGGTTATCTAAATAGGAGGCTAGCCATCCGGTGATCTCCACAAGACAGTGTTAGGTGGAAAAAGTGCACATATTATACGTACAAAGAAACAAAGAAGGGGGATAGTATGAATGTGCGTGCATGCATGCGTGTGTGTATGTGCTTACACTAAAAATGTCACATACAAAAAAAACAAAACTAGCCAGGCTCAGTGGCATACACCGATAGTCCCAGCTACTTGGGAGAAAGAGGTAAGAGGATCTCGCTCAGGAGCGAGACCTTGTTTCAAAACAAAACAAAACAAACAAACAAACAAACAAAAAACAAACTTTTGCCAAGCACAATGGCTTATGCTGGTAATTCTAGTACTTTAGGAGGCCAAGGCAGTAGGATCACTTGAGGCCAGGAGTTTGAGACCAGCGTGGGCCACACAGAGACCCTCCCTGTATAAAAAAAAAAATTAAACAATTAAACAATTAAAAAAAAATCAGGCCGGGCGCAGTGGCTCACGCCTATAATCCCAACACTTTGTGAGGCTGAGGCGGGTGGATCACGAGGTCAGGAGTTTGAGACCAGCCTGACCAACATGGTGAAACCCTGTCTCTACTAAAATTACAAAAATTAGCCAGGCGTGGTGGCGGCACCTGTAATCCCCGCTATTCAGGAGGCTGAGGCAGGAGAATCACTTGAACCCGGAAGGCGGAGGTTGAAGTGAGTGGAGATCATGCCACTGCACTCCAGCCTGGGTGACAGAGTAAAACTCCGTCTCAAAATTAAAAAAAAAAAAAAAAATCAAACTTCAGGAAGTCCAACTAAAAAGATTTAGGCTGAGCATGGTGGCTTATGCTTGTAATCCCAGAATTTTGGTAGGCTGAGGCGAGTGAACTGTGTGAGCCCAGGAGTTCCAGACAAGCCTGGGTAACATGGCGAGATCTGTCTCCACACACACTATATATGTATATACACATACATACATATATATGTATATATACACACACACATATATATATACACACACATATATATACACACATATATATACACAAATACACACACACACACACACACACACACACACACACATATAAAAGTCAGACATGGTGGTGCACGCCTGTAGTCCCAGACACTTGGGAGGCTGAGGCAGGAGGATTGCTTGAGCCCAAGAGGGCTGCAATTGAGGCTGCATTGAGCCATGATGGCAGTACTGCACTCCAGCCTGAGCAACAGAGTGAGACGCTGTCTCAAAAAGAAAAAGGTTTTAAATTCTAGGGGCTACCTATAAAGGAAAGCAGGGTAAAAGGAAATGAATATACCTTGTTTGTAAACATGACTTTGGAAATGTGCACTTTTTTTTTCTTTTCTAACTTTTAAAAATATTTCTGGCTGGGCACAGTGGCTCCTACCTGTAATCTCAACACTTCAGGAGGCCAAGATGTGAGGGTCACTTGAGGCCAGTAGTTCAAGACCAACCTGGGCAATATAGCGAGACCCTGACTCTACCAAAAATTTAAAAACTAGCTTGGCATGGTGGCATGCACCTGTAGTCCCAGCTACTCAGAAGGCTGAGGCAGGAGGATCGCTTGAGCCCAGGAGGTCAAGGATGCAGTAAGCTATGACTGCACAACTGCACTCCAGTCTGGGCAACAGAGCAAGACTCATCTCTAAAAAATAAATAAATAAAAATTAAAAATTTCTAACATACAGCTAATTTAAAGAATTTTACAGTGAATACTCATATACCCACCACTAGATTCACCATGAACATTTCCTATGCACTATCTGTCCCTCTAGTCACCCATCAATTCATTTTATTTTTCTATTGGATTTCAAGTGTATTACAGACATAAATGTACTTCTCCCTAAATAGTACAGCATGCATATCATTAACTAGCATTCAATATTTGCTTACTTTTTTACTTTTGCAATAAAATGTATGTAAAATACACTACATCATTATACATAATTACAAAACAAATTGAAATTTATATAAATATACACACACAGCCCAATTCCCAAAAACCAGAAATACAATGTGTAACTAGTTGGTGGCATAATCATACCGAGAGGGCCTTCCAATGACTTCCAAGCACAGTGACTAGATGTGCACACACCCTGCGGGATATACCCTCAGGACACTTCTTTCCCCTCCAAACAAATCTTAAATTGTTATCAGTCCTATTTTGGTGGCAGTTTTTGTTACTCTGGTGACACTCTGGTGATTGGTGCTGAGGTGTGTCTGTGGCCTTCTCCATGGTTCCTAAGACAGTGACTGCTGCATGGTGGAAGAGACACAGAATGACACAAGGACTGAGCACCTGGACACTACAGAGTCAATGAGCAAACCTGGACACAGCAGACGAGATAAAAACACTGGATCAATAGTGGCAAATGTACCGGTTGTGTAAGAAAATATCCTTATCCTTAGTAACATACACTGAAGGTTTTAGGAGCCATGATCTCACTCTCCAATAACTCAGAAAATGTTGTGCACGTGCACCGGTGTGTGACAAAGGGGGAACAAACAACAAAGCGAACAGGGCAAGGCCTCTCCGAAAGGGCGTCCCCCACAGCCTCCAAACACAGAAACTCAGGAACTTGAATCCCGTCATGTTTACCTGAGGTGGCTCATAAATCGCAGCCACTTCAGCCCTGATGCCAAGGGGAATGTCTTTGTGCTCCGTGTACCGTCCGTATAAGTACCCAAAATGCTGGTTCCCTGTCTTTCTCCAGAAGTCAAGAAAGCGGTCAGCGACGGTGTGATTCTCAAACATGATATTGTCCACATGCCTGTACTTCTGTAGAGTTAACAAGAGTGGGCTGATGAAAACATGCCATCAAAAAGAAATCACTTGTTTTTCTAACACAAACCATTCATAAATATCTTTTACCTAGTTCTTTAAAAAACAAACCAATAGGGTGTGATGGTGCATGCCTGTGGTCCCAGATACTCAGGAGGCCGAGGCTAGAGGATCGCTTAAGCCCAGGAGTTCAAGTCCAGCCTGGGTGACAGAGTGAGACCCCTTGTATCTTAAAAAATAAACATCTGGGCTGGGCGCAGTGGCTCACGCCTGTAATCCCAGCACTTTGGGAGGCCAAGGCGGGCGGATCATGAGGTCAGGAGATCAAGACCATCCTGACCAACATGATGAAATCCCGTCTCTATTTTTTTTGTATTTTATAAAAATACAAAAAATTAGCCAGAGCCAGGCGTGGTGGCGGGCGCCTGTAGTCTCAGTTACTCGGGAGGCTGAGGCAGGAGAATGGCGTGAACCCGGGAGGTGGAGCTCGCAGTGAGCTGAGATGGCGCCACTGCACTCCAGCCTGGGCGACAGAGCAAAACTCCATCTCAAAAAAAAAAAATAAATAATAATAATAATAATCTGCTATTCTATTTAAAAATAAAAACAATAAACATTACTTAAGAAAAAAACCAGTCAGGCACGGTGGCTCATGCCTGTAATCCCAGCACTATGGGAGGTGAGGCAGGCGGATCTCTTGAGTCCAGGAGTTAAACCTCAAAAATTATTCAATACAGTGAAACCCTGTCTCTACTAAAAATACAAAAATTAGCCAGGCATGGTGGCTCATGCCTGTAATCCCAGCTACTCCGGAGGCTGAGGCAATAGAATCACTTGCACCTGGGAGGCTGAGGTTGCAGTGAGCCAAGACTGCACCACTGCAATTCAGCCTGGGCTACGGAGTGAGACTCTGTCTCAAAAAAAAAAAAAAATGCTCTGCCCTTTAGACCACTTCAGAGTCCAGTGGCGGGACACGGGGTTATAGGAGGATGGAGATGGGTTTCATCTATCAATAAATTCAAAATAATTCCATTGTGATTTAACCTAAAATACAGGTTTTCACAATCTCTAGGGCAAAAAACAAACACATTTTCTTTTTTTTTTTTTTTGAGACGGAGTCTCGCTCTGTCACCCAGGCTGGAGTGCAGTGGCGTGATTTTGGCTCACTGCAACCTCTGCCTTCAGGTTCAAGTGATTCTCCTGCCTCAGCCTCCTGAGCAACTGGGACGACAGGCGCCCATCACTACGCCCAGCTAATTTTTTGTATTTTTAGTAGAGATGGGGTTTCACCATATTGGCCAGGCTGGTCTTGAACTCCTGACCTCAGGTGATCCGCCCACCTCAACCTCCCAAAGTGCTGGGATTACAGGTGTGAGCCACCTTGCCCGGCCAAAATAAAGTAGTTTTCAAGAAGAAAAAAGGAATAGAGAATAGGAGGTTTCCAAAAAAGTCGAGGAGGCCACGGAATTCTCTCTAAGGAGCCGTTTTCTCTAAGGGCACAGCGGCAGGAGGAAGGCGAGGCAGGCTACTCAGAGGCGGGACAAGGACAGCAGAACATCCAGAAAGGCCGGAACGCTCCCTCCTTCCTGAGCCACATTCTCTCCTTAAGCCAGCCTGGACAGGTGCTCAGAGCTGGTCCAAGGGGTGCCCCTTTACCAACCTTCAGAGCCAGTTTCCTCACAACCACTGAGGATTTTAAATAATCATCAGGAACATTCTGCCTCCATATGAGCCAGCAAAACAGAGAACTGAGGGCGCGCACTCCATATCTCCAAGAGCAAGAAGCCTTAAAAATGATATATTCAGTGTACCACTTCCACAAAAGGATCATTCAGTCCATCAAAAAGTACTGAAAATCCACCACGCATAGTGCTAATAGCATTCCACTCCAAGGGGCTCTTCTGGAAATATCCGTTTCTCAGCCATGAAAACAAATCTAGACAGACAGGGAACATCTCACCTGTCTGTTCAGCGTGATGGCGCTCGGCTGGCACTTAGTACAGATGCCATTCGGCCACGGGAGGTGCCCCTCGCACCCTGACTTAATCTTGCAGCTGATGTTCTCCAGGGCAACAAACTTCCCCCTACATAGAAGAGAAGCAACTTAAACATCACATTGGTGAAAAGTTGAGCAAGAGGCTGGAAATGACATGCTAAGTATCTTATACCTCCTGAACAGTGTCTCAGGAGCTAAGCACGTGGCAGCAGCAGGGAAGATGGGCTAAGGATGATTCTAATGGAAGCTCTACCTACAGTTCCAGCACATTCCGAATCCCAGCTTCTGTCCCACATACTTCAACCATACAGGAACACACAACTACTTTCCTACCAAACTGTGGTGTTTTTTACCATCTATCACTAACATCCGAGAAAGCTTTCAAGAATACTGTAGAATATCTACTGATCTCACCTGTGCCACTGAGCGGGCATGAGGCTCCTACAGGTTTCATTAAATTGTCAGAAACTTTGACATTAGCCCAGTACTTAGATATTTGTAAAAAATTCTTATTCATGGGAAAAATCTGATTAGGATATATAATTAAGGCATCTTTACTCTGCTTTAGGCTAAAATAAAAACTACTGTTGAAGACTGTCAATGAGAAAATCCTGGACCCTACTCTGAACTTTTTCTTTTTCTCCAGCTTTATTGAAATATAACTGACAAAAAAAAAAAAAAAAGAAATCTGTATCTTTAAGGTAGACGTGAGGTTTTGTTTTTCAAATAAAAACGATATATTTACAGTGTACGAAATGATATTCTGAAACATGTCCACACTGTGGAACGGCTAAATTGAGCTAATTAACATATGCATTACCTCACATACTGATCATTTTTGGTGGTGAGCCATTTTTGGTATCATAGCATCTAGGAAGCAAAGACTCGTCACTGAATCTGCATGCTAACAGCAGCCACAAACACGCCCCCACTAGAGACTGTGTTCCTTGACCTAGACTGAGAAAGGCTGACCAAGTCTCTTTCACTACAATCAATCTGCACCCACTCCTTAGTCCAGAGAGTTCCACAGCTTTCCCCACTGACAAGCAACAGTGGGTTTCTAGCAGGTTTTTTCTTCTGGTCTAACATTTTTAAAAAGTCATTTTAGGATGTCAGCAGGTTGTCAGAGAAAAGCTACAATCAGGCGAATATGACATCCTTCACAAAATGTTGCTGACTTCAGTTCAGCCACCATCTCCTCGTTGCACTGACAGGAATTATAAAATAATAGCTGAAGCCTGCTACTTTCTGGTAGGGTGTACAGAGAGCCAACAGGAGAAGGTCATACAGGCAAGGGCTTGCCATGGCTTAAAAGAAATCAAAATGCTCAGTTCACCCCTTTCTGGCCACTGTTACCACCTCTGCCCACCTGGCTGAGCCTGTGGGCAACTACTGTGGTACCATGAGGATTAGTGGCTGCAGCCCCTGCTGTGGCTGAAAACCAAGCTGACTCAGAGGCCAGGCTCTGGGGAAAGGGTTACCAGGCACTGAGGTGGGGAAGCTGAGATTCTCACAGGGTAGTTGTTTTTCTGAAAAGCAGAGAATGAACTCAGACCACAGAATCAACAGGCCACCATCACAGATGCTAACTTGCTGGGGTGGTGTGTGTGGGGACAGCCTCTGTCTGATACTGCACTGTGGCCACGCAGCCAGGCGCCTGCACAGTCGCTCTGCCTTGCTAGCTCCCTTCTAGAACCAGGTTGGCCAGGCGAGGTGGCTCACACCTGTAATCCAGCACTTTGGGGAAACCAAGGCAGGAGGATCACTTGAGCCAAGGAGTTCTAGACCAGCCTGGGCAACATAGTGAGACCCCATCTCTTAAAAACATATATGAGTACATAAAAAATAAATAAATAAATATAGAACCACGGTAACTTTCAAAGGCGTGTGACCCCTTCTCATCTTTACTTCTCTCATTCACACGTTCACTGGCTATAAGCAACAACTGCCAGCTACACAAAAAGGAATTTACGCACAACCAGGTTACAGCAAGTTGCTTACTTGTCAGCCCCTCCAGTCAGCTTCCGGATGTAGGCGTGGAAGGACATGTGCTTCACGGGAGGCTCGAGATGGTTTAGATAGTCCTCATCGAATGGCTGCCAAGACACAGAGTAAGCGAGTGCAGTCTCACACGTGCCGGTCACTCCAGGCGCTGAGCCTCTGCTACGCACAGGGGGAGGCCAGCAGCATGGCCTTGGCAAGTCAAGGCCCACAGTGAAAGCAGGTACTAGGGTCTCCCTTACCACTCTGAGTCAGAACCAAGTTTTTCTTTTTTTAATTAATTGTTTTTTGTTTGTTTGTTTTGAGACGGAGTCTCACTCTGTCGCCCAGGCTGGAGTGCAGTGGCACAGTGGCACAGTCTCTGCTCACTACAACCTCCACCTCTGGGTTCAAGCAACTCTTCTGCCTCTGCCTCCCAAGTAGCTAGGACTACAGGTGCACGCCACCACGCCCAGCTTATTTTTGTATTTTTAGTGGAGACGGGGTTTCAGCATATTGGCCAGGCTGGTCTCAAACTCCTGACCTCATGATCCACCCGCCTTGGCCTCCCAAAGTGTTAGCTTTACAGGCGTGAGCCACTGAGTCTGGCCAATTTAACTGTTTTAGAGATGGGGTCTCATGCTGTTGCCCAGGTTGGAGTATGGTGGTGCAATCATGGCTCACTGCAGCCTCGACCTCAAGTGATTCTCTTGCCTCAGCTTCCTGAGTAGCTGGGACTACAGGCGTGAACCACCACACCCAGCTAATTTTTTAAATTTTTTGTAGAGACAGGGTATACAAAAAAAGAGTTGCCCAGGCTGAACAATTCCTAGGCTCAAATGATCCTCTGGCCCTGGCCTCCCAAAGTGTCGGGACTACAGGCGTCACTGCACATAGCCAGAAGCAAGTTTTTCTTTGTGTGCCAGTTATCTTTTCAAGATTAAAATGAATCTCTATTAAACACAAAACGCTCTAAGTCAAATGAGTTTCAGGAAAATTGTGCAAAAAGAAATGCCACAAGATGAGGCAAGAGATGCCTCATGAAGAAAATCGGGCTGGCCTTCCTGCTGTAAACCCAGCATTAACAGTTCCAGTCGGCATTATTACGGTAACTCTCAGTCTCACCAGGACAAACCAGTAGAAGAGATGTGAGATTCAAGGCAAAGTAAATCAACAATGATAAGCACGGAGGCCGACAGGCTCAGCTTTGTGTCAGATCGGAAAAGGATTGTCCAGGGAGCCCGCTGTAAATGCTGCCCCTTTATCACAGCCACACAAATGCTTCAGCCATTCATAATCCAGCGAGAAGGTCACTCCCATAAATAAAGGCTCGTCCTGTGTGCAGCTTGCACTAGGGGAATATGAGGCCCAGGGCAATAAATAGGTAAGTTCTTTGAACCACTCACTACAGCCAAGTGCGTGGACTCAGGGCAAGCACTTAAGACAGCTGTCTACCCGCAGCCCCCCACACTGGCCCAGAACTTACTCCGCAGAGACTCTCACCTCTAGAGGGACGCAGTGCACGCATTTCCCCAAAGGGCCGTGGCGGCATCTGAGGAGAGTACAAGGCAGAAAAAGGCAGAGCAGTGAGGATGTCTGTGTTCCGCTGCTGCTGTCTCACATGCACGTCCTACTTTAACAGAGTGTTTCCCTGCCCACGTGGAGTTATATTCCAGATGGCACATGGATAAACATTTATATTTTAATTGTTGTTTTGTTTTGTTTAAAGACAGGCTCTCACTCTATCGCCCAGGCTGGAGTGCAGTGGTGATCGTGGCTCCCTGCAGCCTTCACCTCCTGGGCTCAAGCACTCCCACCTCAGCCTCCCCGAGTATCTGGGACTCCAGGTGTACACCACCACACCCAGAAGTTTACTACTTATGTTGATATGAATTAGAAAAAACTGACCCGCACATCAAACCTGTGACTTCATGGGTATCCACTGCTTAAAATGACACAAACCAGGCCGGGCGCGGTGGCTCACGCCTGTAATCCCAGCACTTTGGGAGGCCGAGGCGGGTGGATCATGAGGTCAGGAGATCGAGACCATCCTGGCTAACAAGGTGAAACCCCGTCTCTACTAAAAATACAAAAAATTAGCCGGGCGCGGTGGCGGGCGCCTGTAGTCCCAGCTACTCGGGAGGCTGAGGCAGGAGAATGGCGTGAACCCGGGAAGCGGAGCTTGCAGTGAGCCGAGATTGCGCCACTGCAGTCCGCAGTCCGGCCTGGGCGACAGAGCGAGACTCCGTCTCAAAAAAAAAAAAAAAAAAAAAAATGACACAAACCAAAGATAAAAGTGAATGAACTCAAAGTCAATGTAAGTAGTTTATTGGCCAAAGGCAGTGGCTCACACCTCTAATCCCAACACTTTGGGAGGCTGAGATGGGTGGATCACCTGAGGTCAGGAGTTAAAGACAAGCCTGGCCAACATGGTGAAACCCCATCTCTACTAAAAATACAAAAATTAGCCGGACGTGGTGGCAAGCACCTGTAATGCCAGGAACCAGGGAGGCTGAGGCAGGAGAATTGCTTGAACCTGGGAGGCAAAGGTTGCGATGAGCTGAGATTGTGCCACTGCACTCCAGCCTGGGAGACGAGAGTGAAATTCCACTCAAATAAATAAATAAATAAAATAGTTTTTTTTTTGTTTTCTTTTTTTCTGAGACGGAGTTTCACTCTGTCACCCAGGCTGGAGTGCAGAGGTATGATCTCGGCTCCATGCAACCTCCGCCTCCTCGTTTCAAGCGATTCTCCTGTCTCAGCCTCCCAAGTAGCTGGGACTACAGGTGCACACCACCATGCCTGGCTAATTTTTGTATTTTTAGTAGAGACGGGATTTCACCATATTGGTCAGGCTGGTCTCAAACTCCTGACCTCAGGTGATCCACCTGCCTCAGCCTCCCAAAGTGCTGGGATTACAGGTGTGAGCAACTGCGCCTGGCCAAGTCCATTTAAAGAAAAGTGTTAAATAGGCCAGGTGTGGTGGCTTGCGCCCTGTAATCCCAGCACTTTGGGAGGCCGAGGCGGGTGGATCACAAGTCAGGAGATAGAGACCATCCTGGCAAACACGGTGAAACCCCGTCTTTACTAAAAATACAAAAAAATTAGCCAGGCGTGGTGGCGGGCGCCTGTAGTCCCAGCTACTTGGGAGGCTGAGGCAGGAGAATGGCGTGAACCGGGGGGACGCAGCTGGCAGTGAGCGGACGTCGCGCCACTGCACTCCAGCCTGGGTGACAGAGCGAGAGTCCATCTCAAAAAAAAAAAAAAAAAGAAAAGTGTTAAATAAATAATAACAAAGCTGGTACGTGAACATGGCAAAGGGCCTGAGAGCGGTGCATAAATAATCCAAGTTTGGAAAATACCTACTTCATATGCATTTTGGGAAATAACAACAATGAAAAAACCTTGTCCCACGGCTTTCTAACATTTTCAGTCACAGAAGCCTTGGGAGCACAACACGCACAATCTGAAGGAGAGGTATGCTGGTTTACGAGGGCGCCGGCGGCCGTCCCTCCGGGGCTCAGTCAGACCCCTTTCTAAGTGGGGTCAGAATTCTTACATGCGTATGAGCCCTGTGCTGCGGAACAGAGGTGGCCTCTGTGCTTCCTAATAGGCAGGATCTAAGTGATGATGGCTCAGAATTCTCTCACACACACACGCTCTCAAAAGCTGCTAATGAAGCCATGAAGACACAGATCATGCAAGCAAGCCAGTGCCAGGCCCCTGGGAGGAGACACAAATGGAAGAGGCATGCCGGCTAATGGCTATGGCTACAAAGTGGCTCCATGCCAATGGCAGGAGAGCACCATTTATGGCTCTCTGATCTAAGACATAAAAGTTGCTAATGCAGCATTTGGAATCCCAATACCGCAAAGTCAGCACCCCGTCACATCTACAGAGTGATGCATTTTAAAAAAGACCCCACTGCAGAGACAACCTTCGCTCAGACAATTTCACATGGCCAAGTATAAACTCAGATCCTTCTCACTGGTTTATTTAAAAGGAATTGCAAAAAATCTAAAATAAACAATGTACATATGCATAAGCACTTCATATAGCCCCAGGTGAGGAGGGAATATTCCAAGGCACAGCATCTTCTGCAAGTGAAATGCTTGCTGCAGGGATGGAGAGCGCACACTAGTGTGGCAGGTCAAAATCATCCAACCGCTATGAAATGAGAGACACAGCACTCACCTCACATGGATGCGCACACACAACCACCTGCCCCTTCCCTCCTCCCTCCCCTGCAGCTGCTGATTAACACCCCACTCTGCACGGGAATCAGCATCTCCAGGGGACATCACAGTAAAGACTTGGTGTGAGGCCCCCAACTCCCCCAATACCTTTCCAGTCTCTTTGTACCCAAATGCTTCAAAATTTTTTATGGGAACATATTTTGAGGTGGAAACTGATAAAAAGCTAAAAAAAAAAAACAAAAACCGATAAAAAGCTAACAAGATAACTTGAAGTTTAATCTGAAGATAGTAAAACTTAAGACTTAACATTTCTTCATCAGATACTTATTAAAACAAGACATGTTATAAATATTTCCCTTTATTCACCCATTAAGATCACCACAAGTAGGACCCTGGAATCTCATGGATCACTTACAGCTGTGGGTCTCGGCTTCTGTAAATCTTCCCGTCCTGTTTGCTGAGGTACTGATCAATCTCATCCTCCACCACGTTGGGAGCGCCAAAGACTTTGAAGCCCGGTGGAACTGACGTCTCCATTTCAGATGAGGGCCCAGCAAGGCTCGAGGGAAACAGGAACAACAAATCGCCATGCCTGTTCAAATGATAAACAGAGGCTGATGCCTTCCCTTACCACCTGAGCTTCATGGAAGCCCAACTTGGATATCTGCAAAAAGCAAATGCCAACCACCCCTGTAGGCCTAAACAATGAGGTTTCTAACTTTTAAGATGAGAATTCTCTTCTAACATCTCCCCTATGTTTCCTGGCATTATAAAGACCAGTATGCAGGTTCTCTGTAATTTAATCTCTTACAACTTTACCTTAAACTCTGTGAAGCCTCCATACACCCAAATGATTTTGCTTGCACACACAGCCACAATGGACCTGCTGGGTTTCAGGGCCTCTCCTCCCGCCTCTCACCCTCTGCTTGGCCCCCACCTCCCTCAGCCATTCCTCTGGCCTCTGGGAGGCTCTCTCCTCCCCCAACACTGCATGTGCTGGTTGCATGTATCTCCACTGCTTTCTCGGCGTTCACATACACACGTAAGCACAGACACGCATAGGAGCTGTCACTGCTTTTAAAAAGTGTGACTGGCCAGGCTCGGTGGCTCATGCCTGTAATCCCAGCACTTTGGGAGGCTGAGGCAGATGGATCACAAGGTCAAAAGATCAAGACCATCCTGGCCAACAGGGTGAAATCTCGTCTCTATTAAAAATACAAAAAGACTAGCTGGGCGTGGTGGCGCACGCCTGTAGTCCCAGCTACTCGGGAGGCTGAGGCAGGAGAATCACTTGAACCCAGGAGGCGGAGGTTACAGTGAGCCAAGATCACACCACTGCACTCCAGCCTGGTGACAGAGGGAGGCTCCATCTCAAAAAAAAAAAAAAAAAAAAAGTGGGATTACCAGAGACATACTTTTCTATTTCAACAACCCCTCATAAAATCCTCCAAATATAAGGAGTCCACGTCTAATTGCTATGACAATGGCTGCCTCAATTCCCCAGTGAGGCTGCTTAACCACCCCCTCAGCCACTCCTCCCACAATGACAAGTATGCACACCATCTGCCAGCTTCTGCCATCATCACCACCCCCCAAAAAGGCCCACGGACAGACGTCCCTGTGGTTTTCCTTCTAAAGGGCAAACTCCCAGGAGTCAGACTTAAGGGTTTCTGCTTGTCTCTGAAGCTACTGACGTACTGCTTTCCAAAAAGGTTGCCACAAGTCACATCTGGTTTTCTATCACTTTCAGTCTGAAGTGTGTTCTTCCCTTGGTCAGAGTCACGCTGCCAACTTGGTGCCAGGTTTGACTGGCATGGCAAACTGCTGACCTCAGAGGCTAACAAGCATCTCCACTCACAGTCCACAGAAGCCGCCTGGGGTCCCAAGTGACCAGAGATGGCTGCCAACACTAACCCTCCAGGCCAGCCTTGGAAGAAAGGCTGCAGCATGTCCTCTGACAGATATCTAACTGCTGCCAACAAGACACACACACAGGGGACAGTCTGAGAGGGCAGGATCCACAGCTCTAAACCAACACGGTGAAGGAAGAGCAGAGGCCAAAGTGCAGGCCCTCAAGGACACACAGACACTGGGGCTCAGGTGCAGCTCTTCAACTAATTTCTTTCCTCCTCCTCTTCCTCCCTAATTTGGGGGTGATGAACATTACCAAACATTACCACATCAGAGACGTCTGTTTCTTTTTTTTTTTTTTTTTGAGACAGAGTCTTGCTCTGTCACCCAGGCTGGAGTGCAGTGGCGTGATCTTGGCTCACTGGAACCTGCATCTCACGGGTTTAAGCGATTCTCCTGCCTCAGCCTCCCAAGTAGCTGGGATTACAGACATGTGCCACCACGCCCAGATACTTTTTGTATTTTTAATAGAGACGGGGTTTCTCCATGTTGGACAGGCTGGTCTCGAACTCCTGACCTCAGGTGATCCACCTGCCTCGGCCTCCCAAAGTGCTAGGATTACAGTCGTGAGCCACCACGTCCAGCCGAGACGTCTGTTTCTAATAGCAGATTACATATTCCTAAACACCATCTAACTACTAATATAAAAAACTTGACTTACACACAAGATCAATTTTAACAAATATACTCTAAAATCAATTGATGAGCTCTAAAGAAAGTAGAGGAAATCCCCAGGGGACAAACCCAGCAGTGCACTCAGACAGCAGCCAGCAACACAGAACTCAGAGCTGCTTGTGGGGCCAAGGCCACTCTCAGTAATTCACTCACAGCTTTGGGCCTACAGCGGTTTGCTGGGCACTGGGAGACAAGAACTTGGGCTTCCCTGCCCAGAGGGGGCAGCTGAGTCCGAAACTTCCACATAAATGCAGATAACCAAAGGACGCCTGAACAGCTGTGAAAAACCCACCAGCTGAAAATAGGAACCAAGGAGGAATCCCATCTGCCTCTATCCAGTACACAGCAAAAAAAACCAACAAAGTCACCTCTGAGACTCTGTAACTAAAGGCCTGCTGGGCCATGCATCTGGAGCAGAACCAGGGATGATGCCATTTGGTTCAGAAAGCCCAAAGACAGAAATTAACTCAAAGGAGTTGTAGGTCCATCACACCCCCCTGTGCCAACAAAAGCAAATGCAAACCTCTGTAGAAAAGCTGCTAAATCTGGGCCGGGCGTGGTGGCTCACGCCTGTAATCCCAGCACTTTGGGAGGCTGAGGTGGGAGGATCACGAGGTCAAGAGATTGAGACCATCCTGGCCAGCACAGTGAAACCTCGTCTCTGCTAAAAATAAAAAAAAAAATTAGCCGGGGGTGGTGGCGGGCACCTGTAATCCCAGCTACTCAGGAGGCTGAGACAGGAGAATGGCATGAACCCAGGAGGCGGAGCTTGCAGTGAGCTGAGATCGCACCACTGCACTCCAGCCTGGGCGACATAGCAAGACTCTGTCTCAAAAAAAAAAAAAAAAAAGAAAAGCAAAGCTGCTAAATCTGGATCCTTCAGGATTCCTCAAGACCAAGTTTGGTCAAATATAACCTGTCATAAGAACCAAAAATCCAAATGTAGAAGAGTAACACATGGGCCAGGCACAGTGGCTCACACCTGTAATCCCAGCACGTTGGGAGGCCGAGGCAGGAGGATCATGAGGTCAGGAGATTGAGACGATCCTGGCTAACACGGTGAAACCCCGTCTCTACTAAAAATAGAAAAAATTAGCCGGGCATGGTGGCAGGTGCCTGTAGTCCCAGCTACTCGGGAGGCTGAGGCAGGAGAATGGGGTGAACCCAGGGGGCGGAGCTTGCAGTGAGCCAAGATGGTGCCACTGCCCTCCAGCCTGGGCGACAGAGCAAGACTCCATCTCAAAAAAAAAAAAAAGAGTAACACACTACCACGCAAGTAAGAGTGGGCAGAGACATAATTAACAGAGAGTTAGACTGCCAAAGACTCAGACACAGAAATTATGAGACCGAATATCAACCTCTACATGGGATATTAAATGAACAATGGAATGGAAGAAGAGGGTGAGTGACAGAGGCTATCCAAAATGACCAGGCGGGATTCTAGGACATGGAAGTGGCAGGCACCAAAGTCAGTGGCTCTTCCCAAATCTCCCTCCTGCAGGCAGCTAGACCGCATGCCAGGTCCCACCGATGCATCTACAGCAATGCAGGGGGCAGGGATACAAGTGGGGGCAGACAGATGCCAACAGTCACGAGACCCAAGAGGCAGGCCCCCATGTCTCACAGCCCGGATAGGGAGTCCTCAACCACCCAGTGGTCTTCACTGGAGGCCAGCGGGCCAATGTGGCAGCAGAGCAGAAACTAGGAGAAACCAGGAGCCACATGGCCCCTGTGAGTACTTGAAGCCAACAGACAGATTTAGGGGGAAAAAAAATCAGATTACGTATTTATTTATATACTTTTGAGACAGGGTCTTGCTCTGTTGCCCAGCTGCAGTGCAGTGGCACAATCACAGTTCACAACAGTGTGGACAAAGACCCTGTCTCTAAAGAAAAAAAGAGGGTGCCAGGTGTAGTGGCTCACTCCTGTAATCCCAGCACTCTGGGAGGCTGAGGCCAGCAGATCACCTGAGGTTAGGAGTTCAAGACTAGCCTGACCAACACAGAGAAACCCCAAGTCTACTTAAAAATACAAAATTAGGCCGGGCACAGTGGCTCATGCCTGTAATCCCAGCACTTTGGGAGGCTGAAGCAGGTGGATCACAAGGTCGGGAGATCGAGACCATCCTGGCTAACACGGTGAGATCCCGTCTCTATTAAAAACACAAAAAATGCCCCCCCTCCCCCTCCGTCTCTTTCCACGGTCTCCCTCTCATGCCGAGCCGAAGCTGGACTGTACTGCTGCCATCTCGGCTCACTGCAACCTCCCTGCCTGATTCTCCTGCCTCAGCCTGCCGAGTGCCTGCGATTGCAGGCGCGCGCCGCCACGCCTGACTGGTTTTCGTATTTTTTTGGTGGAGATGGGGTTTCGCTGTGTTGGCCGGGCTGGTCTCCAGCTCCTAACCAAGTGATCCGCCAGCCTCGGCCTCCCGAGGTGCCGGGATTGCAGACGGAGTCTCGTTCACTCAGTGCTCAATGGTGCCCAGGCTGGAGTGCAGTGGCGTGATCTCGGCTCGCTACAACCTCTACCTCCCAGCCGCCTGCCTTGGCCTCCCAAAGTGCCGAGACTGCAGCCTCTGCCCGGCCGCCACCCCGTCTGGGAAGTGAGGAGCCTCTCTGCCTGGCCGCCCATCGTCTGGGATGTGACGAGCCCCTCTGCCTGGCTGCCCAGTCTGGAAAGTGAGGAGCGTCTCTGCCCGGCCGCCATCCCATCTAGGAAGTGAGGAGCGCCTCTTTCCGGCCGCCATCCCATCTAGGAAGTGAGGAGCGTCTCTGCCCGGCCGCCCATCGTCTGAGATGTGGGGAGCGCCTCTGCCCCGCCGCCCCGTCTGGGATGTGAGGAGCGCCTCTGCCTGGCCGCGACCCCGTCTGGGAGGTGAGGAGCGTCTCTGCCTGGCCGCCCCGTCTGAGAAGTGAGGAGCCCCTCCGCCCCGCAGCCGCCCCGTCTGGGAAGTGAGGAGCGTCTCCGCCTGGCAGCCACCCCGTCCGGGAGGAAGGTGGGGGGTCAGCGACCCCGCCCGGCCAGCCGCCCCGTCCGGGAGGGAGGTGAGGGGTCAGTGCCCCCGCCCGGCCAGCCGCCCCGTCCGGGAGGGAGGTGGGGGGTCAGCCCCCGCCCAGCCAGCCGCCCGTCTGGGAGGTGAGGGGCGCCTCTGCCCGGCCGCCCCTACTGGGAAGTGAGGAGCCCCTCTGCCCGGCCACCACCCCGTCTGGGAGGTGTACCCAACAGCTCATTGAGAACGGGCCATGATGACAATGGCAGTTTTGTGGAATAGAAAAGGGGGAAAGGTGGGGAAAAGATTGAGAAATCGGATGGTTGCTGTGTCTGTGTAGAAGGAAGTAGACATGGGAGACTTTTCATTTTGTTCTGTACTAAGAAAAATTCTTCTGCCTTGGGATCCTGTTGATCTATGACCTTACCCCAACCCTGTGCTCTCTGAAACATGTGCTGTGTCCACTCAGGGTTAAATGGATTAAGGGCGGTGCAAGATGTGCTTTGTTAAACAGATGCTTGAAGGCAGCATGCTGGTTAAGAGTCATCACCACTCCCTAATCTCAAGTACCCAGGGACACAAACACTGCGGAAGGCCGCAGGGTCCTCTGCCTAGGAAAACCAGAGACCTTTGTTCACTTGTTTGGCTGCTGACCTTCCCTCCACTATTGTCCTATGACCCTGCCAAATCCCCCTCTGCGAGAAACACCCAAGAATGATCAATTAAAAAAAAAAAAAAAAACACAAAAAATTAGCCGGGCATGTTGGCGGGCGCCTGTAGTCCCAGCTATTCGGGAGGCTGAGGCAGGAGAATGGCATGAACCCGGGAGGTGGAGCTTGCAGTGAGCTGAAATCGCGCCACTGGACTCTAGCCTGGGCAACACAGTGAGACTCCGTCTCAAAAAACAAAAACAAAAACAAAATTAGCCGGGCGTGGTGGCACATGCCTGTAATCCCAGCTACTCGGGAGGCTAAGGCAGGAGAATCGCTTGAACCCGGGGGGGCAGAGGTTGTGGTGAGCTGAGACCATGCCACTGCACTCTAGCCTGGGCAACAAGAATGAAACTCTGTCTCAAGAAAAAAAAAAAAAAAGAAAGAAAAGAAAAGAAAAAAGGCGGGGTGCCAGGCGCAGTGGCTTACATCTGTAATGCCAACACTTTGGGAGGCTGAGGCGGGTGAATCACTTGAGGTCAAGAGATTGAGATCAGCCTGGCCAACACGGTGAAACCCTGTCTCTACTAAAAATACAAAAATTACCTGGGAATGGTGGTGGGCACCTGTAATCCCAGCTACTCAGGAGGCTGAGGCAGGAGAATCGCTTGAACCTGGGAGGCAGAGGTTGCAGTGAGCTGAGATTGCGCCACTGCACTCCAGCCTGGGCAACAGATTGAGACTCCGTCTCAAAAAAAAAAAAAAGGTGGGGGTACAGCACCCCATGGTCCTGCTGAGGGAATGGCCTGAGTCTGTCAGGCCTCTGTTTACCGCTTTGCATCGGCAGGAAATCCAGGACACAGAGGGTCATGCTGGAGGGTCTTGTGAATGTGAAATCAGCAAGACCTCAGAGGTGGGAAACTCTACAGGTCAATGGACCAAGTTCCTCAACAGATAAATTTCAAGAAAAGGGAAGAGATGGAAGGGGAACCTGAAGATTACAAGAAGTAAGACATACAAATTTCCTTAAAAAGCAAGACTAACTGGCAGTGTCTAGGGATAGACACTCAAGTAACGAAAGAATAAAGAGCCAGGCACGGTGGCTCACACCTGTAATCCCAGCACTTTGGAAGGCCAAGGCGGGTGGATCACGAGGTCAGGAATTCGAGACCAGCTTGGCCAACTTAGTGAAACCCCACCTCTACATAAAATAAAAAAATTAGCCAGGCATGGTGGCACGAGCCTATAGTCCCAGCTACTCAGGAGGCTGAGGCAGGAGAAATGCTTGAACCCGGGAGGCAGAGGTTGCAGTGAGCTGGGATCACGTCATTGCACTCCAGCCTGGGCGACAGAGCGAGACTCCGTCTCAAAAAAAATAAATAAATAAAAAAATGCAAACCGGTGATTACTGTTAGGGAAGCTTCTGCAGTGGCTGCCAATGCCTTATCCCCAGACCTGCTTGGTGCTTGCAATGGTGACACATAAGGTTCATCCATCAAGGCATACACTGTTTTCTGAGGTGTTCAGTACGTATTTTGTTTAATAATTAAAAAGAGGAGGGAGAAAAAAAGGCCAAGCAACAGAAGAGAAGGAAGGAGGGCAAGAGCAGCGGGACAAGCGTGGTCGTGAGCTGAGAGTTCCTCTGGCTGGAACAGAGAGTGTGCACTCACAGTCATTCTCTTTACCTTTAGATAATGGTTACGTGTTCCAGATTTAAACTTTTTTTTAAAAAATTACCAGCTAGATTTGATTTAAAAGTGAAAAATGTGCCTGTAGTCCCAGCTACTCGGGAGGCTGAGGCTGAAGGATCACTTGAGCCCAGAAGGTCGAGGCTGCAGTGAGCTACGATCGCACCACCGCACTCCAGCCTGGGTGACACGGTGAGATTCTGTCTCAAGAAAAGGAAAGAAAGGAAAAGGAAAAGAAAGGAAGGAAGGAAGGAAGTATCAAGATGCAAAACCCTTCAAGAAAGAAAGAAAAGGAAAGAAGGAAGGAAGGAAAGAAAAGAAAAAAAAAAGAAAAATATCAAGATGCAAAACCCCTCACCAGCTCAAAAGAAGGATGAACCAGTGTCACTCTGGAAATGAACATCAACAACAAGAGGTTTCGTTTCACCTCACCACATGGGTAGGCAAACAGTAGGTGCCCAATACATCTTTGTTAAGAACAAATGAATGCTACAATTGCATGTTGTGTCCCTAGACATAGTAATTTGTGAATCTAAAAGTGACCAAGTGCAAAACCAGCCCATCATTCTGGCTGGTAAACAGGCTCACAGCCAACTGCCAGCAGGTCCCAGGCCCACCACTGAGCCAGTGGCCACAGCACATGCAACCTGCAGCGTCGAGAGGAAAACTGGCCACTAGCTCCTTAAGGACTGAACTGATCTAAGGCACATGTGAGTAAGTGCCCAGATGGTTTCGATGGGAGCCAGCACCCGTGTTCCGTAAAGGACCAGTCAATACTTTCAGCTTTGCAGGCCTCACGGTCTATCACAACTAAACTCTGCCCTTGTAACATGAAAACTGGCACCAACAACACGACCTGGCTGTGTTCCAATAACACTTTACAAAAACAGGCAGTAGCCAGGCTGTGACAAGAGGTCTCTGAGTCCTGAAGGTCCTGAATGACCAACTCTACAGGGTGGCATGGGCCACTGCAGTGGCAGCACTCCTACCCAAGCCAGCAGGGCTAACATGATTTCCCGGCACACAGCTGTGTTCAAGGTCTTTCACTCCAGACAAGCAGCTGAGTATGCAGCTCACTCCACGCCGTACATGGACAAAGACAATAACTTTCTCCTCAGTGACACAAATTCCAGAATTCTGCAAAGTCAATCAAATCTGCTCAATGGTAACTGCAGATTCAGGATAATTACTGAATTCCTGGCAAGCAACACGGTCATGTGTATTCTGGTCAGTTGATAAGACCATAATGAGTGGTGTGATGAGGAAAGAGGATAAAACTCGGCAACCTCGGGCAGATCATGGGGACCTCATTTCCCCCCATTCCCTGCTTCCTCCTCAGAGGACACTTACTTGATTTTTAGCAAGTTGAGGGATTTGTTGGAGGAGGCTGTTATCTCTCCGGTCTTGTTTCTATTGATGTAAACCGAGAAGCCATTATTTTGGAAGCCAAACTCCTTTGCAACCTAAAACAAGGCCCAAAGAACAGAAATTTAATGAAATGCTAAAGTATCACTACACATACCATACACACCAGACACTACTAGAAGAGTATTCACCAAATTTGGAAAGTGCCCATCATTTACCAAATTCCTCTTGCTATTTTGCTCTTTTAAAGAAATTTGTACTGTTCACAAAGGTGTCAATTAAAATGAATAAAGTGGCCAAAAAAGCAAAGGTCTTGTCAATGATGAAACTTTGTAAAACATTTAAGACTTTGAAGCAAACAAGAGTTAATGGCTATCCTTGTTTTGTTTTCAGACAGTCTCGTTCTGTAGCCCAAGCTGGAGTACAGTGGCATGATCTCGGCTTACTGCAACCTCCACATCCCAGGTTCCAGTGATTCTCCTGCCTCAGCCTCCCAAGTAGCTGGGATTACAGGCGCCTGCCACCACACCCGGCTGATTTTTGTATTTTTAGTAGAGATGGAGTTTCACCATGTTGGCCACGGTGGTCTCAAACTCCTGACCTCAGGTGATCCGCCCACCTTGGCCTCCCAAAGTACTGGGATTACAGGCGTGAGCCACCATGCATGGCCAATGGCTATGTTTGAAAAGTTCAATTTCCATTTTTGAATTCAATTGTAAAAACCCAATTCCAGGCCAGGCGTGGTGGCTCATGCCTGTAATCCCAGCACTTTGGGAGGATGAGGTGGGAGTATCACCTGAGGTTAGGAGTTCGAGACCAGCCTGACCAACATGGTGAATCCCCGTTTCTACTAAAACTACAAAATTAGCCAGGCATGGTGGCACATGCCTGTAATCCCAGCTACCCGTGAGGCTGAAGCAGGAGAATCACTTGAAGCTGGGAGGCAGAGGTTGCAGGGAGCCGAGATCGTGCTATTCCACTCCAGCTTGGGCAACAAGAGCAAAACTCTGGCCGGGTGTGGAGGCTCACACCTGTAATCTCAGCACTATGGGAGGCCAAAGCAGGTGGATCACGAGGCCAGGAGTTCGACACCAGCCTGGTCAACATAGTGAAACCGTCTCTACTAAAAATACAAAAATTAGCCAGGCATGGTGGCGCACACCTGTAATCCCAGCTACCCGGGAGGCTGAGGCAGAACTGCTTGGGCCTGGGAGGTAGAGGCTGCAGTGAGTCGAGATCATGCCACTGCACTCCAGCCTGGGTGACAGAGCAAGACTTTGTTTCAAAAAAAAAAAAAAAAAAAAGCAAAACTCTGTCTCAAAAAAATAAAAAACCCGGCCGGGCGCGGTGGCTGACGCCTGTAATCCCAGCATTTTGGGAGGCCGAGGCAGGCGGATCATGAGGTCAGGAGATCGAGACCATCCTGGCTAACACGGTGAAACCCCGTCTCTACTAAAAATACAAAAAATTAGCCGGGCGTGGTGGTGGGCGCCTGCAGTCCCAGCTACTCGGGAGGCTGAGGCAGGAGAGTGGCGTGAACCCGGGAGGCGGAGCTTGCAGTGAGCCGAGATCGCGCCACTGCACTCCAGCCAGGACGACAGAGCGAGACTCCGTCTCAAAAAAAAAAACAAAACTCAATTCCAATTCTGAAACCTAACACAGAATGGTGCGACTAAATCATAAAACGTCCACTGTGCAGGGCACTTTGCTAGATGCTGGGAATATTCACTCATTCCTTCAACAAATATTAAGCAGTTCTATGTGCTCAGCTCCATTCTGGGTGTTCAGATCACAAAAATGAACTAGAAAAGACAAGGTTTCTGGCCGGGCGTGGTGGCTCATGTCTGCAATCCCAGCACTTCGGGAGGCCAAGGCGGGTGGATCACTTCAAGTCAGGAGTTCAAGACCAGCCTGACCAACATGGTGAAACCCCATCTCTCCTAAAAATACAAAAATTAGGCCAGGTGTGGTGACTCACGCCTGTAATCCCAGCACTCTGGGAGGCCGAGGTGGGCGGATCACGAGGTCAGGAGATCGAGGCCAGCCTGGCCACCTTGATGAAACCCCATTTCTACTAAAATACAAAAATTAGCTAGGCGTGGTGGCGGACACTTGTTATCCCAGCTACTCAGGAGGCTGCGGCAAGAGAATTGCTTGAAACCAGAAGGCAGAGGTTGCAGTGAGCCAAGATGGCGCCATTGCACTCCAGCCTGGGCGACAAGAGTGAAACTCCGTCTCAAAAAAACAAAAACAAAAACAAAGACAAAAATTAGCCAGGCATGGTGGTGCACGCCTACAGTCCCAGCTAGTCGGTGGGCTGAGACAGGAGAATCACTTCGACCTGGGAGGCGGAGCTGCAGTGAGATGAGATCACGCCATTACACTCTAGCCTGGGCAACGGAACAAGACTCCACCTCAAAAAAAGAAAAACAAAAAAAAGACAAGGTTCCTGCTGTCAAGCAGTTTACCAACAAATGGGGGAGACAAAGTCAACAAAGGTCGAAATAAGCACTACGACAGAAAAGGAAAAGAAACCTCAGATGGGAGGCTAGAAGTCTCTCTGAAGAGCTTCAGCTGAGCAGGGCCCACCCAGCGGTGGGTAAGCCCGCCACACGCGAGCTGGGAGAAAAGGCCACAGGGAGTAGGAGCAAGCACAAAGACCAGGAGGCAGGAAGGGTGTTGGAAACACGGAGGCCAGAGGCCAATAAACAATAAGGAAGATGGAAAGAGATGAGGCTGGCGAGGCAGACAGGGCCGTGGGAAGCCACACAGACGAAAGGCAGGGGGAATCATCATCCACAAAATCCCTGTTGCTCAACACCACACTGAAGAGGAAGCTAGAGTGCCAATTAGAGACAAGAGAGATGGGCTGAGACAGGGGATGAGATGGGACAGGATGGTGGGGATGAAGGCAAGAGCACACTTTCCAGCAGTGGTCATCACCAGGCCCAGCTGACGAGCAGGACCAGGGGCAGGAATGGAATGAGAGAAAGGAAGGAGGTCAGAGTAAAGCTGAGAATTCTAGATTGAGAAACTATGTGGAGGTAACACCTGTGCAGGGACCATGAAAGGAAAGGCTAAAAAAGGAAGAAGACTAGAGGGAAAATCAGGACTTCCATTTGACACTGAGATCGGAGGTGACAACCAGACACACTGCAGTGAAGCCGTCCAGCAGGCAGGTGGGCGCATCTGTGTCTGAGCCCAGGCAAGGGGCCAGAGCAAGAGCTCTACACCGAGGGGTCATCAGAGTAGATGTACCCAAATAAAAGGAATGTGAATCTCGGTAAAGAAACAAATCATAAAAGAACAATCAAATGGAAATTCTAGAACTGAAAAACACAAGAACAGAAATAAAAAATTCACTGAACGGGCTTATCAGCAGAAGGGAGAGAGCAGAAGAGTCAACCTAAACATAGGTGAATAGCTTGTGGTCCCAGCAACTCGGAAGGCTGAGGTGGAAGCACTGCTTGAGCCCAGAAGTTTAAGGCTACAATGAGATATGATCACACCACTGCACTCCAGCCTGAGCGACAGAGTGAGAATCCAACCAACTCTAAAAAGAAAAACATAAATGAATCAATAAAAATAACAGCTATATAATCTGAAGGCAGAGATTTGGGGAAAAAAAAAACAGCCTTAGGAACCCATGGTACAGGATCAAATGCTCCTCACTAGAAAAAAATGAGGGTTGGGCGCGGAGGTTCAAGCCTGTAATCCCAACACTTTGGGAGGCCGAGTTGGGCAGATCACCTGAAGTCAGGAGTTTGAGACCAGCCTGGCCAACATGGTGAAATCCCATCTCTACTAAAAATACAAAAATTAGACAGGTGTGGTGGTGCACCCCTGTAATCCCAGCTACTCAGGAGGCTGAAACAGGAGAATCGCTTGAACCTGGGAGGTGGAGGTTGCAGTGGGCAGAGATTGCGCCACTGCACTCCAGCCCAAGCGACAGAGTGAGACTTCATCTCAAAAAAAAAAAAAAAAAATTAGCCAGGTGAGCTGGCACGTGCCTGTAATCTCAGTTACTCGGGAGGCTGAGCCAGGAAAACCGCTTGAACCCCGGAGGCGGAGGTTGCAGTCAGCCAAGATCGCGCCACTGCACTCCAGCCTGGGCAACAGAGCGAGACTCCATCTCAAGAAAAAAAAAAAAGAAAAGAATGAAAATAGAACAGAAAAATACTTAAGAGTGGGGAAAACCCCAAAATTTAATGAAAAACATCAAATAGCAACTCCAGGAAGTTCAGCAAACTCTCTCAAGTTAAGATACAAAGAACACCACTGCAAGGCACACCAGAGTCACCCTACTGAAAGCCAGAGGTCAACGAAGACGAGAAGACCAAGAAGACGGTGGAACGACAGCTTCAAATGCTCAACAGGACCAGGCACCGCGGCTCCCGCCTGGAATCCCAGCATCCAGGAGACAGAGTGGGGAGGATCACTTGAGGAAATCAAGACCAGCCTAGACAACATGGTGAAACCCCATCTCTACCAAAAAATTAAGAAATTAGCTAGGAAGCTCACGTGGGAGGATCGTTTGAGCCCGGGAAGTCAAGGCTGCAGTGAGCTGTGACTTTGCCAGTGCACTCCAACCTAGGCAAAAATAATAATAATAATAATTTTAAAATGGACTGGGTGAGGGTGGATCATACCTGTAATCCCAGCACTTTGGGAGGCTGAGGCGGGCGGATCACCTGAGATCAGGAATTCGAGACCAGACTGGCCAACATAGTGAAACCTCGTCTCTACTAAAAATACAAAAATCAGCTGGGCATGGTGGTGCGAGCCTGTAGTCCCAGCTACTCGGGAGGCTGAGGCAACAGAATCACTTGAACCCGGGAGGCGGAGGTTGCAGTGAGGCAAGATTGTGCCGCTGCACTCCAGCTTGGGCGACACAATGAGACTTCGTCTCAAAAAAAAAAAAGAAAAAGGGCCAGGTGTGGTGGCTCACTCTTGTAATCCCGGCACATTGGGAGGCCGAGGCAGGCGGATCATGAGGTCAGGAGATCGAGACCATCCTCACTAACACAGTGAAACCCCATCTCTACTAAAAACACAAAAAACATTAGCCGGGCATGGTGGCGGGTGCCTGTAGTCCCAGCTACTCGGGAGGCTGAGGCAGGGAAATGGCATGAACCTGGGAGGCAGAGCTTGCAGTGAGCCGAGATCGCGCCACTGCATTCCAGCCTGGGCAACAGAAAGACTCCGTCTCAAAAAAAAAAAAAAATTGATGCATGGTGGGGAACAAAAATGAACTGTCAACTCAGAAATCTGTTTTGAGGCCAGGTGCAGTGGCTCACGCCTGTAACCCCAGCACTTTGGGAGGCCAAGGCGGGTGGATCACCTGAGGTCAGGAGTTCGAGACCAGCCTGACCAACATGGTGAAACTCCATCTCTATTAAAAAGACAAACTTAGCCGGACTTGGTGGCGTATGCCTGTAATCCCAGCTACTCGGAAGGCTGAGGCAGAATTGCTTGAACCCGGGAGGCTGAGGCAGGAGAATTGCTTGAACACAGGAGGCAGAGGCTGCAATGAGCCAAGATCATGCCATCACACTCCAGCCTGGGCAACAAGAGCGAAACTCTGTCTCAAAAAACAAAAACAAAAATTAGCCAGGTATTGTGGTGCACACCTGTAATCCCAGCTACTTGGGAGGCTGAGGCAGGAGAACTGCTGGAACCCAGGAGGCGGAGGTTGCACTGAGCCGAGATCACGCCACCACATTCCAGCCTGGGCGACAGAAAAAGACTCCATCTCAAAAAAAGAAATTTGTATTGAATGAAAATATCCTTGGGAGGCCAAGGCGGGCAGATCACGAGGTCAGGAGATGAAGACCATCCTGGCTAACATGGTGAAATCCCGTCTCTACTAAAAATACAAAAAATTAGCCAGGCATGGTGGTGGGCGCCTGTAGTCCAGCTACTCGGGAGGCTGAGGCAGGAGAGTGGCGTGAACCCGGGAGGCGGAGCTTGCAGTGAGCCAAGATCATGCCACTGCATTCCAGCCTTGGAGACAGAGCGAGACTCCCTCTCATAAAAAAAAAAAGAAAAAAAAAAGAAAAAGAAAATATATCCTTCATGGCTGGGCACGGTGGCTCACACTGAAGCGGGTGGATCACGAGGTCGGGAGTTCAAGACCAGCATGGTGAAGATAGTGAAACCCCGTCTCTACTAAAAATACAAAAAATTAGTCAGGTATGGTGGCGGGTGCCTGTAATCCTAGCTACTCGAGAGGCTTAGGCAGAGGATTGCTTGAACCCAGGAGGCAGAGGTTGCAGTGAGCCGAGATCATGCCACTGCACTCCAGCCTGGGCAACAGAGTGAGATGCCATCTCAAAAAAAAAGAAAATAACCCTCATATAAACACAGGGCAAAACGAAAACATTTTCAGGTCAAAAAAACCCAAAGGTCTGTGACCAACAAACCTACCTACAACAAAGGCTAATGGATGTTTTTCAGTCTGAAGAGAAACAACACCAGACAGAAATAGTCTGGGGGAATCCATGGGAAAAGTAAATAAGGAAGAAACTGTGAAGATAAGCTAAGAAGTACATAATATGCAACTATCACAGTAAATGAAATATTTTGTGATTGGTTAAAAAAAGAAAAACTGTCATGGGAATCCTGGACACAATGCAGGTCAGGAGACCAGGGAGGAGCCAGGGATGATTCTTTGAGTCAACTGTAGTCATATCTACAATTCATACTTTTTTTTTTTTTTGAGACAGTCTCACTCTGTCGCCCAGGCTGGAGTGCAGTGGCGCGATCTCAGCTCACTGCAAGCTCCGCCTCCTGGGTTCACATCATTCTCCTGCCTCAGCCTCACCAGCAGCTGGGACTACAGGTGCCCGCCACCACACCCGGCTAATTTTTTGTATTTTTACTAGAGATAGGGTTTCACCATGTTAGCCAGGATGGTCTCAATCTCCTGACCTTGTGATCCGCCCGCCTCGGCCTCCCAAAGTGCTGCGATTACAGGCGTCAGCCACTGCGCCTGGCCACTCTTATGAAATACTTTTTTTTTTTTTTTTTTGAGATGGAGTCTCACTCTGTTGCCCAGGTTGGAGTGCAGTGGCACCACCTCGACTCACTGTAAACTCTGCCTTCTGAGTCAAGCAATTCTCTTGCCTCAGCTTCCCAAGTAGCTGGGATTACAGGCACCTACCACCACGCCCGACTAATTTTTGTATTTTTAGTAGACGGGGTTTCACCATCTTGGCCAGGCTGGTCTTGAACTCCTCACTTCGTGATCCACCCGCCTTGGTCTCCCGAAGTGCTGGGATTACAGGTGTGAGCCACCACGCCCAGCCGTGAAATATTTTTACACTTACCTTTGGGCTCTTGGTCCTATAATTTTGAGCAGTGATCAGCTGTGACAAACATCTCATCCTATAGCAATCCAACCCAACTGTGATAGAGAAAGGCAATGCAAGAGGCAATTTGGGAATAGGGAAAATAAGAAAACGAGGAAAAGAGAAAAGGTATCGATGGCAGTAAGAGTAGAGGATGAAAAATATCCTGAGGGTCAATACCCAGGCCACAGATACCTTTTTCAAAAATGTTGCTGCTGTTTCTCTCTTTGTTGCTGTGATCCGCTTCACTCCATCCGGGGACTGGACACGAATTATCTGTTGCAAACAAAACATGATGGTTACTGCACAGCCTAGTGAGGTCCTGATCTAATACTACGGCTTCCATCTGTGGTCTTTTAGCATCTGGGTCACTGAAAATTAAAGCCAAACCTCACTCTTCACCTTTCAATACCCAGCTCAATCCTTCTAGAATATGATGCCGAGGGGTGAGATTCATCAACATATGGGGAGATATTTTAAGAGTACTGTCCTCTCAACTCTTAGTTTCACTCAGAAAACAACTTTAATTCCTAATCACTATTTATAGAGTATATGTAAAACACTTTTTGTCTCTTCAGACTTAAAACAGAGAAAAACCCACCATGAACCATGAATGAACTGTGTTCTTTAAAAAAGATGTTACTTTGGGGAAAAAAAAAAAAAAAAGATGTTACTTTGTTCCAGGATCTATATACAAACATTAGACAGTCTTCAAGAGTCCTACAATTTAAAAGAATCACAGGAAATTTTCTAATTGTTACTTTTTTTTTGCTTTTTTGAGACAGGGTCTTGCTGTCACCCAGGCTGGAGTGCAGTGGCAAAATCACAGCTTACTGCAGCCTTGACATCCAAGGTTCAAGTGATCCTCTGACCTCAGCCTCCCGAGAGCTGGAACCACAGGCTTGCACCACCACACCAGGTTAATTTTTTTTTTTGTAGTGACGGAGTGTCATATTTCCCAGGCTGATCTCGAGCTCCGGGGCTCAAGTGATCCTGCCACTGTGCTGGGATTACAGGTGTGAGCCACAACGCCAGCTATTACTTACTTTCCCTAAAAAACGTTTAAAAATGGCCAGACACAGTGGCTCACGTCTGTAATTGTAGCACTTTGGGAGGCCAAGGCGGTGGATCACTTGAGCTCAGAAGTTCAAGACCAGTGGGCAACATGGGGAAACCCCATCTCTACTAAAAATACAAGTTAGCCAGGCATGGTGGCGTACGCCTATGGTCTCAGCTACTTGGGGAGCTGAGGCACGAGGATCACTTAAACCAGGGAGGTCGAGGCTACAGTGAGCCAAGATGGTGCCACTGCACTCCAGCATTGGTGACAAAGTGAGACCCTGTCTCAAAAAAAGAGATTAGGCTGGGCACAGTGGCTCCTGCCTGTAATCCCAGCACTTTGGGAGGCCAATGCGGGCAGATCACCTGAGGTCAGGAGTTCGAGACCAGCCTGGCCAACATGGTGAAACCCCGTCTCTACTAAAAATACAAAAATTAGCTGGGCGTGGTGGCGGGCACCTGTAATCCCAGCTACCCGGGAGGCTGAGGCAGGAGAATCGCTTGAACCCAGGAGGCAGAGGTTGCAGTGAGCCAAGATCGTGCCATTGCGTGACGAAGAGCAAGACTTCGTCTCAAAAAAAAAGTAAAAATTTAAACTTAAAAAAGAAATTAAAATTAAAAGCAATAAAGGTCTTTAATGGTAAAATTTAGTAGGGTTTTGAAAAAATATTTTCAGCTGGGCACAGTGGCTCACACCTATAATCTGTGCACTTCAGGAGACCAAGGCAGGAAGATCTCTTTAGCCTAGGAATTCGAGATCAGCCTGGCCAACACAGCGAGACCCCATCCTAATTTAATAACGTGTGTGTGCATATATGCATATTAAAGTGTACATATATATATATATATTTTTTTTTTTTTTTTTTTTTTTTTTCCCCCACGGCAAGCCTAAAAAGGTTGGCAGATCTGGAAGACTACTGGACAAAGGGCATTACTTTCTAAGACAACTTGATGTTTATGCTGATGAAAGCCATCGTGAAGGTGAGTTATCATGCCTGGCCAACAGCACAGGCCCCTGCTTTAGACAAGGAGGATGACATGGCATGCTCTGCAGCAAACAAAGACCTGCTCCAACCATCCGCGGGACGGGAAGGAAGGCAGACAGGAACATGCGCATAAGTGTCCTAGCTTCTCCTCTCAGCAAAGACTGATGGTGCATTCTATAGCTTCTTTCTCTCTCATTTCCTGCATTACCATCTCTTGTATTTAGCTCATTTTTTTTTTCCCCGAGATGAAGTTTCAATCTTGTGGCCCAGGCTGGAGTACAATGGCGCAATCTTGGCTCACTGCAACCTCTGCCTCTTGAGTTCAAGTGATTCTCCTGCCTCAGCCTCCTGAGTAGCTGGAATCACAGGCGCCCACCACCATACCCAGCTAATTTTCTTTTTTTTGAGACAGTCTTTTTCCGTTGCCCAGGGTGGAGTGCAGTGGCGCAATCTCGGCTCACTGCAACCTCCACTCACTGCAACCTCCGCCTCCCAGGTTCAGGCGATTCTCCTGTCTCAGCCTCCTGAGCAGCTGGGATTACAGGCGTGCACCACCAAGCCCAGCTAATTTTTGTATTTTTAGTAGAGACGGGGTTTCAACATGTTAGTCAATCTGGTCTTAAACGCCTACCTCAGGTGATCCACCTGCCTCAGCCTCCTAAAGTGCTGGGATTATAGGCATGAGCCACCAACCCTGGCCTAGCTGATTTTTTATAGTGAAACATTTCAATTCCCTTATTTCCTTTTTTATTTCTTTTTTTTTTTTCAGCTCTTGTTGCCCAGGCTGGAGTGCAATGGCGTGATCTCGGCTCACTGCAACCTCTGCCTCCCCGGTTCAAGTGATTCTCCTGTCTCAGCCTCCTGAGTATCTGGGATTACAAGTGCCTGCCACCACGCCTGGCTAATTTTTAGTATTTTTAGTAGAGATGGGATTTCACCACGTTGGCCAGGCTGGTCTCGAACTCCTGACCTCAAGTTATCCACCCACCTGGGCCTCCCAAAGTGCTGGGATTACAGGTGTGCACCACCACACCCGGCCTCCCTTATTTCCTTTTTCATAAATTCTATAACTATTTTCTGTGAGGTTACCACGAGTGTTACATTAAACATCCTCTTCAACCATTATGCAGATGAAAACTGTCACAAGCCATTGTCTAAAAAAGATTTCCACTGATACAGGACAAAACACCATAAAGGCTCAGTCTACTGGGATTTGTCCGCTTTTAGTAAAGTAACTAAGCCTAATCTAGATTTTCCTAAAATAGGATAACCCTGTCCTGCATTTTCCCATAACTTTCACTTGGCAGAAAAGGCTCCACCCAATATGTTCTCAACTTTTAAGTCAGGAGATTGAGACCATCCTGGCTAACACGGTGAAACCCCATCTCTACTAAAAATACAAAACATTAGCCAGGCGTGGTGGAGGGCGCCTGTAGTCCCAGCTACTTGGGAGGCTGAGGTAGGAGAATGGCGTGAACCCAGGAGGCAGAGCTTGTGGTGAGCAGATCGCGCCACTGCACTCCAGCCTGGGTGACAGAGCAAGACTCCGTCTCAAAAAAAAAAAAAAAAAGAAAAGAAATACAATTCTTTATACTTCTAACGTCTAGTATACTTCATTCTAGATTCAATACCCCAGAAAAACGTTTTCACAATATATAGCATTAGGTAAATACTTCCACTTATTTGTTTCTAAAATCTGTCTGCCAACACTTAGCTATCTTAAAAAGGAAAGCTCTGTTCTAATGAAGGGGAACATGTGAATGTTCCTTCAAACGATGACTCTGGAACAAGAGCATGTTACCGCCATTCTTTACAGAGCTAAATGGTTCAGGCTGCAGAATTCTAAGGTGAAGAAGTCATCCTACTTGATCCTCTACCACAGAAGATGGGAGTCCAGGTTTCCAAGGCCAACTCCAGTATTTAACAAGAGACAAACATAATTTGTACGATGGAAAGTTCTGGCCTAGCCTCTGACACAGACTACAAAATGAAATACACAGGAAGAGACAGACCTGACAACATGAACACACAGCCTCTTGGTAACTTAAGTTTCCCTATTTATAAGAAAATAAGACTAGAACGCTTCTTGGGGAAGTTGAAGAACTGGTGAGATACAGTTAAATCCACAGAAACTCTTTTCTCCCCCCAAGACAGAGTCTTGCTCTGTCACCCAGAGTGGGAGTGCGATGGCGCGACCTCGGTTCACTGCAACCTTTGCCTGCCGAGTTCAAGCAATTCTCTTGCCTCAAGCCTCCCAAGTAGCTGGGATTATAGGCGCCCGCCACCGCGCCCAGCTAATTTTTTTTTTTTTTTTAAGAGTCTCACTCTGTCACCCAGGCTGGAGTGCAGTGGTGCGATCTCGGCTCACTGCAATCTCCGCCTCCCGGGTTCTAACTTTTCTGCCTCAGCCTCCTGAGTGGCTGGGACTACAGGTGCACGCCACCACGCCCGGTTAATTTTTTGTATTTTTTTTTTTTAGTAGACGTGGGGTTTCACCGTGTTGCCCAGGCTGGTCTCAAACTCCTGAGCTCAGGCAATCCACCTGCCTCGGCCTTCCAAAGTGCTAGGATTACAAACGTGAGCCACCACGCCCTAATTTTTGTATTTTTAGTAAAGACGTGGTTTCACCATGTCGGCCAGGCTGGTCTCAACTCCTGACCTCATTATTCACCTGCCTCGGCCTCTCAAAGTGCTGGGATTACAGGTGTGAGCCACCATGCCCAGCCCAGAAACTTTTCAAAAGATCTCTTTCTTAAATTCAAAATAACTTTTTAAATCAATTTCAAAAGAAGAGTGTTTTAATTCCTCACAATCTGAGACATTCAACGAGATCCAATGCTGTCAATGAGAGCCTAGCCTTATACACTAGTGGGAAAAAAAAAATGGCCTTGTCTGAAACACTTTTCACTTGTCAATGGTTATTTTAACTCAGTTAAAAGTACAAAGGTAGTTTGAAAGAAGGTTTCAGTGCTAATTCCTAACCTATTTCTAGGCAAAGTCACCAATGATTAACACTTTTTTTTTTTTTTTTGAGACAGTCTTGCTCTGTCGCCCAGGCTGGAGTGCAGTGGCGCAATCTGGGCTCACTGCAACCTCCACCTCCCGGGTTTGAGCGATTCCCCTCCCTCAACCTCCAGAGTAGCTGGGATAACAGGTGCATGCCACCACACCCGGCTAATTTTTTATTTTTAGTAGAGACAGGGTTTCACCATGTTGGTCAGGCCAGTCTTGAACTCCTGACCTCGTGATCCGCCCACCTCGGCCTCCCAAAGTGCTGGGATTACAGGCGTGAGCCACTGCATGGCCACATTTTATTTTTCAAAGGAGTCAAAGGTTTCTTGGCCGGGCATGGTAGCTCAGGACTGTAATCCTAGCAATTTTGGGACCCCAAGGTAGGAGGATCCCTCGAGCTCAGAGACCAGCCTGTACAACATAGTAGAGACCTCATCTCTATAAAAAAATGTTTTTAATTAAAAAGATTTAAAGGCCAGGCGCGGTGGCTTATGCCTGTAATCCCAGCATTTTGGTATGCCAAGGCGGGCGGATCACGAGGTCAGAAGTTCGAGATCAACCTGGCCAACACGGTGAAACCCCATCACCACTAAAAATAAAAAAGACATCAGCCATGCGTGTTGGCGAGCACCTGCAACCCCAGCTACTCGGCTGAGGCAGGAGAATTTCTTGAACCCGAGAGGCGGAGGTTGCAGTAAGCAGAGATCGCACCACTGAACTCCAGCCTGGGCGACAGAGTGAGACTCCATCTCAAAAAAATAAAATAAGGTTAAAAAAAAAAAAAAAAAAGGAGTCGACGTTTCCTAAGTTTCTCCTGGGCCATATATTCATTCCACTCATCTCCAGGTTGGGAAACATGGAGGCACCAAGAGGGCCCCTGACTGGAGAGATGATGGAACCACCAGAGAACAGCCTTGCAAATAAGTGCTAGGTTCTCCTGGAGACCCATTTGTTTGTGTGTGTGAGACAGTCTCATTCTGTCGCCCAGGGTGGAGTCCAGTGACGCCACCTAGGCTCACTATGTTGTCCAGGCTGGTCTTGAACTCCTGACCTCAGGTGATCCACCCACCTGGGCTTCCCAAAGTGCTGGGATTACAGGTGTGAGTCACCGCGCCGGGCCTGGAGACCTATTCTAGACAACACCTGGCAAAACTGCAGAGACTGTCACAATGCTACAGTATGAACATTACTCTTCACCCAATACTGCTAAGCTTCCCCCAGAAATCCCAAATCTTCCTTAATATTAACCAAAATGCTCCTGTCCAATGGTCAGTTAGTTTTTTTCCCATCACATTTACTTTTGGGAAGAAACTTCTCACAACTTAACGAGGGACTGGTTTTCTGATTTGTCACTGATATTTTTTACGTTAAGGAGGAGTGTGTGACAATTTTTTTTTTTTTTTTGAGACGCAGTCTCGCTCTATAGCCCAGGCTGGAGTGCCATGGAGGGATCTCAGCTCACTGTAACCTCCACCTCCCGCGTTCAAGCAATTCTCCTGCCTCAGCCTCCCAAGTATCTGGGATTACAGTGCGCCATGACGCCCGGCTAATTTTTTGTATTTTTAGTAGAGACAAGATTTTGCCATGTTGGCCAGGATGGTCTCGAACTCCTGACCCCAGGTGATCCACCCGCCTCGGCCTCCCAAAGTGCTGACATCACAGGCGTGAGCCACTGCGCCGGGCCGACAATTTCAATTTCAGGTAAAAAGTGAAATCAACATCATTTACAACATTCCTTTTAAAGAGGAATTGTCAAGTTGTCCTTCCAAGTAAGGAGCAAAGCCGGCAAGTTACTGTGTTTTCATTTTCCCAGGTCTTCTGGTGGGGAGGGAGCTCTGTAACGTCCCCGTCTGCAGAGCTGCTCTCCTTAGTGACTCATGACAAGGCACTTGCTGGGAAGCGGGAGAGCAGGAGGAGAGAATCAGAGGGAGATTAGGATAAGAGGTGTCCCTGGCTCTGAGAGGGGCAGGACTGGCTGGGAGTCCCTGGAATTAGACCAGGAAGTCTCCTGGAGCCGGGAAACGGGTGGGGAAGGAGGGCGGTTTCTCTTCGCCACAGTCCATTCTCCCTGCTTAGAAAGGCTCGGCCTTTCCCTGCCCAGGGCGGGGAACCGGGGTCGTAAGTCCCCTGGGGAGGGACACGGACGGGAAGCAGCCGAGGGGGGTGAAAGTCCCCGAGAGGGGCCCAGCCACTACAGAGAAAGCCCTGGCGAGAGAAGAGAAAGGGGCCGAGTCGCGGCGCCGGCAGGCCCGCCTCCCCCACAGGCCGAGGCCGGCAAATCTGCTGCCTCATCCCGGCGTCCCCGCTCCCGCCCGGCCGCCGCACTCACGATGCTCTCGGCCATGGCGGCTGCTCCTGCCTCCGGGCTCGAGCCCCGGGCCGCCGCCGCCTGCCGCCCCAAGGGCCTCGCAGACCCGGCCGCGGCCTCAGCCCCGGCCCCGGCCTCCCTACGCCGCCGCCACCGCCGCTCCAGCTTCGCCCGCCCGGCTCCGCCAGCCGCCGACGTCCCGGTGCCTCGCTCAATACGCTCCCCTCGGGCGCGAGGCCGGGAAACCAGGTTCCGGCCCCACCAACGGCTCGACGCATGCGCAGGGCGGCGCCGCTGACCCGCCCCCGCCATCCCTGCAACTGGAGGAGGGGATTTTGGAAAGTTGCGTCTGAGATTACTTCTGCTCGTCCTCGGAAACCCAAGCGGCACAGGAAAGTCCAAAAAGGAAGCAAAGACGAGCATCCGAAGTCTCACCCAAAAATAACTACTGCTGCGTATTATAGCGTATTATAATTGGGGAAACAGCATTCCAAACTTCTCTCCATGCACAGGTAAGTAGAGAAACAATTTCAGGAAGGCAGGATCACACCTTCATGTTTTTTTTTTTAAGTATTTTTTAAATTTAACATAAGAAAAACAAACGAGTTTAAACTGCATTTCAGGCCGGGCGCGGTGGCTCATACCTGTAATCCCAGCATTTTGGGAAGCCAAGGTGGACGGATCACCTGAGGTCAAAAGTTCGAGACCAGCCTGGCCAAAATGGTGAAACCCCGTCTCTACTCAAAATACAAAATTAGGCCATACGCGGTGGCTCACGCCTGTAATCCCAGCACTTTGGGAGGCCGAGGCAGGTGGATCACCTGAGGTCAGGAGTTCAAGACCAGCCTGACCAACGTGGTGAAACCCCGTCTCTACTAAAAATACAAAAATTAACTGGGCGTGGTGGCGGGCACCTGTAATCCCAGCTACTCGGGAGTCTGAGGCCGGAGAATCTCTTGAAGCGAAGAGGCGGAGGTTAGAATGAACTGAGTTGGTGCCACTGCACTCCAGTCTGGGCGACAGAGTGAGACTTCATCTCAAAAAAAAAAAAAAAAGACGTCACTTCACAGATTCTAAGGATTTTTGGAGTTGGATACCAGGAAACCGGAAGACTAAATGTATACATATTTCACAACATCACAATTACTGTGACAGTTTTTTTAAACTATGTTAAATTACATTAATTGATTAAATTATGTTAGTAATTGTATTAGTTTGCTCAGGGTGCCACTGTAACTACCCAACATATTGTCCCTGCCCACTGCCTAGACTTTATCAAGACAGGGGAATTGCAATAAAGAGTTTAATTCACACAGAGCCAGCTTGTACAGGTTACTGAGGTTTTATTACTACTCAAAAAAAATTAGTGTCCTTGAGAATTCAGGGATCAGAGTTTTTTGTTTTTTGTTTTTTTTTGTTTTTGAGTCCGAATCTCACTCTGTCACCCACACTGGAGTGCAGTGGCGCGATCTCGGCTCACTGCAACCTTCACCTCCTGGGTTCCAGTGATTCTCCTGCCTCAGCCTCCCGGGTAGCTGGGACTACAGGCGCACACTACCATGCCTGGCTAATTTTGTATTTTTCGTAGAGACGGAGTTTCTCCATGTTGGTCAGGCTGGTCTTGAACTCCTGACCTCAGGTGATCCGCCCACCTGGGCCTCCCCAAAGTGCTGGGACTATAGACGTGAGCCACCGTGCCCGGCTGGGGATCCGCGGTTTTAAGGATAATTTGGTGGGTATGGGGTCAGAAAGTAGGGAGTGTTGATTGGTTGGGTCAGAGGTGAAATGATAGGGAGTCAAAACTGTCCTCTTGTGCTGAGTCGGTTCCTGGGTGGGGGCCACAAGATATGAGCCAGTTTATCAATCTGGGTGGTGCCAGCTGATCCATGGAGTGCAGAGTCTGCAAAATATCTCAAGCGCTGATCTGTTTTTTAATAGTGATGTTATCCTGAGAAGCAATTTGGGAGGTTTAGAATCTTGTAGCCTCCAGCTACATGACTCCTAAACCATAATTTCTAATCTTATGGCTAATTTGTTAGTCCTGAAAAGGCAGTCTTGTCCCCAGGTAGGAAGGGAGTTTGTTTTGCAAAGGGCTGTTACCATCTTTGTTTCAAAGCTAAACTATAAACTAAGCGCCTCCCGAAGTTATTTCAGCCTACACCCAGGAATGAACAAGGACAGCTTGGAGGTTAGAAGCAAGATGGGTTCAGTTAAGTCCGATCTCTTTAACTGTAATAATTATCTCAGTTATAAGAAAATATAACATAACAAAATCTCTCACAGACTGGGTGGTGGTTTGGAATTACTTTTCTTTTTTTTTTTTTTTTTTTTTGAGTCGGATCTCCCTCTGTCGCCCAGGTTGGAGTGCAATGGCGCGATCCCAGCTCACTGCAACCTCCGCCTCGTGGGTTCAAGCGATTCTCCTGCCTCAGCCTCCTGAGTAGCTGAGATTACAAGCGTGCGCTACCACGCCCGGCTAATTTTTATATCTTTAGTAGAGACAGGGTTTCACCATGTTGGTAAGGCTGGTCTCGATCTCCTGACCTCGTGATCCACCCGCCTCAGCCTCCCAAAGTGCTGGGATTATAGGCATGAGCCACCATGCCCGGCCTGGAATTACTTCCTAACAGTCCTGGAAGCTAGAATCCCAGATCAAGGTGTCAGTAGACGTGGTTTCTCCTTTGTTTTCTTCTTTTTTTTTTCTTTTAAGGCTGGGGTCTTGGCCGGGCGCGGTGGCTCACGCCTGTCATCCCAGCGCGGTGGCTCACGCCTGTCATCCCAGCACGGTGGCTCATGCCTGTCATCCCAGCGCGGTGGCTCACGCCTGTCATCCCAGCACTTTGAGAGGCCGAGGCAGGTGGATCACGAAGTCAGGAGATCGAGACCATCCTGGCTAATATGGTGAAACCCTGTCTCTATTAAAAATAAAAAAAAAATTAGCCGGGCGTGGTGGCGGGTGCCTGTAGTCCCAGCTACTCGGGAGGCTGAGGCAGGAGAATGGCGTGAACCCGGGAGGCAGAGCTTGCAGTGAGCCGAGATCACGCCACTGCGCTCCAGCCTGGGCGACAGAGCAAGACTCCGTCTCAAAAAAAAAAAAAAAAGAAAAGACTGGGGTCTCACTCCCATCGCCGAGGCTGGAGTGCAGTGGCACAATCGTGGCTCACTGTAGCCTCGACTTCCCAGGCTCAGGTGATACTCCCACCTCAGCCTCCTCAGTAGCTGGGACCACAAGTGCTCACAATCACACCTGGCTAACTTTTTGTATTTTTAGTAGAGATGGGATCTTGCTATGTTGCCCAGGCTGGTCTCTAACTACTACTAGGTTCAATCAATCCACCCACCTCAGCCTCCCAAAGTGCTTAGATTACAGGCATAAGCCGCTGTACCCAGCCAGGTTTCTTCTTATACCTCTCTCCTTAGCTCGAAGATGGCACCTTCTCCCCGAGACCTCACATGTTTTTTCTTCTGTGCACACATTCCTCGTGTCTCTCCATGTGTCCCACCGTGTGTCCCAATTTTCTTGTAAGGATGTTGGATTAGGGCCCACGCTAATGGCACTTATTTATTTATTTAGGGATGGAGTCTTGCTCTGTCACCAGGCTGGAGTGCAGCGGCACCATCTCGGCTCACTGCAACCTCTGCCTCCTGGGTCCCAGCAATTCCCCTGCCTCAGCCTCCCATGTAGCTGGGATTACAGGCATGCGCCACGATGCCCAGCTAATTTTTTGTACTTTTAGTAGAGACAGGGTCACACCATGTTGGCCAGGCTGGTCTCAATCTCCTGACCTCATGATCCACCTGCCTCGGCCTCCCTAAGTGCTGGAATTACAGGTGTGAGCTACCGCGCCCAGCCCCTAATGGCCTTTAAAGGCCCTGTCTCCAAGTCCCATTCTGAGGTCCGGGGGGCTAGAACTTTATCATAAGAATGTAAGGGGCACAATTCAGCCATAACAGTGGTAGATGATGATCGTTTCATTAAAAGATTACCCAGACTTTGGCCGGGCGTGGTGGCTCACGCCTGTAATCCCAGCACTTTGGGAGGAGGAGGCGGGCAGATCACTTGAGGTCAGGAGGTCGAGACCAGACTGGCCAACATGGTGAAACCCCATCTCTACTAAAAATACAAAATCAGTCAGGTGTGGCGCCTGCAATCCTAGTTACTCAGGAGGCCAAGGCAGGAGCATCGCTTGAACCCAGGAGGCAGAGGTTGCGGTGAGTCAAAATCGTGCCACTGCATTCCAGCCTCAGCAACAGAGCGAGACTCTTGTCTCAAAAAAAAAAAGGTTACCCATCCTTAGAACAGACTGAGTTGGAGGCCGTGGACAGTCCCTGTGACCGTGACCCTGGCTGTGGAGCTGCTGCAGGGCCCATGAGGTTGGGTTTGTCACCTTTGGGGAGGTGAAGGGAAGCTGGAGCCCAGAAGCTCAGCCTGCAGCTCTGGTCCTCGCCCCGACTTCCCACCTGCAGCATATCCCACTTCTCCGAGGAAGATCTGAAGACTCAGAGTGGCCTTCAAGGCCTCACCTGATCCAGCCCTGTCACCTCATGGACCTCCCTCCCACCCCCATCTCCGCTTGCCCCACACAGCCAGGTGACCTTTCCTCCTAAAACTTGCCCGGTGTGCTCCCACCCAGGCGTCTCACGCGCGCCTGAAACCCTCTGCCTGCTCCATCAGTACATTGCCTGCTGTGCTGCACCACCCAGACCACCTCTTTGGACTGCTGAGTGTTGGTGGCTGAGTCCGGGCACAGTGGCTCCAGCCTGTAATCCCAGCACTTTGGAAGGCCAAGGCAGGAGAATCACTTGAGTCCAGGGGTTCAAGACCAGCCTGGGCAGCACAGCAGAACCCTGTCTCTACAAAAAAAATTCAAAAATGAGTGAGGCAAGGTGGCGTACATCTGTAGTCCCGGGAGGCGAGGTTGCAGTGAGCCGAGATTGCGCCATTGCACTCCAGCCTGGGCAACAAGAGCGAAACTCAGTCTCAAAAACAAAAACAAGGAGGTGATCTGGTGGGGGGACGCTGTTTCATTCGTGCAGTGAACAAGCCGGGGGATAGATTGGCGCTGGGGCTGCCCATGGGTCTCTTGGGATTGGGGTTGTGAACCAATTTACCAGGGTCTGATTCCCTGGTTGGGAGCTGATGGAGCGGCTGCTGACCCTGCAGAGCTGAAGTCCGCATGGGGGGCTGCAGTGAGAGCCACAAGGCTGGCACCCAAACATGCCTGCCTGAGTCACACCTGCGCTGAGCTTAGGGGACCCACAGAGCCAGGGCTGGGGAGAAATATATCTCCACAAGCAGAGGCCTCCTTAAGCTCTAAAATGTGATTCTTCACATGACTCAACTGTGACTCCGGCATCTGGGTAGGGCTCGCACCTCCCCCATTCCCATGCCCAGGGCTGCACTGTTCACAGACTAGCCCAGGGCCGCAGTCAGGACCAGCCCAGCAGCCCAGCCACAGAGGAGCCAGCGAACCTCTCCCGGCGCCTGTGCTGGGGGCTTTCTGTTCCAGCGTCAAGGATGGAGGAGGGGGAGAGGAGCCCCTTACTGTCCCAGGTGAGCCATGCCAAGTGGCCTTGCCCTGAGGTTGGAGATGTCCCCAGCCCTGAAGTCCTAAGGGAAGTCCCTGGGCTGGGTTCACACCCACCCCTGCCCCTGGTGCCACCCCACACCTCAATGCTGAGATTGGGTTGAGGGGGGTGGTTCTAGGCAGCCCCCTCCCCCTTCCCCACTGCGCAGTTCTCTCAGCCCCATGCTGGCCTCTGGTCAAGGGATCTGCCAGATCTCCCTGAGGGCCTTGGGGGCAATCTTTGGCTCAGGGTGCAGGAGGGGGTGAAGGCAAATGTCCCTTGCAGCCAGCCTCCAACGGCCTCTGGCCCCCAGTGGCCCCAGTCTGGCCAACCAGGCACTGACAGCCTGTCCTTTTGCTTCTAGTGACTTGTTGAGGTCTTGGGGGTGATAAATAACCCTCCTCTGGGGCCGGGCACAGTGGCTCACTCCTGTAATCCCAGCACTTTGGGAGGCTGAGGAGGGAAGATTGCGTGAGCCCAGGAGTTCAAGACCAGCCTGGGCAATGTAGCGAGACCCTGTCTCTACAAAATATTATATATATATATATATATATATATATTTAGATAGAGTCTCGCTCTGTCACCAGGCTGGAGTGCAGTGGCACAACCTCGGCTCACTGCAACCTCCGCCTCCTCGGTTCAAGCAATTCACATGCCTCAGCCTGCTGAGTAGCTGGGATTACAGGCACATGCCACCACACCCAGCTAATTTTTTTTAGTCGAGACAGGGTTTTACCATGTTGGCTAGGATGGTCTCGATCTCCTGACCTCGTGATCCACCCGCCTCGGCCTCCCAAAGTGCTGGGATTACAGGCATGAGCCACCGTGCCCGGCCTACAAAAAATAATTTTAAAAAATTACCGGGACGGCCGGGCGCGGTGGCTCACGCCTGTAATCCCAGCACTTTGGGAGGCCGAGGCGGGCGGATCACGAGGTTAGGAGATCGAGACCATCCCGGCTAAAACGGTGAAACCCTGTCTCTACTAAAAATACAAAAAATTAGCCGGGCGTAGTGGCGGGCGCCTGTAGTCCCAGCTACTTGGGAGGCTGAGGCAGGAGAATGGCGTGAACCCGGGAGGCGGAGCTTGCAGTGAGCCGAGATCCCGCCACTGCACTCCAGCCTGGGCGACAGAGCGAGACTCCGTCTCAAAAAAAAAAAAAAAAAAAAAAAATTACCAGGACATGGTTGCAGTGCCTGTAGTCCCAGCTACTCAGGAGGCTGAGGAGGAAGGATGGCTTGAGCCCAGGAGTTTGAGGCTGCAGTGAGCTGAGAGCCTGATGCTGTGATCAGCTTCTTCCTGGTGAAACTGGATTGGAATGGGATCCTTGCCCAGCACACAGCCATGGCTGCTTTTTATTATTTATTTAGTTTTTGAGATGGAGTCTCGCTCTGTCACCCAGGCTGGAGTGCAGTCACGCGATCTCTGCTCATGCAACCTCTGCCTCCTGCTCATGCAACCTCCACCTCCTGGGTTCAAGCGATTCTCCTGCCTCAGCCTCCCAAGTAGCTGGGATTACAGGTGTGTGCCACCACGCCCGGCTAATTTTTTTTTTTTTTTTTTTTTTAGTAGAGATGAGGTTTCTCCACGTTGCTCAGGCTGGTCTCGAATTCCCGACCTCAGGTGATCCACCCACCTCAGCCTCCCAAAGTGCTGGGATGACAGGCGTGAGCCACAACGTCCAGCCCGGCCATAGCTTCTTATTCTCCTTTTTAAAAAAACTCTTCCCGGCAGAACTGGGCACCTGCGGGGCTGCCTCTTCCCCCACAGAGAGAGACCAGCAAGCCTTTCCTGCCAGTGGGCCAGGGGGTCCCCTCTGAAGGCCCTGCAGCCTCCAGGCGGTCTTCCTGGGCTCTTGGGCACCCTCCTCCCTGTCCTGGGAGCCTGTTGGGCAGGGCACTGTCCTGTCCTCGGCAGCAGGGTCCAGTGCCGTGTCCACACTCAGTGCGGGCCGTTGGTGGGGCCGAAGAATGGGTGCTGGGATGTGAGGACTGGTTTCAGAGGGGAAAGAAAAGGGCAGCCATGTGGGCCAGCCCCTGTGGCTGGTGAGGAAGCCCCTCTACACAAGTTCCATGCTGCAGGCACACACAGACTGATCCACGCAGATGCTGTTTCAAACTCTGGGGACGCAGCCCCGCCTGTGTGCTGCGGGAAAGCCAGGGCGACCCTGACCCGGGGAGGCCGCAGACACCCACGCATAGGACCAGGAGGGAGTGGGTGTGTTCACTGAGCACCGCCCTGCTTGGTCTTCACCACAGCCTTTCAGAGTCTGCTCATCACCCTGTTCTAAAGGTGGGGTCCCACCAGAGCTGGGACCCTCACTGCCCCTTCTGCTGCTCAGCCGAGCGGGACGGCCCTGAGGGCCCCCTGCCCCTGGCTGTCCGCATCTCTGAGCTCCAGTGCTGCCCTCCGCCATCCGGCATCCTCCCATCCCTCGAAGGCTCTGCCACCATGCTCTTCCCTGACCCCTCACCAGTTGTCACAGAGTCTGGGTGAATGCGGTCTCACCCTGTTCCTCTTCCCTCTGCAGGAAACTGCAGGCCAGAAGCCCCTCTCTGTGCACAGGCCACCCACCTCAGGCTGCCTAGGTCCAGTGCCCAGGGAGGACCAGGCGGAGGCCTGGGGCTGCAGCTGCTGTCCCCCGGAGACCAAGCACCAGGCCTTGAGTGGCACCCCCAAGAAAGGACCAGCCCCTTCCCTCTCCCCAGGGAGCAGCTGCGTCAAGTATCTGATCTTCCTCTCCAACTTCCCCTTCTCCCTGCTGGGGCTGCTGGCCCTGGCCATCGGGCTCTGGGGCCTGGCTGTCAAGGGGTCTCTGGGAAGTGATCTGGGGGGGCCCCTGCCCGCAGACCCCATGCTGGGGCTGGCACTGGGAGGGCTGGTGGTCAGCGCAGTGAGCCTGGCTGGCTACCTGGGCGCCCTCTGTGAGAACACCTGCCTGTTACGTGGCTTCTCTGGGGGCATCCTTGCCTTCCTGGTGCTTGAGGCCGTGGCGGGGGCCCTGGTGGTGGCCCTCTGGGGCCCGCTGCAAGACAGCCTGGAGCACACCCTGCGTGTGGCCATCGCCCACTACCAGGACGACCCAGACCTGCGCTTCCTCCTCGACCAAGTCCAGCTCGGGCTGAGGTGCTGCGGAGCTGCCTCCTACCAGGACTGGCAGCAGAACCTGTGAGTCTTGGAGTGGGCGAGGGACAGGGCCACCACAGGGTCGCAGAGGCCACACACCCTTGTGCGTGTACACACAGTCACTCACACGTACATACTCATTCGTGCATGCCCACATGCATGCACACGTATACCCACATGTACACGCATATCCACACTGGCACGTCTCGTGCTCACAGGTTTCACGTGTGTGGACACACACCTACACACTCCTCTACACTGACATGAACATGTTCTTGTGCACACACAAAACAGCCTCACACTCAGGCACACACTCACACTCAAACATGTTCATACACACACGTGTCATGCACACAAGGTATAGGGGTGCTTGCCTCTCCTTGTTCTATGGGCTCAGGGCCCCAATCAGCCCTGCGGCCCCCAGAACGTGCAGGGTGACTCTGTTCCCCCCGCCAGGGCCAGGAGGACTACCCAGGAGCTTAGTTGAGAAGCTGAGCCCACAAACTTAGAAAGTCATTTTTCTGCTGGGCACGATGGCTCACACCTGTAATCCCAGCACTTTGGGAGGCTGAGGTAGGCGGATCACCTGAAGTCAGGAGTTCAAGACCAGCCTGGCCAACATGGTGAAACCCCATCTCTACTAAAAATACAAAAATTAGCCAGGCATGGTGGCAGGCACCTGTAATCCCAGCTACTCAGGAGGCCGAGGCAGGAGAATGACTTGAATCCAGGAGGTGGAGGTTGCAGCCAAAACAGCACCACTGCATTCCAGCATGGGCAACAGAGCGAGCATCCATCTCAAAGAAAAAAGGCCGGGCGCGGTAGCTCACGCCTGTAATCCTAGCACTTTGGGAGGCCGAGGCGGGCGGATCACGAGGTCAGGAGATCAAGACCATTCTGGCTAACACGATGAAACCCCGTCTCTACTAAAAAATAGAAAAAATTAGCTGGGTGTGGTGGCGGGCGCCTATAGTCCCAGCTACTCAGGAGGCTGAGGCAGGAGAATGGCGTGAACCCAGGAGGCGGAGCTTGCAGTGAGCCGAGATCGCCCCACTGCACTCCAGCCTGGGCGATGGAGGGAGACTCTGTCTCAAAAAAAAAAAAGAAAAGAAAATGACTTTTAGGTGAATTCAGGACATTATTCTGGAATCTGACTCCACAGTTTCCCTCCACCGTGAGTGTCATTAAACGCCGTGCATTTAGGATCCAGTGCAGGATTTTCTTATATTCTGCTCAAGGGTAGCTGTCTTTTTGTTGGTTTGTTTGTTTGTTTTTTTGAGACGGAGTCTCCCTCTCGCCCAGGCTGGAGTGCAGTGGCTCGATCTCGGCTCACTGTAAAGAGGGTAGCTGTCTGTTTTATCAGCTATCCCCAGTGCATGCACACCCCAAGCAGCACCTACTCTCCATGCCACACCCAGGACAGACGATATGCACTCTGTCTCCCAAGCCTTCTTGGTGCATGTATCCAGGAGCAGCTGAACACAAGAGATGAAGTCATAGGCAACCCTGAAAACTGGCCATTGGGACCCAGCAGTGGCTAACAGGCGGGTCCTTCCAGACTCTGCAAAGCACCACATAGGTTGGTTTTTGGCCACGTGTGACTGGGTTGGTGGCAGTCCCCCTAGAGTGTCGTGATGCCACGTCTGCTGCTGGCCTCGTCCCCATCCCCTGCCTAAGTGGGGCATACTCTTCTAGAGTGGAGAGGGCATGGGGATGAGCCTGCAGGTCTGCTGGGCCCGTGTGCAGAGCCCCAGACATCAGTGGATGCCTAGGGCACCTGGGGACTGCCTGACCTGGGCTGTGATGAGATCAACACTCCCTAGCTACCCTGGGAGCTCCTCCCCCACCCCTGCTTTCTGTCACTGCCAGGTACTGCCTCTCAAGCCCTTGCTCTTCCCAGTAAGACCTGTGGACCATTCCAGAAGCCTCTGCCAGAGTTCCATCCACCCTCCCCTGCTCCAACTCTACCTTCTCAATGAGCTCAGCAGCCTCTGCGGAGGGAGGTCCTCTTATCAATGCTTGTCTGTTCCCCCTTCAACCGTCTCACTAAATATCCTCCTGCTAGTCAACACAGCCACCACCCCTACCTGCAAGCGCAGAGGACTGCCGTGCACAGGGATACGTTATAGAGAGCCAGGTGCTGTGTGTGTCCGTGTGTGCAGGTGTGTGCGAATAGGAGGGCGTATGCACGTGTGTGCATGTGCCTGTGTGGCCATGGAAGGGTGAAGGTGGGTAGGCGACATTCGCCTCTGTGCCTGGTCCCAGAAGAGCGGGCCCTCCCCGCCAGAACTGACGATTCCATGCGCCTTGCAGGTACTTTAACTGCAGCTCCCCCGGGGTGCAGGCCTGCAGCCTTCCCGCCTCCTGCTGCATCGACCCCCGCGAAGATGGAGCCTCTGTCAACGACCAGTGCGGCTTCGGGGTCCTGCGCCTGGATGCGGACGCAGCTCAGAGAGTGGTGTACCTGGAGGGCTGCGGCCCGCCGCTCCGGCGGTGGCTGCGCGCGAACCTGGCTGCCTCGGGCGGCTACGCAATCGCGGTGGTGCTGCTGCAGGGCGCGGAGCTCCTGCTGGCCGCCCGGCTACTCGGGGCCCTCGCTGCCCGCAGGGGGGCGGCGTACGGCCCCGGAGCGCGCGGGGAGGACCGCGCTGGCCCCCAGAGCCCCAGCCCCGGCGCCCCGCCCGCTGCCAAGCCCGCCCGGGGCTGAGCGCACGCCCCGAGGTCCGAGACCGCCACGCACAGGGATACAGGGGGCGCCTCCGCCCGGCTAAAAAGCGCGGCCTGCGCCGCCGCCGCCGCCTGATTTCGCTCGGGCTTCGGGTGACTTCGCCGCAGGACCTACCCAGCTCGCTCACTTCGCTCGCTCCGCGTCCCCCATGCCAGCCCCCAACGCAGGGCGCCCGGCGAAGCCACGGGACTGGCGGGAGGAGCACGCGGGGCCGGAGGAAATCCTGAAGCTGACCCTCACCTCCGAGCCCCCACTCCCACCCCAGCCGCACAGTTCCCACCTCCTGGCACCTCCCTCCCCTGGGGCCGCCACCCCTTCTGGGCTCGTGATGGTGGAGCTAAGGTCCAGGCCTCTCCCTCCCGAGTGCATTTTTGGGGAGATAGTAAATGTTTTATTCGGGTGTATCATTCATACAGTAAAGACACCAATCTTCAGAGGCAGCGTAGGGAATTCTTACCCATCGAAGACCGTGAACCACCGCAGGTCCGATCGGGGAGTTCCAGCCCCTGGCGGCGCGCTCAACCCCAAGTCAGCCCTGCACTGACTACATTGCCAGGGCCAGCGGGGCCTGTTTCGGGCTTTCACATAAGCGGAATCCCAGAGGGTCTGTGGGGAGTCAGATCTGGCCCTTGCTGCGAATGGACTGGTCCATGTGAACAGGGGGCTACTGTGAGGGCCCCTGCTGCTGGGCCAGCTTGCAGAGCTCTTGCTTCCCCTGGATGTGGTGTCAGGAGTGGGATCTTGGTTACAAATGGGCATGTTTGTTTTTGTTGTTTTCTTTTGAGACAGGGTCTCGCTCTGTCACCCAGGCTGAAGTGCAGTGGCAGGGTCTCAGCTCACTGCAGCCTCCGCCTCCCTAGCTCAAGCAATCTCCCACCTTAGCCTCCTGAGTAGCTGGAACTACAGGGGCCCGCCACCACGCCCAGACAATTTTTTGTATTTTTTTTATTTTTATTTTTTGAGATGGAGTTTCGCTCTTGTTGCCCAGGCTGGAGGGCAATGGCACGATCTTGGCTCACCACAACCTCTGCCTCCCAGGTTCAAGTGATTGTCCTGCCTTAGCGTCCCAAGTAGCTGGGATTACAGGCATGGGCCACCATGCCTGGCTAATTTGTATTTTTAGTAGAGACAGAGTTTCTCCATGTTGGTCAGGCTGGTCTCGAACTCCTGAGCTCAAATGATCTGTCCACTTTGGCCTCCCAAAGTGCTGGGATTACAGGTGTGAGCCACGGTGCCCAGCCTCATTATTGTTATTTTCTTTTTTTTTGTTTGTTTGTTTGTTTTATTTTTTGAGACGGAGTCTCGCTCTGTCACCCAGGCTGGAGTGCAGGGGCACGATCTCGGCTCACTGCAAACTCCGTCTCCTGGGTTCACGCCATTCTCCTGCCTCAGCTTCCCAAGTAGCTGGGACTACAGGCGCCTGCCGCCACGCCTGGCTATTTTTTTTTTTTTTTTTTTTTGTATTTTTAGTAGAGACGGGGTTTCACCGCGTTATCCAGGATGGTCTCGATCTCCTGACCTCGTGATCTGCCTGCCTCAGCCTCCCAAAGTGCTGGGATTATAGGCGTGAGCCACCGCACCCAGCCTATTGTTATTTTCAAATACAGACAGGGTCTTGCTATGTTGCCCAGGCTGGTCTTGAACTCCTGGACTGCAGTGATCCTCCCGCCTTGGCCTCCTAAAGTGCTGAGATTATAGGCATGAGCCACTGTGCCCAGATACAGCCAGTTTTAGTGGGCACTGTCTAAGGACGAGCTGGCTGGGTGCTCTGGGGGAGTTGCTAGTGTCACTGTGCCTCAGTTTCTCTCTTGTGAGGTGGGAGTAGGAGCTCCGGCCTCACGGCGTGTGGTGTAAGCCATGTCCAGTCTCACCTTCTCTGTGTGGCCTGTTCCAGCCACCTGCATGCTTCATTGACTATGGCCCCTGGGTGTGCACCAAGGCCTTCTGCCTTGACCCAGCCATGGCCTGACATTGCGTGTCTTGGGGCCACCAGCAAGGCTCAGTGAGAGTGTGAGCCCAAGGGCTGTCTTCCCACTCAGGCAGGCCAGCCCCTCCTGCCCCACTGCCCACCCCTTCCCCCATGTGCTCCGGCTCAAGTGACCCCACCACAGGCCCTGTCCCATGCACAAATATGCCACAGACAGGCAAGGACACACTAATTTTATTTTGAAATAGGGACTGCAAGGGCAGGCTGTATTGAGAAGGATGGCCCCCTGGTGTGATGAGCTTGGGGCCTCATCTGCTCACCGTGCACGCCCTGGAGTCCTGCTACCCAGCATGTCCAAACTAAGGGCACCCCCCTGGGAAGGGATGCAGAGACGGGGAGCTTCTCTGTATCCCCTTACAGGCAGGACAGGGGGCTGGGGTGCAGAAGCACTCTGGGGAGACCTGCCCTAGCTTTCCAGCTGGGAGGAGGGGACGATCTGGGGTCCAGCAGGCTCCCGGGCTGGGGTCCACTTCCCGTTCTCCCTGGGAGTGGAGACCGACCAAGCCTCTCTGTGGGCAGGACTGAGGGGTGGGCCTGTATCTCCAGATGTTGAGCAGGGCCTGGCCAGCCCCTGAGGGGGCATCCTAGAGGGAGGTGGTGGGCTCCTGGTGACTGGTATTAATATGTAGGGGGAGACCTGAGGTTGCAGTCCCATCCTGGTGTCCAGGTGCCATCTGGGCTAGGGAGGCATCTCCTCAACAGGAATCCTGAGCAGGGTTTAGAGCACAGTGGGCAGGAGGGGGAGGGTCTGGACTTCAGCAGGGCCTCGTGCTAGATGATGCCATATTGGGCCAGCTCGTGCAGCTCCAGGTGGTTGAAGGCCTCCCAAGGGCAGATGACTGTGATGTCTGTGGGAGAAACGGGCCACGGATCAGAGAGGATCCCACGGCCTAGGGACCCCCCCATCCCCTGTGGCCCTGTTTCCCACAGCCCAGGTGTAGCCCTACAGTGTGCTGAGCGGGGACGTGCGGACGCTGGAGTGGGGCCCTCCTCTGGGGACACACTGGCTGTGGGGGAAGGAGGGTGGGTGCAGCAGGTCCAGGGGAGGGAACCAGAGGAGGGTGGGGCTTGCTGAAGGGGGAGGAGGCAGCGAGGGGTTCTGTTCTTTCCCAAACCCCTCCCCTCACCTGGTGCAAGTGTCCCAAATGGGGACAGCCCCACCCTCTAGATCCAGTGGATCTGGAGCTCAGTGTTGGGGGAAGAAGTGATGGACAGGCTGGGGGTCCCTAAGTGAAAAGCAGGGGAGGTGGGGGCCGAGGTGGGCTGCAATGGGCCCCGGGCGTGCTGGGTGTGCCTGGGGGGACCTGGGCAGACCTCGGGTTGGTACTGGCAGCCGTCATACCTGTTCCCAGGCCTTCCATTCCAGGGATGTCGTCCCCAAACCTGCAAGGACAGAGCACTCAGGGACATGGCCGGGCCCAGTCCTGGCTCAGTCAGCCTGAGGCCCGAGGTCATCTCTAGCCTTCCTAGGAGATGAGGTGTTTGGCTGGGAGCCCAGTGGGCAGAGACCCGCCTCCTCCCCAACCTCCCAGGGCTTGGCGCATCTGAGGAGGCTTCCCTCACAGACCCAGGGTGAGTCTGCTGCCCAGAGCATCATGGGGCTGAGGCCTAGAAAAGGAGGTGCAAGTCCCAGGATGCTGGGCAGGTGCGTGCCCTGGGGGAGTACGGGGGGGTGCGTGGTTGGTGCATGGTCTGAGTGTAGATTTGTGAAGGTGGCTTGTCTGTGAGTGTGCCTCACGTGCATATGTGGAGGTGTGAGCGTGTTTGTGCATAAGAGTGTCATGCCCGTGTGTGCGCACACGTGTGAGTGGACACTCCTCGGTGCGTTGATGGGAGCGCGGTGCCTGTGTGCGCACACGAGTGAGTGGACACTCCTCGGTGCACTGATGGGAGCGAGATGCCCGTGTGTGCGCATGTGTGAGTGGACACTCCTCGGTGCATTGTGCCATGGCTGTCCCTGGGTGGCAGTGGTTGTATTTTTTTTATTTATTTGAGACGGAGTCTCACTCTGTCGCCCAGGCTGGAGTGCAGTGGCGTGATCTCGGCTCACCGCAAGCTCTGCCTCCCGGGTTCACACCATTCTCCTGCCTCAGCCTCCCGAGTAGCTGGGACTACAGGCGCCCGCCACCACGCCCGGCTAATTTTTTGTATTTTTTAGTAGAGACAGGGTTTCACCTTCTTAGCCAGAATGGTCTCGATCTCCTGACCTCGTGATCCGCCCGCCTCGGCCTCCCAAAGTGCTGGGATTACAGGCATGAGCCACCGCCCCCGGCCGTTTTGTTTTTTTGAGACGGAGTTTTGTTCTTCTTGTTGCCCAGCCTGGAGTGCAATGGCGCGATCTCAGCTCACCACAACCTCTGCCTCCTGGATTCAAGCGATTCTCCTGCCTCAGCCTCCTGAGTAGCTGGGATTACAGGCGTGCACCACCACGCCTGGCTAAATTTGTATTTTTAGTAGAGACAGGTTTCTCCATGTTTGTCAGGCTGGTCTCAAACTCGCGATCCTAGGGGGCTACTTTGGCAGGTATTAAAACTTTTTTTTAGGCCGGGCGCGACCTCAGGTGATCTGCCCACCTCAGCCTCCCAAAGCGCTGAGCCACCGCGCCTGGCCGGCAGTGGCTGTATTTTCAAGCATGGTTGGCAGTAGCATCTGGAGCGGGTGACAGGAGCCCCCAATTCCCCTTCCCCCTCCTCCATCCCTGCTCAGGCCCTCAGGCACCGCCCTACCTTCCCCAGCTGTGAGGCTGGGACCACTCACCCAGTGAAGTGGCCCCAGGCTCTGCCCCGCCCTCCCCTTCCTGTGCAGCCTCAGGACCGCCTCCTCCCTTTCAGAGGCCCCATCCCCCAGCTCTGCTTACCCTTGAACGCCTTTCTTTGGGGGCTTGCTCTTGAACTGCCTGGTCTGTCGCTGCTTAAATTTAGGGGGCCCTTTCCTGGGGGTGACAGGTCCCCCGGCCACCCTGGTGGCTGACCGGAACTCAGCCTTGGGCGGTTCCAGGTTCATGGTGAGGCTGACGGAGACACCGCGGCAACCTTGGCTCCTGGACTCCCTCCTGCTGCGGTCTGGGGGCAGACCAGGCCCGGGTCCCAGTCAGCCCTCCTGCTTCCAACCCTTGTGGGGGTCTCAACCCACCGGTGGAGGGGCTGAGACCCAGCCCCGCCAGCTCCAGCGTCATCCAGACAGCAGCCCCTGCAATCCGCCCTGGGGTAACCAGCCTGCCAGCTTTGCTTGGGTCCACCCGCACGCTCCCATTCCCCTTGCCTAGTGGATGCCCCCCTGCAACGCTGGCCACACACAGCTCCGGACTCCCCCCTGTCCTGGCCTCCCTCGCCCCGGCCCACAATCCACAGCAAACCTAGCCTCCCAACCTGTGGCAGGTCCTGAGCCTGGAGTCCTCACCACCTCCCTGTGGGTGACCACTGACAACTTCCTGCCCCTTCCCCTGCGTTCCCCACCCCAGGGAAGCGTGACTCCCGTCGGCATTTAACTGCTACTCTGGGTTTTTTTTTGTTTTGTTTTGTTTTTGAGACAGAGTTTTGCTCTTGTTGCCTGGGCTGGAGTGCAGTGGCACTATCTCGGCTCACTGCAACCTCCGCCTCCCGGGTTCAAGTGATTCTCCTGCCTCAGCCTCCCCAGCAGCTGGGATTACCGGCGTCTGCCACCATGCCCGGCTAATCTTTGCATTTTTGCATTTTTAGTAGAGACGGGGTTTCACCATGTTGACGAGGTTGTCTCGAACTCCTGACCTCATGATCCACCCGCCTCAGCCTCCCAAAGTGCTGGTATTACAGGCGTGAGCCACCGCACCCGGCCCAGCTGCTACTCTGATGAAAGTCCTCTGTGGCTCCTGCTGGGAATGGGCCTGCCAGGCCCAGCAGAGGAGCCTGCCTCTGAGCTGCCCTTCCTGATGGTTAGTGGGCTGCCTCCATCTCAAGTTCCCGCTCAGGGAGGTCTCCCCTGAACCCCCGCCCTGCAGCCACTGTGTCCTTAGGTTCTGATTTGCCGCTTCTCATCACGCGTCGAGTTAGCCCTGATTCCAGGCTGGTGGGCGTCTCCCGGGCTGTTGCCCTCTGATTCTTTTTTTTTTTTTTTTTTGAGACAGAGTCTTGCTCTGTCACCCAGGTTGGAGTGCAGTGGCGAGATCTTGGCTCACTGCAACTTCTGCCTCCCGGGTTCAAGTAATTCTCCTGCCTCAGCCTCCGGAGTAGCTCAGATTACAGGCATGCGCCACCACACCCAGCTAATTTTTCTTTGTGTTTTTAGTACAGATGGGGTTTCACCATCTTGGTCAGGCTGGTCTCAAACTCCTGACCTTGTGATCCACCCGCCTCGGCCTCCCAAAGTGCAGGGATTACAGGCGTGAGCCACCGCGCCCGGCCTAAAAAAGTTTTAATACCTGCCAAAGTAGCCCCCTAGGATCCTATTCCAGAGCTGTGGCTGGAATCTCACCTTTTTTTTTTTTTTAGACGGAGTCTCGCTCTGTTGCCCAGGCTAGAGTGCAGTGGCACGATCTCAGCTCACTGCAAGCTCCACCTCCTGGGTTCACGTCATTCTCCTGCCTCAGCCTCCCCAGTAGCTGGGACTACAGGCGCCCGACACCACGCCCGGCTAATTTATTTTTTTTTTTGTATTTTTTAGTAGAGATGGAGTTTCACCATGTTAGCCAGGATGGTCTCGATCTCCTGACCTCGTGATCCACCCACCTTGGCCTCCCAAAGTGCTGGGATTACAGGCGTGAGCCACTGCGCCCGGCCAACCCCTCTGATTCTTATTGATGGGTTTATTGCTTTCTGCCTCTTGTCTGTGCTTTGCAGTTGGGGTGCTGTCAGTTCCCTTCACCCACTCACGGAGGCATCCCTGAGCCCCTCAGCACCATGACGGGCACCCCGCAGTGCTGATGGAGAATGACCCACAAAATGGGGGGCAGGGTCCCCAGGCACGGCGCCCCTGGGAAAGGGGCCTGTCTCAGAGACTTGGTGCTGAGCTGTGAAGCCCTGCGTTCCCCAACCCCACTTCATAGAGGGACAAGCTGGGGCTTGGGGACGGAGGGTGCCGGGCATGTGTTCCCCCTGCTGGGGGAATCACCAGGCCCTCTCTGTGTCTGGAGTCAGCTCGGGGAGCAGGGTCACCCGCCTGGCGTGGCGTGGCGTGGCTGAAGGGCCTCGGCCGCTCTGGACGAGATCAGTGTCCCTGCACTGCTGCACAGGGTGGCCTCTCCTCCTCCTCTCCCTACAGCCTCTCCCCAGATGCCCTAAGCCCCAGTGACCTGGGCCAAGGGCAGTTCAGCTTCCCCTAAGCCTATTAACAGCAGAGGGGAATTCCTAATCTCCCATCGAGCTGCTGTCAGCTGCACATGCTGCCGGAAAGTTCTGGAAGGAGGCACATGACACAGACAGGAGGGGCTGCTTGCCCGCACTGGATGCCCCAGGGACCACCTCTTGGGGTCCCCTTTCCTGCCCCTGGTCTTTTTGGCTGGGATTCCTGACTCCAGCCCTGGGCTACTACCAGCTGTTTGCCGAGCTTCAGGCGTGAGAGTGATCAGAAAGCAAGGGCAGGTGGCCCATTTTGGGGACGCGGGCTCTGCAAGGGGTGCTGGGCACCTGGGATTGGGGTGGACCCTGCCATGGCACCTTCCCTCACTAAGGTTCAGCCTCTGTCCCCGGGACTGGGACCAGCACCAGCCTGTGCAAAACCAGCACTCAGGAGCCCGGTGGTCCCAGCTGCTCAGATCCCATGGCACCCAATCCTCATATCCTAGATAGCACAGGCCCCGTCCAGCTGCTTCTCCAGCCCTGGGACATGGGCTGTCCTGGGCAGCTCTGGGCCCTGATGGAGCTCCAACCATCAGATGCCATCCATGTGGAAACCGCTGCCTGCGCTGCCCTGGCCCGACCCAGCCTGTGACTGGCGTCCACTCAGGTCAGCTGAGCCCACGTGGCCTGAGGTTCCCAGACCATCACTGGCCTGGGGATGGTGGAAGCACTGGTTACCATGGGGGAGCAGAGGAGGAGGTTGGCTGGGAGTCCCCTCTGAATAACAGGGTGGCGGGTAGGCATCTGCAGACCCAGACCTCAGCCACGGTGGTAAAAGCCTGTCAGCTCCCTCTGCCCCTTGGGTGATGAGCAGACCCCCACTGACTCACTGGGGGAAGTGGCTGCCAGGAAAGACAGCGGGGTTGGCCACTACTCACCAAGTGCAGGGCGGGTCTCAGGGGGCTGTGCTGTGAGTGCTGGGCCTCCCTCCGCAGGGTGCCAGCCCCGGCCTTTATCTCGCTGCTTCATGAGCTGATTAGGCGTCTCAGTGCCACCCTAATGAGATTGTTGGGCCCCGAGGGGGGGCACAACCACCAAGGTTCAGGGGATGGAGAGGAGGGGCTCAGGTGCTGTCAAGGGCTCCAAGGAAGGACACCCAGCAGATGGGGCCGGGACAGGGAGAGAAGTGTGACCCTGAACAGCCAGGCTCCTGCAGCTGCCCATCTTCCAGATGGAAGCAACCACAGTGTCTGCTGTCTTGGGCCTCCCTACTGCCTTTCCTGACCCTGCCTGATCTCTGAAGGGCCCACCTTCATGGTCCCCAAAACCCTCTGCAGCCTGGCCCTCACCCGCTGCTGTGGCCTCACATCTCACCCCTCCCACCCCAGGGCCTTTGCACCTGCTGCTCCTGAAACCAAACAAGGACCCCCCCCCGCCCTTAGGGGCCTGTGGGTCTTCCCAAGCACAGAAGCAAGGACAATGTTGAGTTCCTTCAAGGGCAAGCCAGGCCCCCAGCCAGCCCAGAGAAGGAAATGAGCAGCCGATCCACAGGAAGGTCACAAGAAGGTCACAGGAGCTTAGAACAACAGATGGAAGCCAGAGTCCCGAGAGTCTCCACAGAAGCAAACCATGCCATCTTAGCAGGTGCTCCTCAGTTGTTTTCCAGAAACAGGGACTCCCACCAAAGGGGCGTGCTGGCACACAGACCTCACATGAGCGGGAGCTGAGGACTGGCCTCTGACCACCCTTCTCTTACCTAAATTTCTTCCTGAGGGGCCTGGAGGAGGCTATGCCCATCCTGAGGGGCCTGGAGGAGGCCATGCCCACAACCCAGAGCTAACATTCTTTCCTGCGGATCCCAAAGTTTTAGACAAAGATTCGCTTCTGCACCAAATCAGAAAACCTTTGAATCCACCTATGACCCGTGGTCCCTGGCTTCAAGATCTCCTTGCTATTTATGGCAAAACCAGTGTACAACCTCCATGTACTGATTTATGACTTGCCTGTGACCTCTGCCTCTGCACCTTTAAAAACCCATAACTCAGGCCTGGTGTGGTGGCTCATGCCTGTAATCCCAGCACTTTGGGAGGCTGAGGCAGGTGGATCACAAGGTCAGGAGATCGAGACCATCCTTGCTAACATGGTGAAACCCCGACTCTACTAAAAATACAAAAAAATTAGCCGGGCGTGGTGGCATGTACCTGTAATCCCAGCTACTTGGGAGGCTGAGGCAGGAGAATGGCGTGAACCCGGGAGGCGGAGCTTGCAGTGAGCCGAGATCGCGCCACCGCACTAGAGCCTGGGCGACAGAGCGAGATTCTGTTTCAAATGAATAAATAAATAAATAAATAAATAAATAAAAACCCATAACTCGGCCGGGAGCAGTGGCTCTCAAACAGCGCTTTGGGAGGCTGAGGCAGGAGGATCACTTGAGGCCAGGAGTTCAAGACCAGCCTGGACAACATAGTGAGACCCCCCCATCTCTACAAAAAATAGAAAAAATTAGCTAGGTGCAGTGGCTCACTTCTTATTTTATTATTTCATTTTTGAGACTGAGTCTCGCTCTGTTGCCCAGGCTGGAGTGCAGTGGCCTGATCTCGGCTCACTGCAACCTCTGCCTCCTGAGTTCAAGTGATTCTCCTGCCTCGGCCTCCTGAGTAGCTGGGATTACAGGCTCCCACCACCACGCCCAGCTAATTTTTAATATTTTTAGTAGAGACAGGGTTTCACCATGTTAGCCAGGATGGTCTCAATCTCCTGACCTCGTGATCTGCCCACTTTGGCCTCCCGAAGTGCTGGGATTACAGGTGTGAGCCACCGTGCCTGGCCACAGTGGCTCACTTCTATAGACCCAGCTACTTGGGAGGCTGAGGCAGGAGGATCCCTTGAGCCTAGGAGCTCGAGGCTGCAGTGAGCCATGGTCAAACCACTCCAGCCTGGGGGACAGAGAGAGACCCTATCTCTGAAGAAATATGAAAATTTTGAAAAATTAAAAATAAAACCTGGACGGGCATGGTGGCTCACGCCTGTAATCTCAGCACTTTGGGAGGCCGAGGCAGGTGGATTACTTGAGATCAGGAGTTCAAGACCAGCCTGGCCAACATGGTGAAACCCTGTCTCTACTAAAAATACAAAAATTAGCTGGGCGTGGTGGCATGCACCTGTAGTCCCAGTTACTCAGGAGGCTGAGGCAGGAGAATCGCTTGAACCCAGGAGGTGGAGGTTGCAGTGAGCTGAGATTGCACCACTGCACTCCAGCCTGGGCAACAGTGAGACTCTGTCTCAAAAAATAATAATAAAAATATAAATAGTAAAATAAAATAAAATGTATGAGTACTCCTTTTTTGGTATCATGTATCACAGACAATATACAAAGACAATCACATGAAAATACATAAAGCTCCAAATAGACCTAAACAAAGACCCTATAGCCTTGATTGTAAAACTCTAGCCATGAGACTGGCAAAAATCACTAGTCCAGAAAGGACGGCTGGATTCAAGTTATGCTGCAATAAATGGAACAAGTCAAAAACCTCTTGTCCCACATGGCTCAATCCCTCACTCAGCCCCAGAGGAAACAAGATTGCAATCCATATCTTTTTTTTTTTTTTTTTTTTTTGAGAGACAGGATCTGGCTCTGTCACCTAGGCTGGAATGCAGAAGTGAAATATCGGTGGCTGCAGGAATTCAAGGCTGCAGAGAGCTATTATTGTACCATTGCACTTTAACCTGGGTGACAGAGCGAGACCTCAACTCTGAAATAGTAAAATAGGCCAGGCATGGTGGCTCATCCCTGTACTTTTGGAGGACGAGGTGGCTGGACCACCTGAGGTCAGGAGTTTGAGACCGGCCTGGGCAATATAGTGAAACCCCATCTCTACTAAAACTAAAAAAATTAGTGGGGCGTGGTGGCGGGCGCCTGTAGTCCCAGCTGCCAGGGAGGCTGCGGCAGGAGAATCATTTAAACCCGGGAGGCGGAGGTTGCAGTGAGCTGAGATGGCGCCACTGCACTCCAACCTGGGCGACAGAGGAAGACTTCATCTCAAAAATAAATAAATAATAAAAAAGAAATTAAACGGTGATGTGGAACACTCTTTAAATTGTCGTTCACCACATTTTCATATCTTCACAATAATGCAAAACACAGTCACTTGCAGAACCGGTTCTGATGACTTAAATACCAGGTACAATTTTAGCCCTCTACGTAATTGCTTGGAAGTTACTTATGTTTACATGAAATGAAACTATTAGGCCGGGCACATTGGCTCACGTCTGTAATCCCAGAACTTTGGGAGGCCAAGGTGGGCGGATCACCTGAGGTCAGGAGTTGGAGACCAGCCTGACCAACATGGAGAAGACCTGTCTCTACAAAAATACAAAATTAGCCGGGCGTGGTGGTGCATGCTTGTAATCCCAGCTACTCAGGAGGCTGAGGCAGGAGAATCGATTGAACCCAGCAGGCAGAGGTTGCAGTGAGCCAAGATCGTGCCATTGCACTTCAGCCTGGGCAACAAGAGCGAAACTTCATCTCAAAAAAAGAAAAGAAAAAAAGAAAAGAAACAAAATGAGACTATTAGGCTGGGCACGGTGGCTCACACCTGTAATCCAGCACTTTGGGAGGCTGAGGCAGGTGGATCAGCTGAGGCCAGGTGTTCGACACCAGCTTGGCCAACATGGCGAAACCCTGTCTCTACTAAAAATACAAAAAATTAGCCAGGCGTGGTGGCAGGTGCCTTAATCCTAGCTACTGGGGAGGCTGAGGCAGGAGAATTTTTTGAACTCGGTAAGTGGAGGTTGCAGTGAGCAGAGATTGTGCCATTGCTCTCTAGCCTGGGCGACAGAGACTCTGTCTCAAAACAAAAAAATGAAGCTATTAATACTTTTCTACAGCAGTAACTACACACAGGAAGACCAAGACAAGCACAAGTTAAGGAATGGAGCTTTCCCAAAGCGGCTGTGTATAAAGACTATAAACTGTTTTTTGTTTGTTTTTTGAGAACAAACAAACTCACTGCAGCCTTGACCTCCTCAGGCTCAAGCAATCCTGCCACATCAGCCTCCTGAGTAGCTGGGACTACAGGTGCTCACCACCACACCCGGCTAATTTTTGTATTTTTTGTAAAGATAGAGTCTCACTATGTTGCCCAGGGTGGTCTCAAACTCCTAGACTCAAGTGATCCGCCCGTCTCAGACTCCCACAGTGCTAGGATTACAGGCGTGAGCTGCCGTGCCCGGCCGGACATACGTAGTTTTTTGCCATGGCTTTTCTTGTGTTCTCTATCTACAGGCTAAGCAGATTCTGTGTGCTGCCCTGGGGTCTTTAATTACTTCAAGTGCTCATGTTGAACTATGAATATGATTGTGTGTGTGATTGTTTTGTTTTTAGAGACAGGGGTCTCTGCCACCCAGGCTGGAGTGTAGTGAGGCAATCATGACTTACTTCCGTCTTGACTTCCTGGCCCAAGTGATCCTCCTGCCTCAGCCTCCCAAGTAGGTGGGATTACAGGCACACACCACCATGCCCAGCTAAGTTTTTAAAAATTGTTTTGTAGGCTGGGCATGGTAGCTCATACCTGTAATCACAGCACTTTGGAGGCCAAGGCAGGAGCCCAGGAGTTTACGACCAACTTGGGCAACGTAGGAAGACCCCCATCTCCACATACAGACACAGACAAAAAACAATGAACCGGGCATGGTGGCACTTGCCTGTAGTCCCAGCTACTTGGTAGGCTAAGATGGGAAGATCACTTCAGCCTTGGCGGTTGAGGCTGCAGTGAGCTATGCCTGATGGTGGCAGGAGGCAGTCGAATGCCTAGGCAGATACGGGCAGGTCCCCAGTGAAACCCCACCTTCAAGCCAAAGACAAAAAGCCTGAAAGCCAGCCAGGCACAGTGGCTCATGCCTGTAATCCCAGCACTTTGGAAGGCAGAGGTGGGTGGATCACCTGAGGTCAGGAGTTCGGGACCAGCCTGGCCAATATGGTGAAACCCCGTCTCTACTAAAAATACGAAAATTAGCCAGGCATGCCGGGTGCAGTGGCTCACGCCTGTAATCCCAGCACTTTGGGAGGCTGAGGCGGGTGAATCACAAGGTCAGGAGTTCAAGACCAACCCTGGCCAAGATGGTGAAAGCCCGTTGCTACTGAAACTACAAAAATTAGCCATGCGTGGTGGTGGGTGCCTGTAATCCCAGCTACTTGGGAGACTGAGGCAGGAGAATCGCTTGAACCTGGGCGGCAGAGGTTGCAGTGAGCCCGAGATTGCGCCACTGCACTCCAGCCTGCGACAGAGTGAGACTCTGTCTCAAAAAAAAAAAAAAAAAAAAAAATCAGCCGGGCATGGTGGCAGGTGCCTGTAATCCTAGGTACTCGGGAGGTTGAGGCAGGAGAATCACTTAATCCCGGGAGGCAGAGGTTGCAGTGAGCCAAGATCGCACCACTACACTCCAACCTGGGTGACAGGGCGAGACTCTGTCTCAAAAAAAAGAAAATCTTTAAATCTACCTATGACCTGGAAGCCCCCTCCCTTCAAGTTGTCCCTCCTTTCCTGACCAAACCAATGTACATATGATAGGTATTGATTGATGTATTATGTCTCCCTAAAAAGTATAAAAGCAACATGTGTCCACGTTGGGCACATGTTGCCAGGACCTCCTGAGGCTGTCACAGGCATGTCGTCAACCTTCGCAAAATAACCTTTCCAAACTTATTGACCACTAAAGAACTCATCCCTGTAACCAAAACCTGCCTGTTCCCCAAAAAGTATTGAAATAAAAAATAAATAAATTGGCCAGGCATGGTGGCTCACACCTGTAATCCTAGCACTTCAGGAGGCTGAGGTGGGCAGATGGCTTGAGGTCAGGAGTTGGAGACCTGCCTGACCAACATGGCAAAACCACGTCTCTACTAAAAATATAAAAATTAGCCAGACGCTGTGGGGCACGCCTGTAGTCCCAGCTACTTGGGAGACTGAGGCAGGAGAATCGCTTGAACCCGCGAGGTGGAGGTTGTGGTGAGCCGAGATCGCGCCACTGCACTGCAGCCTGGGCCACAGAGCAAAACTTCATCTCAAATAAATCAGTAAGTAGATTCATTGAGGCCTGTCTCAGATACTTTTGGTTTATAGCTCTCACTAACTAAACAACTCATGAAAACTAAGCAGTTGGCCGGGCACAGTGGCTCATGCCTGCAATCCCAGCACTTTACAGGGCCGAGGCAAGTGGATTACCTGAGCCTAGGAGTTCAAGACCAGCTGGGTGATATGGCGAAACCCCGTCTCTAGTAAAAATACAAAAAATTAGCTGGATGTGGTGGCACGCGCCTGTAGTCCCAGCTACTTGTGTGGCTGAGGCAGGAGAATGGCTTTGAACCCAGGAGGCGGAGGCTACAGAACTAAGCAGTCCGCGGACTTGCTTTGGGGATCCTGGGTACCAAAAATATGGACCTGGGTCTTTGGGCGACTTGGTGGGGAGTGGCATCCCACGAGCACAGGATGAGGAATCTTACTTCGGGAATTCTTGCTGAGAAAAGTGCGTCGGCAAGGCCGCCCAGCAGAGAGGAATTCATTCACCGGCTCAGGTTGTCTTAGATAATAGGGTAGCTGTAGATTACATCTTAGGTGAGCAGGGAGGACCACATAAGGTTGCAAATCCCACATCCTGTACTTACACACATGAATCTGCAAAGATTAAAAACCCATGTAGGTGACATTAGAGAACAGGCCACTTGGTTATGGCAGGTTTCCCTGACTGCCACTGAGAACTGTTTTCTTTCCTTGTTTTCTTAGATTTCTTATGGAATAATCCACATTTTCAGGATTGCTAAACTTAGGCATGTCAGCCTTGCTAATTTTTTTTTTTTTTTAGGCGGAGTCTCGCTCTGTCACCCAGGCTGGAGTGCAGTGGCGTGATCTCAGCTCACTGCAAGCTCCGCCTCTCGGCTTCACGCCATTCTTCTGCCTCAGCCTCCTGAGTAGCTGGGACTACAGGCGCCTGCCACCACGCCCAGCTAATTTTTGTATTTTTAGTAGAGACAGGGTTTCACCATGTTAGCCAGGATGGTCTCAATCTCCTGACCTCATGATCAGCCCGCCTTGGCCTCCCAAAGTGCTGGCTTTACAGGCGTGAGCCACCGCGCCTGGCCGGTTTTTTTTTTTTTTCTTTTTGAGATAGAGTCTTGCTCTGTCACCCAGGCTGCAGTGTAGTGGCATAATCTCAGCTGACTGCAACCTCTGCCTCCCAGGTTCAAGCAATTCTGCCTCAGCCTCTCGAGTATCTGGGACTACAGTTGTGTGCCACCATGCCCCACTAACTTTAGTATTTTTTTTTTTGAGATGGAGTCTTGCTTGCTGTCGCCCAGACTGGAGTGCAGTGGTGCCATCTCAGCTCACCGCAACCTCCACCTCTAGGTTCCAGCAATTCTCCTGCCTCAGCCTCCTGAGTAGGTGGGATTATAGGCACCCGCCACCGTGCCCAGCTAATTACTGTAATTTCAGTAGAGAAGGGGTTTCCCCACGTTTGGCCAGGCTGGTCTCAAACTCCTGATCTCAGGTGATCCACCCACCTAGGCCTCCCAAAATGCTGGGATTACAGGCGTGAGTCACCACGCCTGGCCACGTCCTGCTGCTCTTACCAACTCCCCTGGGAGCTGCGGCTGAAGGAGCTGGAAGGACTGGTTCCAGGTAGTGCTTGGGCCACTGAGGGCTGATCTGCAGCCCCTGCCAGGCTGGTGGAAGGGCACCCGAGGACCCCTGCCAGGGATTGATGGCAGCTGGACAGATGGGCACTTCCAGGCTGCCTGTGGGCTTCTGTGCCTGCCAAAGGCTTTGCCACAGTGACTCAATGAGATCAGATGGCCTTCCCTCTGCTGCACGCTGAGAGCAACCAGAGCAGGCCTTTGCCAGGACTTGGGGGAAGGTGGGACCTGGCCTGGAAGGGGCACTGGGGTCACTGTCATTTGACTGTTCAACGAAAAGGGGTCCTATTTATTGAGTCAGAGTTTCACTCTCGTCACCTAGGCTGGAGTGCAGTGGCATGACCTCAGCTCACTGCAACCTCTGCCTCCTGGGTTCCTCAGCTTCCTGAGTAGCTGGGATTACAGGCGCCTGCCACCACACCTGGCTAATTTTTGTATTTTTAGTAAAGATGGGATTTCACCATGTTGGTCAGGCTGGTCTCCATCTCCTGACCTCATGATCTGCCCGCCTCAGCCTCCCAAAGTGCTGGGATTACAGGTGTGAGCCACCACACCCGGCTGGGGGTCTTATTTTCACCACACTCGGCTGGGGGTCTTATTTTACCCTCATGGCAGGGTGATGGCTGCAAGAGCTCCGGAGGTGCATAATGCCGACCTGGACCTGCTCGCTTTGAAGATGCAACACAAGCCTTACGGACAACCACACAAAAGCCTCCTGTTGAGGCCAAATCAGCAGCCATTCTGGTTGGCAGACATACTGCCAAAAAAACCACCCCCAAAACAAAAACCTCCTGTGAAACCACCATAGAGAATTTATTTTTTTCTCAGGTGAAGTCAGTAACTAATTCTTCCTATTCCCGTTGGACACAAGGAGTCTGTGAGGGGGTGTGAAGGAAGGAGGCTGCGGCTGCGTCCTGGACTCCGTCCTGCGGTAGGGAGTCCAGCAGGGATGGCTCAGCCTCCGCACCTGGTGTGCAGCCGGATCTCCATCCTGAGGAAGGCCTTGAGGTTCTCATCAGCCACGTGCTCCTCCAGGGCAGCCAGGGCCCGCTCCCCACCGTCCTGGAAGTGCTGCAGCAGCCTGTCCGCGTACTCCACCCACACGCAGTTGGGGCAGCCACTCATGCAGCAGTTTGTGGGCGGCTGGAGCTCAGGTGGCAGCGATGCCTTGGGCGGCCTGGTGCCGTCCGCACCTGCTTGGGAGCCCACCTCTACGTGGTCTGTCCCGAATTTTCTGCGCCCATCAGGGGCTTGCGCTCCGGGATGGTGCCTTTGAAGAAAGCTGCCACCTCCAGGAAGCCTCTGGCAGCAGTCCGGGCTGGAGAACCGGCGAGCCCCCTGAGGATGCAGACAAACATGTGACTCTCCAGGAAGCTGGTGAGGCCCGGTCTACCCCCAGCAGTGAGGACATTTCAGCTCTCCTGTCATTGGGCAACTGGCTCCATGTCCTCAGCTTTTTCACTTCCTGTGACTTTAGACATGTTATTTCACCTCTCTAGACTCAGTTTCCCCACTGTGCAATGGAAGTCATGGGTATGACACGGTGTGATTCACAAGAAGTGCCAGGATCAGGGCCTGGCGCCGGGTGTGCACTCAAGCACATGGTGGGGGGTGGGGGAGGCACTCGACACCTCCAGCTAAGATGGCTGCTCTGTGGACACCAGTATGCGAGAGGTGTAACCCTGTAAGCTCCTGGCCAGCCCAGCACCTCTACCAGTATAACCAAGCCCCACCACCTCTGAGGGACCAACCGGAAGAATCGCACCACCCTTTATCCAAGTTTCCCTGTCACAAAGCCCAGGCCTCTCAGGCCCCTCTCATCCCAGCGTGAATGTCCTATAGGCAGTCTTCCGTCGCTGCCCTGCTCTATCTACCCAGGATCACGGACTGACACGCTACCAACTTCACTTATTTAACTAGTCCTGCGAGGGGCATCATCCGCTCCATGTCCACGGCCAGTCCCCAGAGCCCAGGAGGGCTCGCACACAGGCGCTCGGCAGATACTGAGAAACAGGAAAGTGGCCGTTCACCGGGCTGCTTCCTCTCCCAAGGCTAAGCGGCCCCTCCACAGATTCCGGGGCGGGGACTCGGTAAGAGCCGATGGAGGAGAGGAGCGAGGGGTCCTTCGGCGGCGGCCAGCGCGCGATCCTCCCGGCTCCGTCCCCACATGCGGGTGGAGGGGCCGGGGCTCCTCCCGGTACGTGCGGGCCCCCGGACAGCGGCCTCTCGGACGTGCCCTTCGGCGCTGCCAAGACCCGTCCTGGTACTTGCCGAGCCACGGACCGCGGCGGCTACCGCCCGGCCTCCCTCGACCACCCTCCGCAGCAGCATCGCCCGCGGACGGGATCCGGCAACCCCTGACCGTGAGCGGCGGGCGCTCCGGCCAATCCCGGACCTTCAGGAAGTCGCGCCGCTCCAGCCAGCGTGAGGCTGAGCGCAGGAAGCGGAAGTGCCGATCGGTGGGGCGGAACCATGCAGGAAGGCGGAAGTGGCTTCGCTAGGGAGCCTCCCGGCGTGGAGATGGCGGGAGCTGGTCGCGGAGCAGCGGTGTCCAGGGTGCAGGCGGGTCCTGGGAGTCCCCGGCGAGCGCGGGGGCGGCAGCAAGTGCAGCCGCTGGGGAAGCAGCGCCCAGCCCCGTGGCCCGGGCTTCGCAGGTGACTGCGCTGCCCCGCGAGGCCGCCACACTTCCCCAGAGAAGGGGACGCCTTGAAGGCTCCGCCCGGGACCCCCTAGGGAGCGTTCGCTCGGACCCCTTCCCCAGGTCGGGCTCAGTGCCCTCCTCTGTCTGTGCCCGCGGCCCACGCTCCGCCAGGATCGGTTGAATGAATGGAGGCGCGAGCGAGTCCTTGGTTTTGCCTTTCCCGCGTCCCAGTGTCCCGTCTTTGTGGTTCTGGACGAGGTCAGGGCGGAAAGGCCTCCTGGGCTTTCGGAGTGCCTTTCGGCCTCGCGTCCCGTGAGGAAGGGGTTCAGGGACAGCCACTGAGTGAGACCGAGAGGAAAGATCCCTGCTCCCTGGACTGCTGGACCGGCTCGCACCACAGAAGCCAGATGTGGCCCCTGTATAGATAGATTCTTTTTTTTTTTTTTTTTTTGAGACGGAGTCTCACTCTGTCGCCCAGGCTGGAGTGTGGAGTGCAGTGGCGCGATCTCGGCTCACTGCAAGCTCCGCCTCCCGGGTTCACGCCATTCTCCTGCCTCAGCCTCCCGAGTAGCTGGGACTACAGGCGCCCGCCACCACGCCCGGCAAATTTTTTGTATTTTTAGTAGAGACGGGGTTTCACTGTGTTAGTCAGGATGGTCTCGATCTCCTGACCTCGTGATCCGCCCATCTCGGCCTCCCAAAGTGCAGGGATTACAGGCGTGAGCCACCAAGCCCGGCCAGCCCGTGTAGATTCTATTGCCAGACCCAACTATTGTTTCTCTTACTGATTCTGCTTGTGCTTTACTTGGGACGGGTCTCACCCCCGTGTTCTTTCTCCCAGCAAAGAGAAGAAGAAAGTGAACTGCAAGCCCAAGAACCAGGACGAACAGGAGATTCCTTTCCGGCTCCGGGAGATTATGAGGAGCCGCCAAGAGATGAAAAACCCGATCAGTAACAAGAAGAGGAAGAAAGCAGGTGTGTGCAGGCCCATACTGGGCGGCAGTGAAGCTTTGTGTGTCTCAACCCGCCCAATCGCCCAAATACTTCAGAACGTTTCAGGCAGAGGAAATATGCCAAGACCCGGTGCTCAGAAGGTGGGGGAGCGTGGCCAAAGCTAAAGCAGTGGCTGGCAGCTGGTGGCGCTGTGGTTCCAGACGAGGCTTGGAAGGAGGCTGTGGGGTGGGCGGGGAGGACCCGTTATGGGGCCTCAGGATCCATGCTAAGGAGCGGCGTTTTTTTCTCCCCAAAAGTAGCGAAGATTCATCAGAGTTTTTAGCAGGGCACGGCCAATTCATGTTTACTCTAAGCAAAAAAAGGGTCACCGAGCGATGATGGAGTGAGGGAGAGTGGACCTGGCAACTGGCGGGGCTACTGCCAGGGAGAAGCCATGATTCTTGGGACAAGAGTGCTGAAGCAATGGTAGAGAGAAGTGGGTGGAGTCAGGAGCTGAAGGAGGAAATTCCATCAGGCCCCTCTGAGAAGTCTTGCCTTCCTCCCCCAAGTCTGGGTAGGGTGTCCACATGTCCACCGCTGCAACCCAGAGGTAACACTCTGGGCATGTTGGGAAACGGAGTCCACTGTGTGTATATTTTGCTTATAGACACATTTCTCTTCCCAAACGTGGCACTGGTTTTACAGCAAAGCTGTTTTATAATTTGTGTATAAACTGTAGGCTTCTTGTTGGGGGTTATATGGCTGCCAAAGGGATAGTGAGATAGAGGTGAGGAAGGTGCAGGGAGGAGGCGCACTGGCCTGGGTAGCACATGGCACGTTCTGAACCGTGCTGCATTGAATTGGCACCTTTGTTTGTTTGTTTATTTATTTATTTATTGAGATGGAGTCTTGCTTCCTCGCCCAGGCTGGAGTGCAGTGGCGTGATCTGGGCTCACTGCAACCTCCACCTCCTGGGTTTAAGCAGTTCTCCTGCCTCAGCCGCCTGAGTAGCTGGGATTACAGGTAACGCACCACCATACCCAGCTAATTTTTTGTGTGTGGTTTTTTTTTTTTTTTTTGAGACAGTCTCCCTCTAGCCCAGGCTAGAGTGCAGTGGCACAATCTCAGCTCACTGCTACCTCTGCCTCCCCTGTCCCAGTTCCAGTGCAAGCAATTCTCCTGCCTCAGCCTCCCGAGTAGCTGAGATTACAGGCACACGCCACCAAGCCCAGCTAATTTTTGTATTGTTAGTAGAGACGAGGTTTCACCATGTTGGCCAGGCTGGTTTTGAACTCCTGACCTCAAGTGATTTCCCCACCTCAGCCTCCCAAAGTGCTGGGATTACAGGTGTGAGCCACTGTGCCTGGCCTTTTTTTTTTTGGAGACAGAATATCGGCTCACTGCAACCTCCACCTTCCAGGTTCAAGCAAGTCTTGTGCCTCAGCCCCCCCAGTAGCTGGGATTACAGGCCTGTGCCACCATGCCCGGCTCGTTTTTGTATTTTTAGTAAAGGCTGGGTTTTGCCATGTTGGCCAGTCTGGTTTCGAACTCTGGCCTCAGGTGATCCGCCCACCTCAGCCTCCCAAAGTGCTGGGATTACAGGTGTGAACCACCATGCCTGGCAATATGCATGTCTTCACATATTTATGAACACAACCACCTGCCTGGCACTGTCCGCCTCCTGTGTTCTACACTCGCCCGGGGTCCTGCGCTTGCGTTCTCAGTGGATGTCATAGGTCTGCCCACGTTTCTTTTTTGAGATGGAGTCTCGCTCAGTCGCCCAGGCTGGAGTGCAGTGGCGCAATCTCGGCTCACTGCAAGCTCCGCCTCCCGGGTTCACGCCATTCTCCTGCCTCAGCCTCCCGAGTAGTTGGGACTACAGGCGCCCACCACCATGCCCAGTTAATTTTTTCTGTGTTTTTAGTAGAGACAGGGTTTCACCGTGTTAGCCAGGATGGTCTGAATCTCCTGACCTTGTGATCTGCCCATCTTGGCCTCCCAAAGTGCTGGGATTACAGGCATGAGCCACCGCGCCCGGCAGGTCTGCCCACGTTTCTCTGTGTAGCTCCACTGGGCTTCTTTCGGCAGCTGTGCAATGGAGTCTGTGGGTGATCAGAGGAGAATTCATTCAACCAGCCACCTAGGGGTGGACATTAGGTTGTTTCTGCTTTCCTTTTTCAGCTGTGCTGCAGTGGACATCTGTGACAGGTGCCATTGGGCTGGGGGGTCACGTCCCCGGGGATGCCGGGCCGGGCATTCTACATCCTCTTCAGCTGCTGTCGTTGGGGTGCTTCCAGCCAGCCTGGTCTTCCCTTCCTGTGGCTTTGGGAGGGGAAATGAGCATGGGTCACCTGCCTGCCACTGTCTGCCTCCTGCCTCCTCTGAGGCCTCCCTTTGTCCTCAGCCCAGGTGACCTTCAGAAAGACATTGGAGAAGGAAGCAAAGGGAGAGGAGCCCGACATCGCAGTCCCCAAGTTCAAACAGAGGAAGGGGGAGTCTGACGGGGCCTATATCCACCGCATGCAGCAAGAGGCCCAGCATGTGCTGTTCCTCAGCAAGAACCAGGCCATCCGGCAGCCAGAGGTGCAGGCAGCTCCCAAGGAGAAGTCTGAGCAGAAAAAAGCAAAAAAAGCGTGAGTGGAGGCGGGAGGGGGAGGGGTCTGCCCTGGGAGCCGGAGGGAAGACATTGGGTTCCCATGACGGCCCTCTGCAGGTACCCTGTTTCATAGCCATGGGGCAGCCTGGATTCAGGGAGACCAAGCCAGAGCCCTGGGAGTTGGCGAGTCGGAGCATCCAGCTGGGAGCCAGTGAGGGTGTGGCCTCCAGGAGGCTGCGGAACCTGGGAACTCTGCGGAGACCTCGCTTGGTCCTTGCTTTCACAGGAAAAGCACCAGAAAGCCCTAGCCCTGTGGGAATCAGCCCTGAGGGGGTCGGTCTGAGGGTGACGTGCCCAGGGGTTCTGTTTCCATTAGAACAGAATGTCTCTCGTCCAAGAGACTACACCTTCCTAATTCTCTAAAAGCTTTGGCCGAGTACAGTGGCTCACGCCTGTAATCCCAGCACTTTGGGAGGCTGAGGCAGGTGGATCACGAGGTCAGGAGATCGAGACCATCCTAGCCAACACGGTGAAACCTTGTCTCTAATAAAATACAAAAAAAAAAATTAGCCGGGCGTGGTGGTGCATGCCTGTAATTCCAGATACTTGGGAGCCTGAGGCAGTGGAATCGCTTGAATCCGGGAGGCAGAGGTTGCAGTGAGCTGAGATCGTGCCGCTGCACTCCAGCCTGGTGACAGAGCGAGACTCCATCTCAAAAAAAAGAAAAAAAAAAAAAAGCTTTGAAGGTTTGAGAGGTTGCTTTCAGCTCTGTAGATTCCCTGTTTCTGGATTGTTGTATTACTTATAGTTACCTTAGCCAGTGAAAGTTCATCACAGAGAACGTGGCCCAGATACAGCCTGGCGCCACGGTGATCTCCAGAGCTGTCGCTGAAGGTGAAGCTTCCAGATTCACATTGAGGGAGACGTGATATACAATGCTTGTTAGGCCCTTTAGACACAGCAGCACCGGATGGGCTGGATGAGTCTCTGTTGGGTGGTCTTTGGCAGCCTTCCCAGCCTTCGTGCACAAGGTGCCAGTAGCCCTTGCCCACGTGTCTGCACACATTGTCAGATGTTCCCTGGCAGGTAGCTGTCCCCAGCTGAGAACCACTGGGGGACCTGTGAGGGGCCTGTTGGGGTCAGAGCCTTCTTTGGTGGGCAGCTGTGGGTTTTGGGGTGGTAAGGGGAGCGGGGACTTGGAGGCAGCCACCTGTTCTTGGGTCCCTGCTCTGCCACAGGGGATCCCTTGTGGGTGGGGCGGCCTCTGCCTCCTCCCTGGGTGGAAAGAGAATTTAGGAATCTGAGTGACATGTGCTTTCTTCCCCAGGTTCCAGAAGCGGCGACTAGATAAAGTCCGACGGAAAAAGGAGGAAAAGGCGGCAGACAGGCTGGAGCAGGAGTTGCTCCGAGGTAGCTCTTCCCAAAGCGATGGTGTCAGCAGTGGTCCGGGTGGGGCCTGGGCGCAGGCCTTCTGTTCCCCACCAGCCCTGGCTGCACTGGGCACCTGTGGTTTCCCCTGGGGTCCACAGCCATTAGACCACTGGATGAGTTGGTGTTCTGTCCCAGCCCTATGGGAGGGAGGTGGGCGGGTGGTGGCTCTGGGTGTCAGGGGTGCAGTGGCTGTGGGCAGCAGTCCTCAGTTGTATTCTGCTCCTCCAGACACGGTGAAGTTTGGTGAGGTTGTCCTGCAGCCCCCAGAGCTGACTGCCAGGCCCCAGAGGAGCGTAAGCAAGGACCAGGTAAGTGGGGCACGGGGACAACTTGAGTTTGTCCCCCAGTGCTGCCAGGGAACAGAAGCCTTGGACAGGCTGGACACGGTGGGTCACACCTGTAATCCCAGCACATTGGGAGGCCAAGGCAGGCGGATTGCTTGAGCCCAGGAGTTGATACCAGCCTGGACAACATAGCGAGATCCTGTGTCAAGAAAAAAAAAAACCCTCAGCCAACGTGTGCGCTGTCTGGTGTGTGGCCTGAGAGTGCAGTGTTCTCGCTGGCGGGAGAGCTGTTGAAGCTGTGAGGCTTTCTGTTGCATCCCCTCCTTTCCCAGCCTGTGCCTCACCCTCCCCTCTCTCCCTCAGCCTGGCAGGAGATCGCAGATGCTGCGGATGCTTCTGAGCCCCGGTGGTGTGTCCCAGCCTCTGACCGCCTCCCTGGCCCGCCAGCGGATTGTGGAGGAGGAGAGAGAGCGGGCCGTGCAGGCCTACAGAGCGTTGAAGCAGCGGCAGCAGCAGCTGCACGGGGAGCGACCCCACCTCACTTCCCGGAAGAAGCCAGAGCCGCAGCTGTGATGGAGAGACACCCGGGGCCTGGCCACGCTCTGGGGCAACTGGCACCAGGAGCTGCTACACCTGGGTAGGAGAGAGGCAGGCCATGCCAGCAGTGTGGGGTGAGGCCTCCAGCTACTTGTTCACACGTTGGGCACTAGTGGGTCCACATCTTGCAGGGGGTGAGTGCCCGATGGACTAGGGCCAAGGCCTGGTTGACAGACGGCCCGTGGGGCCCGGTGTCACTCACAGCTCCATCTCTTTGTTTTGAACGTCCATTCTGAGTCTCAGCCCAGGTGGACCTTAGGAAGGGCTGGATCCCTGTCCCTGAACACCAAATACCGAGACAGCTGATGAGGCTGGCTCAGTGTGTGACGGAGGCCCCCGGGAGTCAGCAGAGCCGAGCGTACAGTGCACATCAGGCAGAGCAGGCCACGGGCAGGGACGACGCATCGGGACAGGGCTCTGCAGGGGACCGTGACTACAGGCCAGCTGTGAGTGGTCCCCTACAGAGGCTGCCCACCCAAGGTTTGGTTGGGGTGAAACATGATGACAACACATACACTTAAGAAGGTGGGAACCGGGGGCCGGGCGCGGTGGCTCACACCTGTAATGCCAGCACTTTGGGCAGCTGAGGCGAGTGGATCACCTGAGGTCAGGAGTTCGAACCAGCCTGGCCAACATGGTGAAACTGCATCTCTACTAAAAATACACGAAGAAAAAAAAAACAGTGGGAACAGAGTTGTCACCTACCTAACAGGGCTCTGAGAGAGCCGGGAGGCCCAAAGTGGCTGGAAGAAGGTAAAGGAAAAATCCTGTCTTGGGCTCAAGGTCACAGAGTGGGGCCCAGGGGGAGTTCCTGCTGAGGGCAGGGCCTTGCCAGGCTTCAGTCTCCAGTGCCAAAGGAGGAAATGCCCAGGCTGTCAGCATTTCCAGATGAGAGCAGAAGGGAGAAGCTTAAACCCAAGTCACACATCCAGCAATGGAGTCCGACAGCCCAGCACCATCTGGGAACTGAGAAGCACCTCTGCCCGGCCCCCACACCGTGTGGAAAGTGAGGAGCACCTCTGCCTGGCCGCCACCCCGTCTGGCAAGTGAGGAGCGCCTCTGCCCGGCCGCTGTGCAACCTTCCAAGTGTGAAGTGACAGCCTTGTGTGTGATGTTTTCTGCCTTCCCCAAGTTTGCACTTTCGACATTAAAGTTTACTTTTTAGTTAAAAGTTTTAAATTGGAGAATATATATTTAAAGTCAGGGCTGTTTTCCTCTTATGGGCATGTTTCCCACCTTGTGATGGACCTGGCGGCCCCAGCCCTCGCGTTGGGATGTTGTTTTTGCAGCAGCCAGAACTCAGCCCCAGATCACAAGCAGCAGCTGGAAGGGGGTGGCCTTTCCCTGGGAAAGGGCTGGGACGGCAGCGGGTGGCACTCCCACTCGCTCAATGCCTTTGGTTTTGGGTGTCAGATCGGCCCGTGTATGGCTAAGCAAAGGGATCCCACAGGGCTGGGAAAGCGCTCATGCTCTCCACTGCATCCATGATTCTCAGGTTTTAGCTGCTGGAAGGGAAACCCCTGGTGGTTTTTAGGGCCTCTTTGTTGCCCAGGCTGGGGTGCAGTGGCATAAGCACACTGCAGCAAGTTGTTGGGCTCAGGCAATCCTCCCACCTCAGCCTCCCAAGTACTTGGGACAACAGGTGCTCACCAACACACCCAAATAATTTTTTGTGCTTTTTGTATAGATGGGGTTTCGCCACGTTGCGCAGGCTGGTGTCGAACTTATGGACTCAAGGGATCCGCCTGCTTTGGCCTCCCAAAGTGCTGGGGTTACAGGCGTGAGCCACTGTACTTGGCATTTTTTTTTTTTTTCTGAGGCAGGGTCTTGCTGTCACCTTGGCAGGAGTGCAGTGGCACGCTGGTCTCCAAGTCTTGGGCTCAAGATTAGCCTGCCTTGGCTTCCCTCAGTGCTGGGGTTCCAGGAGAGACCAGCTCACCCCTCCTACTTTTTTTTTTTTTGAGATGGAGTTTTGCTTTCGTTGCCCAGGCTGGAGTGCAATGGCACAATCTTGGCTCACCACAACCTCTGCCTCCCAGGTTCAAGCGATTCTCCTGTCTCAGCCTCCCAAGTAGCTGGGATTACAGGCATGCACTACCATGCCTGGCTAATTTGGTATTTTTTAGTAGACACGGGGTTTCTCCATGTTGGTCAGGCTGGTCTCAAACTCTTGACCTCAGGTGAGCCGCCCGCCTCTGCCTCCCAAAGTGCCGTCCTGCTTTTCTTACTTATCCTTTACTTCTGGAATCTTCAGGAGGAGGTGATGTGGGCATGTCAGGGTCAATGTTTAAGAGGCGAAGGCCATGGATGGACCTCCCTGGGCCTTCCGCTCTCCATGGGGCAGTGCTGTTCTCTCCATATAAAGGGAAAACTGAATTTGCACAAAATCGGGGTGCTGACAAAACCAGTGATCCCAGATGGGTCACCTACTTGTACACACAGGTCTCGCAGCACCCTAGTTGTCAACTTTCCTACAAAGAATTTTCCCAGACTAGCCAGATTTTCTCCCAGCCAACCTATCACACATTTATTGATGTGATTTTTTTTGAAGAAAAAAATTAATGTTATAATTTCACATACCGTATAATGCTATCCTTTGATTAGCGTTTAGTTTGATGGGAACTCCAAACTGTTAAAGAAAATTCAGGCCAGCTGTGGTGGCACCATGCCTGTGGTCCCAGCTACTCGGGACGCTGAAATGGGAGGTTCACTCAAACCTGAGAGGTCAAGGCCGCCCCACCGTCTGGGAAGTGAGGAGTACCTCTGCCTGGCCGCTGCACCGTCTGGGCCTGTGAGCTGTGATTGTGCCTCTGCACTCCAGCCTGGGCTGTAACAGAGCAAGACCCCCATCTCTAAAACAGAAAAGAAAAAAAATTCCTATCCAGGTGCTACATCTGCGCTGAGAAGAGTCCACGAGCAGAGACGACTCTGAGAACAGTGGTGTCCTCAGCAGCATCAATTTCCCCAGACTCAGGAGAGAATTGGGCTCTGGCATGTGCACTGAGGGGGGTCCAGCATGCCTGGCCCCATGTGGGCGGCAAGCCACCCGGGTGCCAAGGCAAGAGACTGAGGACACGAGCTGTTCCAGTATAATAAAATATAAGAATAGTTATACCAGACATAGATCTTAGATATGATTATATATGAATCATGAATCATTAGTTTATAGCAATTACTCTTTATTCCAATATTATAATAATCCTCGCTCTATAATCATAACCTAGGAAAAGCTAGGCCATACAGAGATAGGAGCTGAGGGGACATAGTGAGTGAGGTGTGACCAGAAGACAAGAGTGCGAGCCTTCTGTTATGCCCAGACAGGGCCACCAGAGGGCTCCTTGGTCTAGCGGTAACGCCAGCATCTGGGAAGACGCCTGTTGACAAGCGGACCGTGGTCTAGCGGTAGCGTTAGTGTCAAGGAAAAACACCCGCTACTTAGCGGACCGGGAAAGAGTCTCCCTTTCCCCAGGGGAGTTTAGAGAAGACTCTACTCCTCCACCTCCTGTGGAGGGCCTGACATCAGTCAGGCTCGCCCGCAGTTATCCGGAGGCCTAACCGTCTCCCTGTGATGCTGTGCTTCAGTGGTCACGCTCCTAGTCCGCCTTCACGTTCCATCCTGTACACCTGGCTCTGCCGTTTAGTTAGCAGTAGCAAATTAGTGAAAGTACTAAAAGTCTCTGATAAGCAGAAATAATAATGTAAGCTGTTTCTCTCCTTCTCCTCTCTCTCTCTCTGCCTTGGCTGCCAGGCAGGGAAGGGCCCCCTGTCCAGTGGACACGTGACCCACGTGACCTTACCTATCATTGGAGACGGCTCACATTCCTTACACTGCCCCTTTGTCTTGTATCCAATAATATCAGTGCAGCCTGGCATTCGGGGCCGCTACCGGTCTCCACAACTTGGTGGTAGTGGTCCCCCAGGCCCAGCTGTCTTTCATCTCTGTCTTGTGTCTCTATTTCTACACTCTCTCATCTCTGCACATGGGGAGAGACCCACCGACCCTGTGGGGCTGGTCCCTACACCCCAGAACAGCCGCTGAGTGCAGGGACCCTAAGGTTGGGTGGGGGTCTGGGTGACAAGGCCAGGGGAGTCCCCAGCACCCCTCACCCACCCTGCAGGACACCCCAATTGACACTGTGTGCCAGCGAAGTGGGGACCTGATGGTTTTGAGAACGTGGGTTATTGAAAGTGGCCTGCAGCACACGGCCTGTCAGGAGCAGGCAAGGAGGGTCCTTATCCACCCACCCCGAGACCGTCCTCCCGTGGCACCATGCCACGCCTGCATAGGGCTCCCTGGCTGGAACCCACCCTTGAAAACCGCCTGAGGAGGTGCCAGAGTGTGGCTGCCAGCTCCAGACCACGTCGGCTCCACCTGCCTGGAACCCAGCTGCCACCAGCGCTGGCTGGGAACACAGGCTTGCTGTTTTCTCCGGGTATTGGGAAACGCGTACTCTTAGGACTCATTCAGGATCAGCATGTCCAGCCCAAGGATTGCTTCAGGAAAGGCACTCCCTCCCAACTAAAGGAACGTTCCGCCAAGCAAGCTGACAAGCGCGGCCCACCCACCTCCAGCCGGGTGGCCACAGGCACCTCAGGCTCCTACCTCCTTATATTTTCATGCCTCACAGCAAAAGTCACGGTGGGTATTTCTTTTCTTTTTTTTTTTCTGAGACGGAGTCTCGCTCTGTAGCCCAGGCTGGAGTGCAGTGGCACCATCTCGGTTCACCGCAAGCTCCACCTCCCAGGTTCACGCCATTCTCCTGCCTCAGCCTCCCGAGTAGCTGGGACTACAGGCGCCTGCCACCACGCCCAGCTAATGTTTTTGTATTTTTAGTAGAGACAGGGTTTCACCGTGTTGGCCAGGTCTCGATCTCCTGAACTCGTGATCTGCCTGCCTCGGCCTCCAAAAGTGCTGGGATTATAGGCGTGAGCCACCGTGCCCGGCCGACACTTGGCCATTTCAACCAGGCTTTGCTAAAGTCCTCTGAAATTGGGGGACTGAAACCCAATTACTGGGATCACAAGTTGCCTGTGAAATCTGCAAGGACCTGCTGTCAGGGCTCATTAAACCCCAAAGTATGGCACCTTGGCATGCAGACTACTCTGACCCAGAGGAGACTGGAAGGCCTCAGAAGCCAGGTCTTTGTCCTTCCCTCCTGGTTCCTGCCTACTTTTCTGCCGCAAAGTGAGTCCCAGAAACCACAATTCTTTTTCTCACAGCAGGTCATAGAAACTAGAACTCCTCTCTCCCAAAGCCAGCCATAAAACCTAGCAAGGTCACTCCCTCCTCCCTGGAAGACCCTCATTCCCGAGGGGTCCTGCCCTATCCTCAGGGGAAGGGGAATTGTGCACAGTGGCCTTGCTGGGTTTCCCCACTGTGTCCATCACCAGTTAGACGGACGTTAGGCCAGAGCCTGTGTGTCCAACCACATTTCTGCATGCCTGTTCACTCGTCAAACCTAAATATAAGAATAAAGGTTTTCACGCCGGGCACGGTGTCTCACGCCTGTAATCTCAGCACTTTGGGAGGCCGAGGTGGGCGCATCACCTGAGGTCAAGACTTCATGACCAGCTTGGCCAACATGGTGAAACCCTGTCTGTACTAAAAATACTAAAATTAGCTGGGCGTGGTGGCACACACATGTAATCCCAGCTACTCGGGAGGCTGAGGCAGCAGAATCGCTTGAACCTGGGAGGCAGAGGTTACAGTGAGCAAAGATTGTGCCACTACACTCCAGCCTGGGTGACAGATCGAGACTCCCATCTCAAAAATAAATAATTAATAAAGGTTTTCCCTGGGTCTTTATTGCTGAAGGCTCCTGCGTCATGTAAAACTTTACTTATTTTTTTTTAGATGGAGTCTCAATCTGTCACCCAGGCTGGAGTGCAGTGCATGATCTCAGCTCACTGCAACCTCCACCTTCTGGGTTGAAGCGAGTCTCCTGCCTCAACCTCCCAAGTAGCTGGGATTACAGGCAGGCAACACCATGACGGGTTAATTTTTGTATTTTTAGTCGAGAAGGGGTTTCACCATGTTGCTCAGGCTGGTCTCAAACTTCTGGCCTCAAGCGATCTGCCCACCTTGGCCGCCCAAAGTGTTAGGATTACAGGTGTGAGCAATCGTGCCCGGCTGTCATGTAAAACTAATACATTTGCTATGCTTTTAGGCCGGGCATGGTGGCTCATGTCTGTAATCCCAGCATTTTGGGGGGCTGAAGCAGAAGGATCAATTGAGGCAAGGAGTTCAAGACCAGCCTAGGCAACACAGCAAGACCCCGTTTCTACCAAAAATACAAAAAATTAGCTAGGCGTGGTGGTGCATGCCTGTAATCCCAGCTACCCAGGAGGCTGAGGTGGGAGGATTGACTGAGCTTGGGAGGTTGAGGCTGCAGTGAGCTGTGATCCCACCACTGTGCTCCAGTCTCGGAGACAGAGTGAGAGCTTGCCTCAAATAATTAAGTAAATTTGTTAATGCTTTTCTCTTGCTCACCTGTAGTTTGTTAGGTGTGTTGGCTGTCACCCTTATGGGTGAAAAAAGGTATTGTATCTTTCCGCCCCATGGTACTAACAGGACAGACACCTCAGGTGTCTAGTAGCTGTTTGGTGGTGGTAAGAGGCAGGGGGAGCAGTGCATGGGGATTCATGTGGTGTCTAAGAAGGTGGCATCCAGGCCAGGCGCAGTGGGGATTCATGTGGTGTCTAAGAAGGTGGCATCCAGGCCAGGCGCAGTGGCTCATGCCTGTCATCCCAGCACTTTGGGAGGCCAAGGCAGGTGATCACGAGGTCAGGAGTTCAAGACCAGCCTGGCCAAGATGATGAAACCATCTCTACTAAAAATACAAAATTTAGCCGGGTGCGGTGGCAGGCGCCTGTAATCCCAGCTACTCAGGAGGCTGAGGCAGGAGAATTGCTTGAACCTGGGTGGCAGAGGTTGCAGTGAGTCGCCGAGATTGCACCACTACACTCCAGCCTGGGCGAGAGTGAGACTCTGTCTCAAAAAAAAAAAAAAAAAAGGTGGCATCCAACAGGGCACAGGCTGTGTACAGTTGAGAGCCCATGACACACTGGAAAGCAGAGACTGGAGCCCGAGCCACCCTGAAGCACACGCCGTGCTGCGAGCTTTTCCCAGGCATCGCACATAGCCCTCCACAGGAATAAAGACCCATTTCCCCACAAGCAAAGTGCAGCAGGTTTGTGCCACGGAGGAGGGTGGTGGGTGCGAGGCTCCTTCCATGACCGAAGGAGCCTAGGCTGCCAGCTGGGAAAACATCTGTAGAAAATTCACATCTATTCTCAGGACTATAGGGTTTCTTATTCAATTGTTGTAGTCAAATGACGGCCCCTAAAAGGTGTGTCCAAATTATAACCCCTGGAACAAGCAAGAGTGACCTTGTTTGGAAAATAGGGCATTTGCAGATGTAATGAGGAATCATCCTGGATTTTCAACGACAGATGTCCTTGTAAGAGAACACAGAGGCACAGGAGAGAAGCTGCGTGAAGGTGGAGGTGGAAACAGGCTTTGCAGGCCACAGCCCAGGGGCGCCGAGGAGCACCGCAGCCACTACGCAGGCAAGGCACGGATGCTCCTTCGGAGCCTCCAGAAGGAAACTACCCTGGTGAAAGCCCAGCTTTGGACTCTGGCCTCCGGAACTAAGAGAGCAAATTTGTGTTGTTTTGGCAGCTGCAGGACACTGACCCGTCAATCAACACTCCCACAAGTGGCCATGGCTGAGAACCAAAGTCAAGGAAGGGCACTGGGGAACCATGGGAGGCACGGCCACCATTTCCTGTGCTTCATCTGAGCCCCACCTGGCACACCTGTGGGGCGTTTCACGGCAATACCTGTTCACTGAACAAGTGAACCAGTGAGAATGCTGGCTCTTGTTTTTTTTTTTTTTTTTGAGACCGAGTTTTGCTCGTCACCCACGCTGGAGTGCAATGGCGCGATCTCAGCTCACTGCAACCTCTGCCTTCTAGGTTCAAGCGATTCTCCTGCCTCAGCCTCCCGAGTAGCTGGGATTACAGGCATAAGCCACCACGCCCAGCTAATTTTTTGTATTTTTAGTAGTGACAGGGTTTCACCATGTTGGCCAGTCTGGTCTCGAACTCCTGATCTGGTGATCTGCCTGCCTCAGCCTCCCAAAGTGCTGGGATTACAGGCGTGAGCCACTGCGTCCGGCCACCAGCTTGTTTCTAACTCGAGGCCTGGCTCTTACTACCACACTCACTTCACCTGCCTCATGCCGTCTGTGGCAGATGCAGGGTCAGGGTACCAGCGGCTCAGCAGGTTGGAGGTTGTGCTACAGCAAGAGGCCAGGTTTCAGTGGCACTGTGCAGTCCATACGCCTTGGGGGCAGTCCAGCAGGTCTCCAGGAAGGAGGTGAGCCAACCCCAATAGCACCACTCTAAGATACAGAACACTCGGCCATCTGCAGGCCCTGCTCATCCAGTCTGGGGACAGGTTTTTATTTTTTTATTTCTTATATTTTTTAAGACGGAGTTTCACTCTTGTTGCCCAGGTGCAGTGCAATGGCATGATCTCGACTCACTGCAACCTCCACCTCCCAGGTTCAAGGGATTCTCCTGTCTCAGCCTCCCAAGTAGCTGAGATTACAGGCATGCACCAGCACACCCAGCTAATTTTGTATTTTTAGTAGAGACAGGGTTTCTCCATGTTGGTCAGGCTAGTCTCGAACTCCCGACCTCAGGTGATACACCCGCCTCGGCCTCTCAAAGTGCTGGGATTACAGGTGTGAGCCACCATGCCTAGCCCCTGGGGACACTTTTTTCAGAGGCCAGATGTCAACTTCCATCTCCACATGCCTCAGTTTACACATCATTGCATCTCAGCACAGAGCCCCATCATGTAGGGTTACTTTGGGTTATTCTGCCCCTGTGAGAAGAAACTATTGGCAGCAAAGCCATACTGCCCTCTGCCACCTCTCCCCAGCTCAGGCCAGCTGCGCCTCTGCCGTGCAGTCAATCGTTGGCTCTGTGGGTGGCCTGGAGCCAGGCCAGCACCCCTGCTAAGCCAGTGCCTTCACGGGCGCTGATTTCTGCCGTGGTGATGTTCTGCTTGGCACAAGCAATGATGTCTGGAAGCCTGATTAATGACTTCATCTCCTCCGTGGACATGTAACAGGGTAGGTCGCTGGAGAGAAAGAGGTGCCCCATCAGAGCAGTGGCAGCCACACACCTGCCCCGGACCCCCAGCTGCACCACCTCCCTACCGAGCCATGCTTCCGGCTGTAACCCGAGGGAGCCCCCGCCCCCGCTGTGCTCCCTCTCAGCTCAGGGACGCGTACATTTTATTGAAGAGTATCAGCACCGATGCTTCTGCAAGTTGTTCTGCAGAAAGGAGACCTAAGAGCTGCACACAGGATGCAGAGAGCTGGGTGGGGTCAGAGGCGTCCATCACAAACTGGGGAAAAAGAAAAAGACAGCAGCAATGCCCCGCTGCCAAACTTCCTCCCCTGGGCCTCACAGACCTGGCACTGGGAGAGCAAAACTGCATTTTTTAATTAATTAATTTATTTTTTGAGACGAAGTCTCGCTCCGAGTGCAGTGGCACGATCTCGGCTCACTGAAACTCCGCCTCCAGGGTTCAGGGTTCAAGTGATTCTCCTGCCTCAGCCTCCCAAGTAACTGGGACTACAGACACCCGCCACCACGCCTGGCTAATTTTTTGTACTTTTAGTAGAGACGGGGTTTCACCATGTTAGTCAGGATGGTCTCCATCTCCTGACCTCGTGATTCGCCCACCTCAGCTTCCCAAAGTGCTGGGATTACAGGAGTAAGCCACCGCGCCCGGCCCAAAGTAGCTTTAAACAAAGCTTTGGGAACAAGCAGAAGCAGAGGGAATCGAGTTTTATGAAGACGACCTGGTGTCACTCGTCTCTGTCCTCATGTGGCCATCAGTTCTCCATACTGGTATCCGCGGCACAGGCCTTATCAAGATGAGACCAACCAGAGGTACGTATAAGTCCAACATAAACACAGACGTACCGGGGAGTGACACAGAGGGCCAAGTCTGTTCTCTGCGGAGCAGCAGCCCTGCCCTCAGCAAGCCCTCTGTGAGCTCCTACCGGGGGCCTGGGAGCGCAAGCACCAGAAACCAGACAGGGTGCCCAGCAGGAAGCAACACTAGCTAAGACCTATTTCCATGAGTAGTATAGTCACTAAATAACCCAAACCCCTTTCTACACACAGCAAGGTTGGGGACTGGACGTCACAGAAATGTAGACACACTTCCCTAAAGGAAGCCCATATAGGATTACAACCCACCAGGAGAGAACGGCAGTTTCCATAGTAACTGGACCAGATGGGGCCCATGCACCCCCCAAGCTCCCGGATGGTGATCTTTCTCTGTGCCACGATGTCAGTAAGATTGGTGCCCACCTATAGGAAAAACCACGATGCAAAAAGAACAATACAACCGCTGTCCCGTTGTGAACTCCTGAAGAGCACCGTGCCCACACCTTACACGGTGGCCTGAACCCCGCAGACCCATTCTCCCTAACGCAGGAACGGCGAGCAGGGACCGACGCCCATCAGTAGCTGGACTCGCTGTGGGGGCGACCAGCCACAGGAAGCCGTTGCGAGGGGAGAGGAAGTGCCCGTGGAGGGCGGCAGGCCCCCTCATCCCGCGCCAATTATCCTCAGCTCGGGCCGTCCCCCGCTCCCGAAGGCTGGCCTTAAGTCACGACCTGACCCGCTGCGCCTCGGCGTGCACTTAGAGGAGCCCGGAGCTCTTCGCCAAGCGCAGAACTGACCCCCCGCAACTCCACCCGCGGGGGCGGACACCTACCGTGGGCCGTGTCGGGGGCGGCTCCCCCAGGTCGCCTTTCCCATCCCGGGAGCTCACCTGTGCGAAGCGGTCAAGGACCCGAGCAGCTAAAGGGTGAGTCCCCGCCCCACTCCGGGTGCCCCCCGCGCCCCGGTCCCGTCCCCGCGCGGAAGGATATCCTGCAGCCGTTTCACCAGCAGCGTCTTCCCGACGCCCGTGGCCCCCAGCAGGAGACACATTCCGTGCTTCGCTCCACCCGGCACCCGTAGCTCGGCGCCGCGGCTCAAGGCCCGCCCACCGGCCACTCTCATTGGATAGTTCTCACCTTCGGACTTCTCATTGGTTCTTAGGGCTCATTGTTCCAAGGGCGCGTCCAATTAGCGCGCAGCGTTAGCGGGAGAGCGGAAGACCCCGCCTCCTCGCGGCTCTAGGGCCGGCGCGGTGACGTGCGCGTGCGCGCACTGGAGGGAAAAGGCGGAAGCGGAAGTCGGGGGGCGCGCCAGCTCGTAGCAGGGGAGCGCCCGCGGCGTCGGGTTTGGGCTGGAGGTCGCCATGGGGCGAGGCAGCGGCACCTTCGAGCGTCTCCTAGGTAACGCGTCCCCACCCGACGGCTCGGCCTTGGTCAGCCCGCAGCCTCCGCCCGGCGCTGAGTCAGCGCGGCCCCGAGGGCCCGAGGGGCGCGGACCGGCCGCCCTGCCCGCCTCTCCCCGGCCCGCTGTCCTCCCGGGTTCGGAGCCGCCGATCCTGGACCCTCGGCGCGGCCGTGGGGTCGGCGTCCGTCGGGCGTTGGCAAATGGGGCTCTGCGAGGGTCCGCGCAGGGCGCCAGGGGCGCTCGGCGACCTCGCTCCTCCGCGGGCCCGGGCATTCGGCCGATTTCCTCTTGACCGACGAGCACCCGGCCGAGTGGGCCACAAGGCCTGAGTCATGAAAGTGGGTGACTCAGTCGGATGTTAGGCTCGCACTTGGGCTTCTGACCCAAAACACTGGGCCTCGAAGGGTGGAGCCGGCAGTGTTCTCTCTGGGACCTTCGAGCTCTCTTGGGGGCTGCGGGTCCCAGACCCACCTTTTGTTCCCACACTGGCTTCGGGAAGTGCCTAATGGTTTAGGAAGGCGTTTTCTCACGTTTTTGGAGGTGAAAGCTGATCCTATCTGAGCCTCCTGGAATTGACGCGTTTTGGGAGGGAAACGAATGTTGATGTGCACGTGCCCAGCAGCACGTGGAAAATGCGTCTAATGTTTGGGGGTAGGAGCTTGGGTGGTCGAATGGGCTGCCCAAGCTTGCCTTTTTGTCAAGTAGGGTTTTCAAGGAGACTTCAAGTGAGACACCTTCCTTGCCAAGGGAACCAGCAAGCAGACTGAGTATCTCAGCCACACAGGTAGTTCAGTGCTTCAGGGATGAATCCAGAGGTTAACTACTGAATCAGTATAGAAAGTGGACGTGGCTTGGCTTGTTAGATCGTTTCTGTATCCGGGAAAGGCGATGTGGGCAGAGCTGGAGCTGCCCCCCCAGAGGGGCCAGTTGTTGGAGACAGCAGTGATGTGGTATGATGACAGGTATGCTGGCGAGTCCTCCTTGGAGCCCCGTTCTGCCCTTATTTCCAAAGCACTTGGCTTGGAGCAAGGGGCCTGGAGTCTACACTGCAGGCCTCTCTAGCCCTTGCCCAAGCTAAGGTCCCATTGAAACCGGGAGCATCTGGGCGAACGGGGACTCCAAGGGACGGGTGATAGGGTTCTTTGTTGAGAAGCAGCCGAGCCTGATGTTTAAGAGTGAATCAGCCTCTGTCTCTGGTGAGCTGTGTGACTCACGGCAGTGCCCTCGCCTCTCTGCTGAGTGTCTTTACCTCGCTCGCGGGTTGTGGGAGGGCTTGGACCAGCACCTGGTGTGCTCTTACGCTGTTTGCTGCTTCCCTGGGGAGGATGGCACTTCCCTGCCCATCAGCACGCTCAGGAGGATTCTGTCATGCTTTTTCATTTGGTCCAAATGTCTAAAGGGGAAGGAGAGAGTCCCCCCCAGCTGCTGCCAAGCTGGGGTGCTGCACGGGGCGTCCAGCAGGATAACCCCTCCCTTTCATGGCATTTTCTCTCTCAGACAAGGCGACCAGCCAGCTCCTGTTGGAGACAGATTGGGAGTCCATTTTGCAGATCTGCGACCTGATCCGCCAAGGGGACACACAGTGAGTTAGCGGGGCCTGTGCCCTGATGCGGAGGAGCAGCCGTGCACTAAGCTGGGCTCGCTTGGTGCCCGTTGGGTCTCCACGACGTAGCTGACCGTGTTAGGCTCTTATGTGGAGAACTGCATGGGCTACATGCTAGGATTTTTTGACATCTTGGAGGATTAAGGGGTTTTCTCTGTACAGCTTGCAGATACCTGGTTATGTTTGTATTTGCTTCGGGGTTCTCAAAGACTAAGATGGCAGACAGACTTTTTTTTTTAAGACGGGGCCTTGCTTTGTCACCCAGGCTGAAGTGCAGTGGCGTGATCTCAGCTCACTGCAGCCCCTGCCTCCCAAGCTCAAACGATCGTCCCACCTCAACCTCCTGAGTAGCTGGGACTACAGGCATTCACCATCACGCCCGGCTGATTTTTTGTATTTTGGTAGAGATGGGTTTTTGCCGTAATGCACAGGCTGGTCTCAGACTCCTGGGCTCAAGCAATCCTCCTGCCTTGGCCTCCCAAAGCACTGGGATTACAGGCGTGAGCCACTGCACCTGGCAGCAGATGAGCTTTTCTCATCTTAGTTGCTGAGACTATTTTTTTCCCGTTTTTCTCTGCTTTTATCAATGTTTCCTTTTCAGAGCAAAATATGCTGTGAATTCCATCAAGAAGAAAGTCAACGACAAGAACCCACACGTCGCCTTGTATGCCCTGGAGGTAAGCAGACCCCCGTGCCTCAGTGGCCCCCAGGGTCCCTACCCCCTACTAGTCACGACAGCATGAGAAGAGTTTGTCCTGTGGCCTTGCCCACCTCCCTGGGCATACATCAAGCAGGAGAGTTTCCACTCAGCCTTGAGTGCCTGTGTGAACAGTGCCACCTAGGAGAGGGTCACGCTGAGGGAGAGACAGGAGATAGGGGAGGGAGTGGGCACCACTTCTTCAGCCGGTCCTGCGTGAGTAAACACCAGAAGGCGGATGTCATTGCTGTGCTTGGCAGTGAGACTTGGCGTCACGGAGCGGTGCTGTGCAGGCTGCTGAGTCTCAGATGTGGGTTCCCCACTGGCCTGACGGGCCTGTTGAAGGGCTGCTGTCCCACCGGGTTCCCCACCGGCCACTGACGGGCCTGTCGAAGGGCTCTGCTGTCCCACCGGGTTCCCCTCCGGCCACTGACGGGCCTGTCGAAGGGCTCTGCTGTCCCACCGGGTTCCCCACCGGCCACTGACGGGCCTGTCGAAGGGCTCTGCTGTCCCACAGGGAGGTGGGTCTGTCCGGGAGGAGGAGGGGCCCTGCCCTGACCACTGGCCCAACCCTTCCCTTCCTGGGCATCTGCAGGTCATGGAATCTGTGGTAAAGAACTGTGGCCAGACAGTTCATGATGAGGTGGCCAACAAGCAGACCATGGAGGAGCTGAAGGACCTGCTGAAGGTGGGTGAGACGGGGGCATGCGGGTGGCCACCCAGGCTGGCACCTTTGCTTCTCCGGGTGTTTACTGGGCACTGATGACAGAACAGCACCAGGTGTGGCGGAAAATGTGCAGGTGCAGATCGGTGGTCCCTGCACTGCGCAAGCTCGCACTCATGAGTCGGAGAGACAGGGCCGTGAGCCCCAATCCAGGGAGGTCAGGGTTTAGCAGGAGCCGGCCTGGGGTGCTGTGTCTGGAGGACCAAGGTGACAGCGACCCTGGGGCCTGGGGGAAGCTTCCGGGAGGCAGGGCTTGGGCACCTGCTGTCTTAGGGAAGGTGAGTAGATGCCACTGGGTGGGCAGGGCAGGTGGTGGCTATCGTGTGTGAGAGTGGCTGTGGTCCGGAGGGCAGGCTGGCCACATCCCACAGGCAGGGGCCTGGGAGGGCTCTGAGCGGGGGCTTGTAAGATCGGATGTGTCTGGCGGGGATAAGAGCTGTTTTGGAGAGCGAGGGCTTCATGCTTTCCTGGGCAGAGGAGGAAAAGCCCTCCAGATCCCCAGGAGATTGTGCCGGGGACATCTGCAGGGATTGTGCTGGGGACACCTGCAGGGACTGTGATGTGGACTGTGATGCAGTGGGGATGCTGTTGCAGGTGTCAAGGAGAAAGAGTGTCCCATGTAGTCAGGCTGCTCCCCTTCTGTCCCAACCTGTGGGCCAGACCTGGGTCTCATAGGAGACTCCCTGGACTCACACAGCTGAGAACCTGCCCGGGGATCCCGGTGGACAGCCAGGCCTCTCAAAGGCCCTCACTGGCCACTTTGGCTGGCTTCCTGTCCCGTCCTGTCCTGGCTGAGAGGCGGAAGGTGCCGGAGTCTGGCCCTGCCCGACCCTGGTGCTCCTGAGCTCCTTCAGTCAGGCTGCAGATCCTGAGCCGGTTCGCTCCTCTGGGGTGAGGCAGGGCTGTGAAGGGAAGGCGCCGCTGAGGATGCAGAGGGGTTCTGGAAAGGAGCTTAGGCTGAGGTGCAAGTGCCCCGGAGCCTGCTTGCAGCAGCCTCTGATCGCACGCCGTCCTGCACGTCACACCGGGACGGCGTCCCCGAGAGGGCCGTAGACGCGAGGCCAGGCTGCGCTCTAACCGGGGGAGAGGATGGCTGCAGGGGGTCTGGAGCCCGCTCTGAATTTGGAGGCATTTCTGGAGCGGCTGCCCCCCGCGTCTCCCCGGCTGTGACTGGAAGGAGGGGCGTGGCCAGAGCCCCGCAGTACCCCTGTGTTCTCAGCCCCAACACCACGCTGCCACCGTCAGGCCTGCCGGGTCCTGCCTGTTGGAGGCTGACGGGAACCGGGGATCCTGGGGTGGGCAGGTCCCGTGGGGAAAGGGAGAGACAGATGGTCAGGGGCACAGAGACGCGGCGTTGTTTGGCTCCAGCAAGTAGAGGCAGGCGTGAGGTTTGAACTCAGGGTCTGGGAACAGGTTGGTGCATGGCCCCCACGCCCCACTCGGGGGGCCCTCCCTGGCCTCTGTGTCAGCCCCATCTGCTCAGAGGCTGAGGTCTGCCAGCTGCTTCCTCACACCGAGGCCTCTGGCGCCTGGAGTGTCCTGCGACCCTCACCCCCTTCTCCCTGCCTGCAGAGACAAGTGGAGGTAAACGTCCGTAACAAGATCCTGTACCTGATCCAGGCCTGGGCGCATGCCTTCCGGAACGAGCCCAAGTACAAGGTGGTCCAGGACACCTACCAGATCATGAAGGTGGAGGGTGAGTCAGGACTGAGGTTGGGACCAGGTTGAGGCTTGGAACTGCTGGGCAGTCAGGCTCAACGGGCACAGTGGCGAGGGGCCTGGGAAGATGGGTTGTTCCCTGTGTTGGGAGGGAGGAGGGCGGTGGCCTGGAGCCAGGGAAGACCGTGCATGTGAGGGCGGGTTCAGACCGGCTCCTGCCTTTCTGGACCCACGGCCCACGGGCAGGGGCAGGCAGTGATGGCAGACAACACACAGGTGAAAAGGCAGCAGACAGCCTGTTTCAGAGTGGCAGGACTCCTGGGGGCCGGGTTGGGCTGTGCAGTCAGGGAAGGCCTCTGAAGGAGCTGTCCCAAGTGTCGAGACTGGAACAGAAGCCAGAGCCGGCGTGAGCAGGCAGGCAGCACCCGTGGGCAGACACTCAGGGTTGAGGCCCCAGGGCAGAAAGGTGGCCAGCGTGCCAGAGGAGAGTGCAGCCGGGCCTGTGCGCCGAGGGCCTCCAGGCTGTTGGGCTGGAGTTCAGGGTTGCTGTCAGCGCAGCAGGAGGCCTCTGGTGGGTTTTCGTCTAGGTCGTGGCTGCCAAGGTGTGTTTCTTAAGGGTCCCTCTCGGCCATTGTGGCCGTGGAGAACTAGGGGATTGTGTAGAGAGAGGTGGGGGCTTCAGGATGCATTTGGGAGTCTTGGCTGGTGCTCAGGGCCCACTCAGTGAGAGAGAGGTGGGCATGGCTGCTCACATCTGTGCGGGTTCTCTGTGGCCCTGAGTCTGCTGAAGACGAGGCTGAGAGCGTGGGGAATGGGGCAGGCTCCAGGGGTGGTGCGTCCCCGCTGCAGGAGTTGGACGCTTGCCCTGTGGCTGCAGGGTGGGCAGGACCAGTGTGGAGAACACGGGAAGAACGCAGGGGGCGCTGCACGAGCTGCCTTGGACCCTCAACTTTGGGGTGGTGGATGCTGGTGGTCTGTGCTCCTGTCTCCTTCCTGGGGTGGGAGCTCTCCTGGATTTTTTCTGGGGTCGTGTGTCAAGAATAGCTCAAGGTCTTGTCCTCAGGATCAGTGGGAGCCCTGGCCAGAGAGCAGAGGGTGAGGGAGCCACTCAGCAGGCGGGGCCACGCAGGGGCCTCATGCCCTGATGGAGTGGGAGCAGTGTCTCAGGAAGAGGGCAGCAGGGCCTGGCTCTTGTCTCCCGCCACAGTGAGGACAGAGGCCCCATGGGGACACCCAATCTTGGGGGCAGGAGGCTGTCTCGGTGCCCCCAGACACCTTCACTTGGGTGCACGGTCACTGCTGCGTTGCAGCTGCCGAGAGTGAGGAAGGGGCTCCCGGAAGTCTTGCAGGCCAGGTGGGAGCAGGCAGTGACTATGGCTTCATCTCTCCAGGGCACGTCTTTCCAGAATTCAAAGAGAGCGATGCCATGTTTGCTGCCGAGAGAGTGAGTGTGGGCGGCCGCCAGGGGTTCTGGAGTCGGGCTGCTCAGGAAGCGTGAAGGGGAGTGCTGGGAGCCCGGCTTGTTTGAGGGTTGGTGGCTGAGCTCTCGTCTGTCTGGGACCTGAGGATGCCTGTGTGTCCTGGGCGGAGGCGTAGCAGCTGTCTCTGCAGGGCGAGGTGGAGACGTGGCTTGAGGGCCTTTAGAGTGGCTAGGGGGCTCGGGAAAGGAAAACAAGCACCTTTGATGAGGAAGGAAGTCCCTTCCTCAGGCCTCGGCAGCTTCACCCCAGGCCACGCCGCTGGGAAGGGCCGCCCGGGGCATTGCTCTCGCTCGTGCTGGGGTCCTCTCTGGGTCCGTTGCCTTCTGTGGGGCAGGGGAGGCTCTGTGCCTCTGGGGCTGGTGGGGCGGGAAGCGTGTGGTCCTGACTGCTGCCCCTCCTCAGGCCCCAGACTGGGTGGACGCTGAGGAATGCCACCGCTGCAGGGTGCAGTTCGGGGTGATGACCCGTAAGGTGAGTTCCCACCTGGGGGGCTCTACAGCCCCGGCCAGACACCAGGTCCCCTGCCGTGCACAAGGCCACCGTCCCTGCTGGGCCTTTCCTTCCTGGTGGGTGGTTCAGGAGGTGAGTGCAGCTCGCAGCGGGTGGCAGTGTGGCGTCAGGAGGGGGACAGTGAGGGCCCACGTAAGGGCCTGATGCCACTGCCTGGGCCGGGCCCAGCCTCACTCTGGAATTATAATGTTTTAAACCTAGGGCTACAGGCCTTGCCACAGTCACTCTGCTGCTTGCCAGGGCCGTGGGGCCCCCTTCTCTTTGTGGCTTAGCCCATCTGGATTCTTACCCTCGAGGCATCTTCACATCAAAACCCCCTCCAGGCTGGCAACCGGCAGTGCTTGGGGTTTGGGGTGTCAGCAGCTTCCAGCACCCACTGCACTCACAAAAGCTCTTGTTTTATCAGCAGAATTGATGTGTATTTTTTCCTTGCCCTTACTTTTAACTTACCTTATTTTCCCCAAAACGGTGGCTGGCGTTGAGACTCCCGGGAGCATGTCCAGGTTCCCCGGCCTTAGGGTCTTCCCAGGCACTTGTTCTGCTTGTCCCTTGCCTTCCCCCACCTGTGAGGCCCAGCTTCGGCATCGTACGGGGTGGTTCTGGGCCGGGTGGCGCATCAGGGTCCCCCAGTGCCTGTGACCAGGCCCGCCCGCCCCATCTTACAGCACCACTGCCGGGCGTGTGGGCAGATATTCTGTGGAAAGTGTTCTTCCAAGTACTCCACCATCCCCAAGTTTGGCATCGAGAAGGAGGTGCGCGTGTGTGAGCCCTGCTACGAGCAGCTGAACAGGTGAGTCCCCGCCCCCCATTTGGGCTGCAGGTGGGGCAGGCTCTCCAGGCTGGGTTTTCTGTCCCTCTTGGCCATGGTGCCTGAGGCCTGCAGACCCCAGAGGACCCTCACAGCACAGCAGCTGGAAGGTCAAGGGAAACCCAGGGTGGCCGCATGCCCTCGGACCCTGCCCCACACTAGGGCAGGTGGGTGTGAGAGACAGGGCGCCGCGGCTCCAGGGACCGAGGCTGCCCCGACAAACCTGTTGCTTGGGTTTGGGTTTGGGTTTGTTTGCATTTCAACTTTCGGAATAAAACTTACAGAAAAGTTGCAAGAGTAGCACAGAGAAGCTGCGGGGCCGCGGCCAGTGCCTCAGCGGTGGGAACCTGCGGGGCCGCGGCCGGTGCCTCGGCGGTCGGTGTTTTGTCGCAGAGTTTACTCTGCCTCCCCTCTCCTGCGCGTGCGTGTGTTCACACAGGTTTTATTTTGAATTTGCATGAGTGCAGATGTCATGCCCCTTGGCACTCAGATCTTCGCCTGTGATCTCTGAGAGGGACAGTGCTCTCATGGCCACAGCAGTCACTCGGGACTGCGCTGCCACCCAGTGCTGGCTTCTGCTCTGTGGTCCACGTTCCATTTCTGCCGTGGTCCCAGCAGCGTCGCTGTGGGTCTGGCCTGGGTTGCGTGTGTTTCGTATGTGGGCCGTGCTCCCTGCTTGGTTCCCTTTTCCTGGAACGTGTCACTGCCTCCCTGTCTCGCTCCGTGGACATTTCTGGGAGGTCAGGCCGTGGCCACCTGGCCCCCTGTTCAGGTCTGAGGCTCCCACCTGCTTAGGTTCGGGAAGCTCAGGAGTGAGGCCATGCCCTCCTCAGGACATCCCATCCAAGCCAGCCATGTCCGGTGATGGGCCGCTGCCCGGAAAGTTCCTTTTCCTTCTTGTAACTGAGAAGAACTTGCCTTGAGCCACGTCAAGTCCCGTCCGTCGCAGCCACTGCCCACAAGCGTGAGTCTGCTGTGAGCCAGCGGCTCCATGGCAGGGCATCCCAGCGCCATTCCTGCCTTCACACACACTTGCTGCCGTTTCCCTGTGCTGGGGGCTGTGCAGGTCTGCCTCGGTGTGGACTTTTCTCTTAGGAAAGAGCCCCAGGTCGGCCGAGCACGGTGGCTCATGCCTGTAATCCCAGCACTTTGGGAGGCTGAGGCGGGCAGATCACGAGGCCAAGAGATCAAGACAATCCTGGCCAACATGGTGAAATCCCGTCTCTACTTTTTAAGTATTTTATACTTAAAATTTTTGTATTTTATACAAAAATTAGCGGGCTTGGTGGCAGATGCCTGTAGTCCCAGCTACTCGGGAGGCTGAGGCAGGAAAATCACTTGAACCTGAGAGGCGGAGATTGCAGTGAGCCAAGATGGCGCCACTGCATTCCAGCCTGGGCGACAGAGCAAGACTCTATCTCAAATAAAAAAAAAAGAAAAGAGCCCCAGGTCAAAGGTCAGCGTGCGTGGTTGGAAATTGCGACCATGCTGTGAGCCTGCGGCCCTTGGACTGCCTGGGGCGCCCCGGAAGAGCTTACTGGGCATGACAGTCACTGACCTGTTTGCCCCTTCTTGGGTGGGGCCCGTCCCACAGTGGCGGTGCTGTGTTTGGTTTCCCGAGTGCCGTAGGAAGGTCTTCGCAGGCCGGGCTGGTGTCCTGAATGTCCATTTTCAGGAGAGGAACTGGGGCTTACCCTGAGGGACTCACCCGAGCCCTTGTGGCTGGTGTGATGCCCTCGAGTCCTGCCCTGCTCTGCTCTGGAGTGTGGCCATTCGGACACCTGTGGCTGTGGAACCACTGTCCTCACTCTGTGGGGACACTTAGAGGAGCCCGCAGAGGTGTGGTTGAGAGCTTTGGCGGGGGCAGGGCGGTGTCAGCGCATGGTGACCTGCAGCATTCCTTGTGCCCACAGGAAAGCGGAGGGAAAGGCCACTTCCACCACTGAGCTGCCCCCCGAGTACCTGACCAGCCCCCTGTCTCAGCAGTCCCAGGTACTCAGCCCCCTCCGTCCCGTGGGCACCTCTTCCCCGGCGCCCCCCCTCACCCTCCCCGCTTGTCCTCAGCTGCCCCCCAAGAGGGACGAGACGGCCCTGCAGGAGGAGGAGGAGCTGCAGCTGGCCCTGGCGCTGTCACAGTCAGAGGCGGAGGAGAAGGAGAGGCTGGTAAGCCGGGTGGGGCGGGGCGGCCTCAGGAGGGGCCCAGCTCCCCTGGATGTGCTGCGGTGGGGCCGGAGGGGCGTCACGTGCACCCAAGTGACGCCCCTTCTGATTCTGCCTCAGAGACAGAAGTCCACGTACACTTCGTACCCCAAGGCGGAGCCCATGCCCTCGGCCTCCTCAGCGCCCCCCGCCAGCAGCCTGTACTCTTCACCTGTGGTGAGCGGCCCTTGGGCTGGAGCTCCCTCTCCTGGAAGGCAGTAGGGTTGATGGGGGACGCGGGTCCCTGAGCTGATTTAGTCAGGTTGGTGGGGGATGCGGGTCCCCGGGCTTCCCAGAGAGGACAGCCCCAGCACACGGGCGGACATCAGGGCAGAGCCCCACGGCTCCAGGCACCCGTTGCTCCTGGTCCCTGGTTCGGCCCTTGGGACTGAGGACATGGGACAGGCTGTGGGGGAGGCGCCTTGCTGGTGAGACCCCGTCTCTTCCACACCCCTCCCGCCCCACAGGAACTGAAGGACTTGCTTTCTGGGGCATCCACGTCACCTCTCCCTGGCCTCAGCCCCGCTCTCAGTAGAGGGTGAAGAGGCAGCCTGTTTTGCAGGGGGTTGGGTCGGGGACAGCAGGTTGAGAAAGTCATTTTGTAGGTTCCGTGGAGTGGCCAGGCCGCTGCAGGCCCAGGGGTGCAGAACAGCCCTGCCCCAGTGAGCCACCCCTTCCCTTCTTCCCTTCCTTCCGGGCTGTCGGCTGGGGCCCCACACGCTGGACCGTGGGGGCTGTCCAGTGTCCACCTTGAGGCCCCAGGGCTGGCCCAGTGCCACCCTGTTCCTCCCATAGCAAGGTTAGGAGCCTTGTAGGACGGCAGTGCTGTCAGCCTCTGTGGAGTTCTAAGCATCTGGAAGAGGAGAAAAGATGGCTGCTCAGATGCCAGGAACCAGAGGAGGGCACGGAGGGAGGGCCCAGGCTGCGGCTCTGGTCTCCAGGATCTGTCGCACTGGGGACATCCCTGTCCCTGCCGAAGCAACTGGCTCTGTCACCTGTGAGACTCAGATGCCCTTTTCTCCCCAGAACTCGTCGGCGCCTCTGGCTGAGGACATCGACCCTGAGGTAAGGCCCAGCATGGGGTGCATCCTCTCACGGTTTCTGGCCTTGGGAGTGACCCCCTCATTGCCTGCAGCTCGCACGGTATCTCAACCGGAACTACTGGGAGAAGAAGCAGGAGGAGGCTCGCAAGAGCCCCACGCCATCTGCGCCCGTGCCCCTGACGGAGCCGGCTGCACAGCCTGGGGAAGGGCACGCAGCCCCCACCAACGTGGTGGAGGTGAGGGGGCCACTCCCGGCATTCCTAGTGGCAGGGTCCCTTGGAAGGGGTGGATGCGGGACAGGTTGGAGGCCCCACTCATTCTCTCTCTTCCAGAACCCCCTCCCGGAGACAGACTCTCAGCCCATTCCTCCCTCTGGTGGCCCCTTTAGTGAGGTAAGCTGTGGCTCCCTCCACGGGCCAGGGCAAAACATGGCCTCCTGGCCCACAGCGCCAGGCACATGGCACAGGTGCCTGCCCTAACCAGAGGGCCGTGCTAGAGCAAGGGTGTCTGCCCCAGCCCAGCCCTGGCCTGCCCTGCCCTGCCCTTTGTGGCCTCTCCCAATGGAAACTCTACACCAGGCTGTGGTCCAGAGCTCGGGCCACTCTCTGTGGACCTAACATGGACCTGAATATTCCAGAGCAGCCTAGAACCATCAGATGAGTCCTTGGCGTTGCCTGGGGCTTGTGGGCTGGTTGGCTGTCAGAGCACAGGTCCCTGGAGAGGGAGCTGGCAGTGGGGCCCTGAGCCAGCTCCGTCCTGACCAGGGCTTGCAGCTGGACAAGGACCCCGCCTCCAGGGCCTCGCCTTCCTCAGCTGTAGAAGGGGCTGCTTGCATAAGGAGCAGATGGACTCTGCTCCAGGCTTGAGTATAGCTGGGTGCCTCCATCCCAGGCCCCACCAGGGAGGCTGGCTGGGGCGTGGCCGCACTCATCCAGAACCCTGCTCTGCCTGCAGCCACAGTTCCACAATGGCGAGTCTGAGGAGAGCCACGAGCAGTTCCTGAAGGCGCTGCAGAACGCCGTCACCACCTTCGTGAACCGCATGAAGAGTAACCACATGCGGGGCCGCAGCATCACCAATGACTCGGCCGTGCTCTCACTCTTCCAGTCCATCAACGGCATGCACCCGCAGCTGCTGGAGCTGCTCAACCAGCTGGACGAGCGCAGGCGTAGGTGCCCGCGCCACGGGGCCTCGGCTCAGGGGCAGCCAGGTGTTGTGAGCGCCATCCTGGGCCAGGGCCTCCCCTGAGGGTGCTGAGCTCTTGTGAGTCCTTCATTGGGGCCGTGGCTTCCTCCAGAGAGTGTCAACAGGAGGTGGTCTCAGTGATGACCATGCCCTGCCCTGCCCTGCCCTGCCCTGCCCTGCCCTGCCCAGGACCCTCTGCCTGCCTCCCCCAGAGCCCAGCACCTTCAGAGCCCTCTGCAGAAGGTTGGGCACAGGGCGGCCCATCTGCGTGTCCGTTCCACCCAGGAGCTTCTCGGCACTGTGCCGGAGTGGTCAGGGTTGCTCTGTCATCTGCCCACAGTGTACTATGAGGGGCTGCAGGACAAGCTGGCACAGATCCGCGATGCCCGGGGGGCGCTGAGTGCCCTGCGCGAAGAGCACCGGGAGAAGCTTCGCCGGGCAGCCGAGGAGGCAGAGCGCCAGCGCCAGATCCAGCTGGCCCAGAAGCTGGAGATAATGCGGCAGAAGAAGCAGGTGCAGTGGCTGCCCAGCCACAGGCCGGGGCCGGCTGGGGGACCTCGCAGCATAACCAGCATGTTTTTGCCGCACAGGAGTACCTGGAGGTGCAGAGGCAGCTGGCCATCCAGCGCCTGCAGGAGCAGGAGAAGGAGCGGCAGATGCGGCTGGAGCAGCAGAAGCAGACGGTCCAGATGCGCGCGCAGATGCCCGCCTTCCCCCTGCCCTACGCCCAGGCATGTGCCATCCTCCCGCCACCCAGAGGCTTGTGGGCTGAGGACCAACTCTCACCGCTGTCTCTTTTGTCCCCAGCTCCAGGCCATGCCCGCAGCCGGAGGTGTGCTCTACCAGCCCTCGGGACCAGCCAGCTTCCCCAGCACCTTCAGCCCTGCCGGCTCGGTGGAGGGCTCCCCAATGCACGGCGTGTACATGAGCCAGCCGGCCCCTGCCGCTGGCCCCTACCCCAGCATGCCCAGCACTGCGGCTGGTAAGGACGGGTCGGGGCAGAGACCATGCCTTTTATCCCTCGTCTTTATTTTAGCCGAATTTACAGAAAAGCAGTAAGAATGGTGCGAAGGGTTTTCCCAGTTGCCCCGATGTGAATGTTGTCCCTGCTTTTTCCTGTTTCCATGCAAACGCACTCACACAGGCTTTCCTGCTGGAGCCGTGTTTCAGTCCGTGCGTGGCAGGTACTGCCCTCTCCCCTGAATGCGACAGCGAGCATTTCCTGAAACCAGCAGGTGCTGGGCTGCCGATCCTCGTCTGTAGCAGGCTCAGCCCTCATGGACTGTCCCAGTGGTGTCCTGTAAACAGCACGCCCCCTGCTGCGTGGCATTTGCCCCCCCCCCCCCCGCCTTTAATCTAGAGTGTTCCCCAGTCAGCTTCTGTGTTTTGTGACATCTACTGTCCCAAGAGCACTGGCCTGTCATTCGGCAGACCGTCCTCAGCTCAGGTTTGTCTGGTGTCTCCACGCGGTGACCATAAGGCTGTGCTTTTCTCAGAGTGGCAGCCGAGGTGACGTGCATCCCGTCAGTCCCATTGCTGGCCGTTCGGCTGAGACGGGGTCTGCCAGGGGTTTTCACTGTGAAGTGACTGTTTTGCCCTTTACAGATGTCTCTTGGGGGAGGCCTTCCAAATACCCTGGGACTCCTCAAGGTCTAGCATTTTTTGCTAATGTTGCCTGTGTTTATTACGGTGTTTGCCAAATAGCGCCTTCTAATTCTGCTGTTGTCTTTCCACTGGCGGGAGGTACTCTTCCCCACTCTCCTGCTTATCGTCAGTCACAGCAGCGTGGAGACGTGTTTATTTTTTCTTTCAAAGGTGACACTCCTCTGTCATCACTCTTTATTTTTAGAGTCTCGCTGTCATCCAGGCTGGAGTGCAGTGCCATGATCATGGTTCACTGCAGCCTCGACCTCCTGGGCTCAAGCAATCCTCCCATCTCAGCCTCTTGAGTAGCTGGGACTACAGGATTGCACCACCATGCCTGGCTAATTAAAAAAAAAAGGGCTGGGTGCGGTGGCTCACGCCTGTAGTCCCAGCACATTGGGAGGCTGAGGCAGGTGGGTCATGAGGTCAGGAGTTCAAGACCAGCCTGCCAGGATGGTGAGACCCTGTCTCTACTAAACATACAAACATTAGGTGGGCGTGGTGGCACGTGCCTGTAATCCCAGCTATTCGGGAGGCAGAGGCAGAGAATGAATTGAGCCCGGGAAGTGGAGGTTGCAGTGAGCCGAGGTTGCACCACCACACTCTAGCCTGAGCAACAGAGTGAAACTCCATCTCAAAAAAAATGTAGAAATGAGGTCTTTCTGTGTTGCCCAAGCTGACCTCAAACTCCTGACCTCGAGTGATCCGCCCTTCTCGGCCTTCCAAAGTGCTGGGATTACAGGTGTGAGCCACCGTGCCCAGCCCCGTTACTTTGATGCTCAAAGTTTCCCAGGTGTGGCCATGGGAGGCGTCAGTGGCTTCTCTGTTGCGTAGGGCCATTGGTTTGGGTTGCTCCTGAGTTTCTGTTGCTAGATACTCTGTGCTCGTCTTGTATGTTCTCAACCCTGGAAGCAGCCATTTCTCCAAGGAGCCCTTGTTCCCTTTAGTGGAGGGTGGTCTGGATCTTGGTTAGAAGCCAAGATCAAGATTCTGGGTGTGCTCACAGCTCTAGGTTGTTAGCAGACAGAGCTGGAAAGTGTGTATGTGAATACAAGTGCACAGTTGTGGGTGCGTCTGTGTATGTGCGAATACATGCGTCTTTGTATATGATAAAAACCGTGAGTGCAGCCAGGTGCGGTGGCTCATGCCTGTAATCCCAACACTTTGGGAGGCCAAGGCGCGTGGCTCACCTGAGGTCAGGAGTTGGAGACTGGCCTGGCCAACATGGTGAAACCCCGTCTACTAAAAATACAAAAATTAGCCAGGCGTGATGGTGCACACCTGTAATCCCAGCTACTTGGGAGGCTGAGGCAAGAGAATCACTGGAACCTGGGAGGTGGAACTTGCAGTGAGCCAAGATCATGCCATTGCCCTCCAGCCTGGGTGACAGAGCGAGACTCCGTCTCAAAAAAAAAAAAAAAATCCATGAGTTAATTCCAGTACTTGCAATTTTAATCCAATAGCACAGTTTTCTTTTGCATTGTTTTCAATATACTCAATTGCTCAGCCCTAGAATACACAAAAAGTAGTTTTAAGAATGCTAACCTGGCCCACTGTGGAGACGATGCCTCCTAACTGGAGTGTAACATTTGTCTGTAGTTCTTGTCATTTGTAGCCTGAGGCCGTGGAGTCCAGATTTTGGGTTCAGAAGTTACTGGAATTCACTATCCCATCCCATTGGTCAGACCATGTCACTCATTTCAAATACAGTTTGGTTCATTTTTTCTGATTTCATTCCATTCTAGGATTCTCCTCCCATCCTTGTTGGTTTATCTTCTTTTTTGAGACGAAGTCTCGCTCTGTCGCCCAGGCTGGAGTGCAGTGGTGCGACGTCAGCTCACGGCATTCTCCGCCTCCCAGGTTCAAGCAATTCTCCTGCCTCAGCCTCCTGCGTAGCTGGGATTACAGGCGCCTGCCACCATGCCCAGCTAGTTTTTGTATTTTTATTAGAGACAGGGTTTTACTATGTTAGACAGCCTGGTCTCGAACTCCTGCCATCATGATCCGCCTGCCTCGGCCTCCCAAAGTGCTGGGATTACAAGCATGAGCCACCACGCCCCGCCTATGTTCCTTTTTTTTAGAAACGTGAAACCTGAACTTGGTTCCAAAAGTCACAACAAAAAGGAAAACTCCTGGCCGGGCGGTGGCTCACGCCTATAATCCCAGCACTTCGGGAGGCCGAGGCGGGTGGATCACCTGAGGTCAGGAGTTTGACACCAGCCTGACCAACATGGTGAAACCCGTCTCTCCTAAAAATACAAAAACTTAGCTGGGTGTGGTGGTGCACGCCTGTAATCCCAGCTGCTCGGGAGGCTGAGGCAGGAGAATTGCTTCAACCCAGGAAGCAGAGGTTGCAGTGAGCTGAGATCGCGCCACTGCACTCCAGCCTGCGTGACAGACTATCTCAAAAAAAAAGTAAAACTCGGCCGGGCGCGGTGGCTCACGCCTGTAATCCCAGCACTTTGGGAGGCCGAGGCGGGCGGATCACAAGGTCAGGAGATCAAGACAATCCTGGCCAACATGATGAAACCCCATCTTTATTAAAAGTACAAAAAAAAATTAGCCGGGCGTAGTGGCGTACGCCCGTAATCCCAGCTACTCGGGAGGCTGAGGCAGGAGAATCGCTTGAACCCGGGAGGCAGAGGTTGCAGTGAGCCAGGATTGTGCCACTGCACTCCAGCCTGGTGACAGAGCAGGACTCCATCTCAAAAAAAAAAAAAAAAAAGTAAAACTCAAGAGTAGGGTGTCCCTTCCTCTCCTCCCTGTTGCCCTGGCTGAACCATCTCCCCTGTCTTGTTTGTCACAGATCCCAGCATGGTGAGTGCCTACATGTACCCAGCAGGGGCCACTGGGGCGCAGGCGGCCCCCCAGGCCCAGGCCGGACCCACCGCCAGCCCCGCTTACTCATCCTACCAGCCTACTCCCACAGCGGGCTACCAGGTACACAGGAAGGCCGCTCCTCTCCTTCCAGGGCCAGCCCCAGCCCCAGCCCCAGCCCCAGCCCCTTCTCCCATGGCACTCATTCCCTCCGCAGAACGTGGCCTCCCAGGCCCCACAGAGCCTCCCGGCCATCTCTCAGCCTCCGCAGTCCAGCACCATGGGCTACATGGGGAGCCAGTCAGTCTCCATGGGCTACCAGCCTTACAACATGCAGGTACAGTGACCTCCAGGCCCTGCTGGGGGCCAGGGTGGGGGAGCAGTTGATGATGCTGAGGGTCCTTTGGTGAGGCTGGCAGGCACTGGGTGGGCTCCACCCCTTCTGCTCCTCCCCCTCCACTCTCTGGGTGCTCCCTGTGGTCACCTTTGGATTGTTGCAAGCCAGAAACATCCCCGCCTGCCTGGTCACAGGGCTACTCTCTCACATCTGACGTCTTCTCACAACAGAATCTCATGACCACCCTCCCAAGCCAGGATGCGTCTCTGCCACCCCAGCAGCCCTACATCGCGGGGCAGCAGCCCATGTACCAGCAGGTGAGCCATTCCCGGGGCCTCACAGCGGCACCCGCAGGGCACCCTCAGGCTTCACGGTTTAGCAATGGGACCCCTGGCCCCAGTGGGGATTGTCCCGTACGTCTGCTCACAGGGGGAGACGCATACCCGAGGCCCCTTCTCAGCAGACAGAACGAGGACACAAGTCTCAGGGCAGATACGCGCATCCGCAAGTGTAGACAGGAAAAACCGTGAATTTACTTGAAAGGCAAAGGCCGCATGAGCTGGCTGCATGAGCTGCAGTCCGTGGACATGGATTACAAGCACTTGTGGGTCTGTGGCTCTGCTGGGACAAAAGCCTTCCTCCCTGGGCTGGGGAAGGGAGGACCAGGGCCATGCCTGCTTTCCTCCTGCACAGATGGCACCCTCTGGCGGTCCCCCCCAGCAGCAGCCCCCCGTGGCCCAGCAACCGCAGGCACAGGGGCCGCCGGCACAGGGCAGCGAGGCCCAGCTCATTTCATTCGACTGACCCAGGCCATGCTCACGTCCGGAGTAACACTACATACAGTTCACCTGAAACGCCTCGTCTCTAACTGCCGTCGTCCTGCCTCCCTGTCCTCTACTGCCGGTAGTGTCCCTTCTCTGCGAGTGAGGGGGGGCCTTCACCCCAAGCCCACCTCCCTTGTCCTCAGCCTACTGCAGTCCCTGAGTTAGTCTCTGCTTTCTTTCCCCAGGGCTGGGCCATGGGGAGGGAAGGACTTTCTCCCAGGGGAAGCCCCCAGCCCTGTGGGTCATGGTCTGTGAGAGGTGGCAGGAATGGGGACCCTCACCCCCCAAGCAGCCTGTGCCCTCTGGCCGCACTGTGAGCTGGCTGTGGTGTCTGGGTGTGGCCTGGGGCTCCCTCTGCAGGGGCCTCTCTCGGCAGCCACAGCCAAGGGTGGAGGCTTCAGGTCTCCAGCTTCTCTGCTTCTCAGCTGCCATCTCCAGTGCCCCAGAATGGTACAGCGATAATAAAATGTATTTCAGAAAGCATCAGCGTTTTTTCTTTAATTAATTTTTTTGAGATGGAGTCTCACTCTGTCACCCAGGCTGGAGTGGTGATCTCCGCTCACTGCAAGCTCCGCCTCCTGGGTTCAAGCGATTCTCGGGCCTCAGCCTCCCGAGTAGCTGGACTACAGGTGCACCCCATTACCATGCCTGGCTAGTTTTTGTATTTTTAGTAGCGACGGTGTTTCACCATGTTGGCCAGGCTGGTCGTGAACGCCTAACCTCAGGTGATCCACCTGCCTCGGGCTCCTAAAGTGCTGGGATTACAGGCATGAGCCACCGCGCCCGACCTGCATCAACGTTTGCTCAGGGGGCAGGTGGTCAGGCTGATGGCCCAGCTGCAGGCAGGGTCATTTCCAGCCTGCCCCTCCCTGAGGCTGCGTGCCAGGGTTCATGTGTGCCCTCCGCGGCTCTGCACTGACCCCGCCGGTAGCTGGGGAGGAGTTTGGGCTTGGCGCCTCCTTCGTGTAGTGGCTGAAGCTTCCCGGGTGCTCCTCATTCCTGGGAAGGGAGTCGGGTGATGGGAACGGTGGGAGCTCAGCGCTCCGAGTCTGCGGCCGGGGGCCAGCGGGGCTGAAACGCGCCTCCTGAGTGTTGAAAGCGGCAGGCGCCGGCCTTTGCACCCAGAGGCCAGGGCGTCTCACTCACCTTCACATCCAGGCCTCTTAGGGGAGCGCGGCTTTGGCTTTTCCAGGAAGGAATGGACTCCAACGGACAGGGAAAGAAGAAGTGTGGAGAGACGGGCAGGATAAGCAGGCACTGGGCCCAAGCCGCCCTTGGAGGCTCTGCCTGTTCTGATCTGAAGGCGGAGGCTCAGCCGTGCTCTCCCAGGAAGCCACCTGGGCGTTTGGGGCTTTAGCTAGGAAAGAGGATGTCGCCTGCGGCTGCGAAGGCGCCAAAGCCCAGACCTCGCGCCTCCGCCCGCGACGGCGGCACTGGGGGCCCGGAGCGGGCGGGAGACGTGGATTACTGCGGGCTTCGGGGCCCTAGCCTCGACCGCGACGTTCGCTCGCATCGCGTACGGACAGAAACCCGTGAGCGCTGAAGAAAGAACACCTGAATCCGGAGCCCCAGCCCCCGTCGCTCGTTTGCGCGACCCCAAAACCTGGCGGGACGAGGGTCGCCCGATGTCTAGCTGCCGCCACAGACGACGCTTTTGCGTCTGCGCAGCGCGCCGCCTTGTGGGTAATCTCAGGGTGAGACGAGGCTAGCGCGAGGTACGGCTAGAGCGTCATTTCCGGCTCGAATGCCCGGCAGCCGTGGCGGCTAGAGCGTTCCTCCCCAGCTCGAATGCCCGGCGGCCGAGGCGGCTAGAGCGTCGCCTCCTCCCGGGGAACCGCGTGTGACCTTCCAGCCCGCGGACCGATGCTGCCGGCGGCCGCTCGCCCCCTGTGGGGGCCTTGCCTTGGGCTTCGGGCCGCTGCGTTCCGCCTTGCCAGGTACGCGGGATCCTGGGGCGGTCCGGGCCGGCAGGCGGGTTAGGGGGCAGCCGGGCACTGAGGGGTCGATCCGGGCGAGGAGGGCGGCGGGGCCGGCCTCCCTGCAGCGGCCAGGCCGGGCTTGGGGGTCCCATCGGGGGCGCGGGGAGGAGGCCTCCCGGTGCGCACGCCCCTTCCCTCCTGGGCCGTGGAAAGCGCCGGGGTCGGCCCCAGATGACCTTGGACGATTCCCTGCTCCTCCCTTGGCCTCAGCCTTTTCCGCAGCAAAGGCCCATCCGTGGGTGCGGCGTTTTGCGGCCAGGGGCCCCCATGTTTTGGGAGGCTTTGCGCAGGAAGATGCACCTAAGTAATAGTTTCGCCACCGCTGGGTTGATGTAGTTCATTCAAACCAGAAACTTGAGGTTTGAGTGGTATGGCTGCAAATAAACACGTGGCTTTCTAAGGCTCTTTGAAGAATTTAAAGTAACTTGCAAATCTTATCAATACGGACCCCTTGAGGTCTGAGAACCCTGGACTGGGACCAAGGAGCTAGGTAATTTCCGGCCCTAGTGATTACCAGCCTGAGCTTATGGCACCCACCAGTCCCCCAGTTGTCCTGCCCCTCTGGTTTCTGCAGCCCCTTCCATTCCAGGACTGACAAGTCTGTTTTAATTGGGGGTGGGGGCTAGGCGACAGGTGCCATGTGTCTGTGCCGTGCGACATATGAGGAGCAGCGGCCATCAGAGGTGTGAGGCCCTCGCTGGTGCACCCCTGGATAACGCCCCCAAGGAGTACCCCCCCAAGATACAGCAGCTGGTCCAGGACATCGCCAGCCTCACTCTCTTGGAAATCTCAGACCTCAACGAGCTCCTGAAGGTATCGTGAGAGGGTGGCACAGACCCAGGGGCTGGAAGTTTCAGGGCCCCTGTGTTTTGTTCCTGGTGTATTTTGGGAGTTTGGTAAATTGTCAAAAGTGTGTTTGTCCAGGTGCAAGGTCCATGCCAGGCTAGTTGCCCCTCCTCAGTAGGTTCCGGCTGGTGTGAGGGCCAGCTGTGGACACTGTTCTCTATCTCTGCAGAAAACGTTGAAGATCCAGGATGTCGGGCTTGTGCCGATGGGTGGTGTGATGTCTGGGGCTGTCCCTGCTGCAGCAGCCCAGGAGGTGAGTCCTGGGCAGAATGAGGCATTTCTGGGGTGCCCAGTTCGCCTGTGGCCTCATGTGCCGTGGTCCCGTATCTCAGGTTCTGCAGCTACCGTCATTGTCTGCAGCCTGCACACCTGTGCGGCATCCTGCAGCCTCCTGGGACCTACTCCCTGCCACGGATGTGCACGACTTTGCATGTGGAGACCATGTTTCTAATGGAGGGAAACAGACACTAAGCTGAGAGAGGAAAAAGAGGCTGGGCGTGGTGGCTCACGCCTGTAATCCCAGCGCTTCGGGAGGCCGAGACGGGTGGATCACTTGAGGTCAGGAGTTCGAGGCCAGCCTGGCCAACATGGTAAAACCCCGTCTCTACTAAAAATACAAAAAAAAAAAAATTAGCTGGGCCTGGTGGCACATGCCTGTAATCCCAGCTACTCGGGAGGCTGAGGCAGGAGAATAGCTTGAACCCGGGAGACTGTCTCAAACAAACAAACAAAATAAATAAATAAAAATAAAAATAAATAAATAAATAAAAATACAAAAATTAGCCGGCGTGGTGGCAGGTGCCTGTAATCCCAGCTACTTGGGAGGCTGAGGCAAGAGAATTGCTTGAACCAGGGAGGCGGAGGTTGCAGTGAGCCAAGATCATACTACTGCCTTCCAACTTGGCAACAGAGCAAGACCCTGTCTCAAAAAAAAAAAAAAAAAAAAAAGAGGAAAAAGAAAGGAAGAAATTATACCAAATAGAACATTGTAAGCATTGTGGGGAAAAGGAGGGAAGAGGCTCAAGGTGGGAGGGAGAGTTCCAAGTTCAAGGTGGGCTTCAAAGAGGAGGCAGACATTGTAGAAGAGAGCACGGCCTTCCTGGCGGAGGACGGGGAGGCACCAAGGTCACCAGGCAAGAGGGTGTCTGACAATTCAGGGAGCAGCAGCGAGGTACAGGCTGGCGCAGGCGAAGGGGTGTAACAAGCAGCTCCGTCCTTGGGTCTTTGCAAGGAAACCAGTGAACTTGAAGCCGCCAGTTGCGTTTGGTCATCGGGTTGCGTGAACCTCTCCACCGGAGCCCTCCCCTCAGCCCCTTTCCCCCACTGGGGAACCAGGTTGTGTACTGTAGAGTGTCCCATGTTCCAGATGCGTGGGGTGCCCATGGGGCAGCATCACTCATGCCTGAGAACTGGAAGGTAGTTTAAAGGCTGATTAGATTCAGGCCGAGCGTTTGGGTAAGAATAGCTGGGATTACTGTAGAGCCTGTTGTGTAAACTGGATTGCTTTTGAGGAGGGAGAAGATGTTATTAATAGCCTTCCCAGGCCGTGGGGACACGCAGCCCCCTGCCCTCGGGTGGTGCTGGGTCTCCATGCGCCACGTCAGAAGCGCAGCGTGCCCGTCAGTCCCATGGCGGGTTGTCATTTTCTCGGCACACGTGCACTGCAGTGTGGCTGAGAAAGGAATGGCGCTGCTTTTATCTACAAAGCACTTTTGGTGTCGTTCTTTCCTGTCTCATAAGTTACGCTTTCTAAGCGAGAGGGGAGTAGAGTATTGAGGGAAGGACTGTGAAGCATGTTTTTATTTATTTATGAAACCGAGTCTCACTCTGTCACCCAGGCTGGAGTGCAATGGCGCGATCTCAGCCCCCGCCTCCCGGGTTCAAGCAATTCTCATGCCGCAGCCTCCCGAGTAGCTGGGATTACAGGCGCGCACCACTAGAGACAGGGTTTCACCATATTGGTCAGGCTGGTTTCAAACTTGACCTCAAGTGATCCACCCGCCTTGGCCTCCCAAAGCGCTAGGATGACAGGCGTGAGCCACCGGAGCCACCACTCCCGTCCGAGGCATGTTACAAAGAGTTATTGGGCAGACCTGCCTCTGACTAGCATGAGAGAAAAAGCACCAGCTGGACTCGCGAGGCCAAGGCAGGAGAATCGCTTGAACCCAGGAGGTGGAGGTTGCAGTGAGCTGAGGTCGCACCACTGCACTCCAGCCTGGATGACAGAGTGAGACTCCGTCTCAAAAAAAAGAGAAAAGAAAAGAAAAAGCACCAGCTGGTTAAGGATTGATGAGTTGGGAGACGTGACTTCCAACTCCAGGCTTCGCTGGGGCCTCCGCTGCACCTCCCTTTGGGGCTTTAGACTGGGGTGGCCCAGCAGTGGAGGCGTTAGCTCCCCCCAGCCCTTTGTCACCTGGCTCCCCTTCTTTCCTGCTCCCTAAGGCGGTGGAAGAAGATATCCCCATAGCGAAAGAACGGACACATTTCACCGTCCGCCTGACCGAGGCGAAGCCCGTGGACAAAGTGAAGCTGATCAAGGAAATCAAGAACTACATCCAAGGCATCAACCTCGTCCAGGTCTGTGCCGCGGTGGGGGTTCCGAGGCAGGTTCCGTTGTGGTGGCCAGGGCCCCCAGTCCCTGACTTTGCTCTCTCTGGCAGGCAAAGAAGCTGGTGGAGTCCCTGCCCCAGGAAATCAAAGCCAATGTCGCCAAAGCTGAGGCGGAGAAGATCAAGGCGGCCCTGGAGGCGGTGGGCGGCACCGTGGTTCTGGAGTAGCCTCCAGCTCGGAGGACTTGTGTTCAGGGGTCCTGGGCCCCGGGCGAGGTCCCGCCCTCCCGTGGTCACTGGCTCCGCCCCCAGCACCAGGCGCCCAGTGGAGCCGTTTGGGAGAATTGCCTGCGCCACGCAGCGGGGCCGGACAGGCCGCACAGACCTACTGTGGCGGGAGGGAGGGGCGGCTGCTGCCTGGTGACGGCACCCGGAGGCCCACCAGGACGCGCCACCGGTGAATGTGCCTCTGGTGGCTGCTGAGAAAAATACACTGTGCAGCTCAGTGTGTGGAGTGCCGTGCTCAGGCCGGGCTGCCGGGCCAGTGCGGGGATCCGGGCAGCGTGTGGAGTGCGGTGCTCAGGCCGAGCTGCGGGGCCAGTGCGGGGATCGAGGCTGGTACGGGATGGGAGGCTTGTTCCCTGCCTCCTCAGCAGACATCTGAGAGTCTACAGACATTCATCAGGTCCCCGGTGTGCAGGGCCCTGTCCTGAGACCCCACAGTGGGCCTGGTGGACGGCAGTGGTGTGGAGGACCTGGGCAGCGGGAACCCTCCCTGTTTTCAGTGTTGGCCCTCTTTAAGGCAACAGGAAGTTCAGCACTCGCCTGAGAAACCGAGGCAGCCTTGGAGCCGGCGATGCCACCCCTAGCTTAGGCTGCAAGTACCCCTGAACCTAAACCCGGCCACGGGGCTGCGCAGGGGGATTGGGGAGGGGTGTGGGATGCACCTGCCATCTGCAGGGTTGGGGTGTCAGCTGTTCCTCTGGGGCCCTTAAGTGGGGTATCCTGGGACCTGGGCAAAGCGGCAGGAGGGGCTTGTGGACATGGGGACCGGGAGTGCCGTGGTCAGCTTGGAGCACTGGTCACTGTGCACTTGGTGAGGTGTGGCCCAGTGCTGGGCAGCCCTTGGCAGCCACTCTCGGGCTGCAGACCCCTTGGTGCCACTGCTGAGTACAGGGGGTGTGGCCCCATGGCCTGGCTGGAACGGCCAGGGCCTTGCTTTGAGGACCCGTGGCCGCCTTTTCTTGGGCACGCCTGTTTTCAGCCAAGCCTGGGAGAGAATCAGCGAATTTCTGTCTCAGCTGGCCCGTGACCAAGGCCAGCCCCCAGGCTGTGGGCCCACAATGAGGCCAGAGACAGGCCATGTTCCGCACCTGCTTCGGGAAACATGCCTGGTGTGATGGCCCCGTAGGCTGCCATGCCCTCCAGCCTCAGTTTTCCTGGTGGAAGGATCCCTTGGATGGGACCAGAAAGGGGCACCGTGTGTCTGGAAGCTGCCCACTGGCTGGGACTCCTGGGGGAGCGGGAGGGGCAGGGAGTTTCAGGCTCACTGTGCGTGTACACCCTGCCTGGCCCAGGTCCTCTTCCAAGGCCTTCTGGTAGAGTTTCTCTGACTAACCTGCTGTCCCCAGGAAAGGCTGTCCCAAGCCAAGCCTGGAAGTCCCCATTGGCCATGGTATCCATTTTGAGGGGTTAATGGTCTTCCCTCAGGAGGTGACACTGCCACCTGGAGCTGGGTGCATTCTGCCTGGTGCCCTGCTGACCCCAACTGCCTTTCCCCTCTGGAAGGCAGCGAACATCTGAGCTCAGGGACGAGCCCTGCTTGAGGTCAGACAGACATGCTGTCTTCATCCAGGCTGCACCCAGGCCAGATAGACCAGCAAAATCTCTGCCCGCGACTCCTCGCTGTCTACCCTGGCTCAGGCGTCTGCCAGGCCACTCGCAGGAGCCACCGAGAGGCCCTTTCCTCCCTGCCGGGGGACCCCCAAAATAACCTGTGGATGCCAAGCAGCAGGACACTGCGGTGGATGCCAGGCCGCAGTCGGAGGCTGGACGGGGAGCCCTGTCCCGTGAGCTTGCTCAGTCTGCCCCAACCACCCCCTTGGGCCTACCGACATAACTTATGATCCGTTTGAGAATCCATCAGGGATCCTTGTGAGTCCCCGACCTGCAGTTCTAGATTCATCATTTGAAAAAGCCTCTGGCCCTGGATGCATTTCCTGTTTTCAGGATTCCTCGCCTTCTGACTGCTCTCCCAGCATCTCTAGCTCACGGAGTTCACAAACTTCAGTCCCCTACAGCTCCTTGCACTTTTGTTCTATTTTTTTTAATGTTTTATTTACTTATTTATGTATTTATTTTTATGAAACGGTGTCAGTTTGTCACCTGGGCTGGTGGTGCAGTCTTGGCTCACTGCAGCCTCCACCTGCCGGGTTCAAGCAATTGTCCTGCCTCACCTTCCCAAGAAGCTGGAATTACAGGCATGCACCACCACGCCCAGCTAATTTTGTATTTTTATTAGTAGAGATAGGGTTTCACCCTGTTGGCCAGGCTGGTCTTGAACCTTATTTTTATCTTTTTTAATTTTAATTTTTTTTGAGTGAGTTTTGCTCTTGTCACCCAGGCTGGAGTGCAATGGCACGATCTTGGCTCACTGCAACCTCCACCTCCCAGGTTCAAGCGATTCTCCTGCCTTAGCCTCCCTAGTAGCTGGGATTACAGGCGCCCGCCACAACACCCAGCTAATTTTTGTATTTTTAGTAGAGGCAGCGTTTCACCACGTTGGCCAGGATGGTCTCGAATTCCTAACCCCAGGTGATCACCCACCTCGGCCTCCCAAAGTGCTGGGATTACAGGTGTGAGCCACCACACCTGGCCTATTTTTATTTTTTAATATAGACACGATCTCACTCTGTCACCCGAGCTGGAGTGCAGTGGCCTGATCAAGGCTCACTGCAGCCTCAGCCTCCTGTGCACAAGCAATCGTCCTACCTCATCCTCCCAGGTAGCTGGGACTATAGGCACGTGCCATCATGCCTGGCTAATCTTTTGATTTTTTTTAGAGATGTGGTCTCACTGTGTTGCGCAGGCTGGTCTGAAACGCCTGGCCTCAAGAGATCCTCCTACCTTGGCCTCCCAAAGTGCTGGGATTACAGGTGAGAGCTGCCCTGCCCAGCCTTTTTTGTTCTTTGTAAAGCTCTTCAGTTCCTGCTCCTTACCCGCTGGGCCCTGCTCTTTCTGCTTTGGAGCAGTTCTTCCTTCAGCAGGGAGCCAGTGTTCTGTGGGTTGGGGGGTCTCTGCCAGCAGCCAGTTTCAGCCCTGTCTTGCAGGTGGCCTTCGGAGGGACAGGTTGCAGCCCAGGCCCGCCCCCCTCCTTCCTGGAGTGTCTCACAGACTCAGGGGACACTGGCCCTCCAGGCCCTGCTTCCCCCAAGGTTTCCATCCATCGCCTCTTGATTCTTGGTAATCGGGAGCCGATGGATGCAACTCATCTCGGTTTACACTGAGTGAGACAGGCGCTGTGGGCACAGCCAAGTCTGCGGGACTCAGTCAGGTGTGAGCCTGGATGGCCCCGGACAAGGAAGCCTGTCCTCTTGCTGGGAAATTTCCGTTAAGATCGGGCCACTTCCCCTGCTTCCTAACGGTTGAGTCTGTTTGCTCTGGGCCTTTTAAGCCCAGCGTGATCCCTCTGAGTCCCTGCGGTGCATTTGCGCCATCTCCACGCTTCCTGTTGAGCCCCAGCCCAGGCTTGGTGCGGGCAGTGCTGCACTGCACTCTCCTGGTTGCCTCCTGAGCACCTCCACCCGCTTCCCCACCAGGCGTGGCTGTGTTTTCACCCCCAGTGTCCATCTGGCACCCTTCTCGATTGCCAGGTAGTTACGGTCTGTGTGGGCAACACCTGAGGGACCCAACCAAACCAAGGTCCAGGACACACTTCCGGGCAGGGGTACCGCCTCTGGTTAGCTGCTCACTCCCCAGCCCAAATCTTCCGCTGATGACTTCTGGGGTCAGAGGCCACCTAAGGGTCTAGAAAACAGTCTCCTCCAGTTGGCTACCTGCCTACGTTGGGGTTACGGCCCAATAAACCCACAGCCAAGCTGAAAATCCTAAGTGTGCGTCTTGCGCTTCCGACACAGCCAGGGCATCGCTGGATGCGCAGAGGCAGGGCTGGACACATTCTGGTGCTTGAGGGGTTCCAGGGACCACGAGTTGTTTTTCCGGTGCTCCTCACCCTTCGCCCTGGAGGGTGGGGGAGGCCGGACAGCAGTGACCAAGCTGGAGCTGCAGGTCTTCATCCCTGTGGCCCAGCCCTAAAGCAGCCTTGGGGACTTAAATTTCATTTTGCCCAGCAGGTGCACCTGGGCCAGGAACACACCAGCGCCTCCTTGTTCTTCGCAGGGAAGTGGAATCCAAGCAGGGGCCCAGATGCAGGCAGGCATCTCCTGGGAACAAGAGCCCCAGAATCCACCCCGGGGCCCCACTTCCAGGGTGGTTGCCTGGGGCGTCTGGTCAGAGCCAGACCAGAACTGAGCAGGAGCTTCCGGGCATCTGTGTGTGGGAAGGGAGAGGCAAGTCCTTCCTAACCGCCTTTTTTCCCAGTTTTCATTCAGTCTGGCCCCAAGCAGGTTCTTTTTTTCTTTTCTTTTTCTTTTTTTTTTTTTTTTTTTTGAGATGGAGTCTCGCTCTGTCGCCCAGGCTGGAGTGCAGTGGCGCGATCTCAGCTCACTGCAACCTCTGCCTCCCGGATTCAAGCGATTCTACTGCCTCAGCTTCCTGAGTAACTGGGATTACAGGCGTGAGCCACCGCGCCCGGCTCCCGAAGCCGGTTTTCTGTTCTCTTGCAGCTGGGCCGGGGCTGAGCCCTCGGTGGGGGCAGGGGTTGCAGACCTGTGGACGCAGGGCCCACGCCGCACACACGTGGCCCCCGCCAGGTGACTCACGAGCCAGCGCCTGCGCGGCGGGGTGGCCACCGGGTGCAGGTTCAGGGCCAGGGGCCGGGCCTCCTGGGGATTGGCAGGGCGCCCGCCGCGGTCCCATGTGCCTGGGGCCGGTCCCCGGGCGGTGGCCTTCGGCCCTGCGCTCCGGCCTGGAGAAGGGAGGACGCCAGGGGCCCGGGGGAGTGGAGGCGGCCACGCAGCAGCCCCGGAGCACCCGCGCGTCCGCAGGCCGGGCCCACCGCGCTCGGCGCCCCTCGCGGCCGCTTTAAGGCGCCGGGCCCGCCTCAATCGCAGGGGGCGTGGCCTAGCGGTCCCGCCCCCGGGGCGCGCGCGCGCATTGGCTGTGCGGGGTGCGGGCGCGCGGGCGGCGCTTTGAACCGGGCGCGGGGCGCGGGGCGCGGGGCGCTGCGGCCGGTACACGCCGGGGTAGGGCCGGGGTCGGGTTGTGGTCGGGCCGGGATTGGGCTCTCCTGGGCCATGGCAGCCGAGGCGCGCGTGTCGCGCTGGTACTTCGGGGGGCTGGCCTCCTGCGGGGCCGCCTGCTGCACGCACCCGCTGGACCTGCTCAAGGTGAGGCCGGGGCCCGGGACGCGGGGCGGATGGGACCCTGGCGCCGCCGAGACGCCTGCAAAGGCAGCAGCCCGGCCCCACGCACCCGGGGATCGCCGCGCCCGGGGCTCCCTCCTGGAGAGCGCGAGGAGGCCCCCGACGCCCGGATGGCCGATCCCGGGTGGCCCTCCAGTGGTGGCCGCCGAGCTCGAGGCCTGCAGGGCGCAGCCGCGCTCCCCAGCTTCCCAGCCGGCTTCCCAGTTCTCGGCAGGTGGCGATCCAGCCCCAGCTCTACACTTTAATACCTGGTGACCTTGGGGGAGTCACTTGGCCTCTCTGAGCCACCCACCCCCATACATTCAAGAACGCTCCTTCCGCCTAGTTAGAAGTTGTGGGGGGAGTTCTGTGAGGTGCACAGGTGTTGGCATCTAGAGACGTGCTGGCTGTAGCATACCCAGGGTGTGGGCCAAGCCGCCCCCCACCCAGGGGTGTTTAGCACACCGCCGGACGTGTCCCTGGGCAAGTGGGGTGACCCGATGCCCCGGCTTTGGGCTGCTTCCTTCGGAGAGCTGCGTGGGCACTGGAAGCGATGTTAGGACCAGCACACCCCCAGGAGAGATGCCAGGAGACCCTGCACGCGTGTGGTCCTGGCCCTATGAAAGCGGGCGTTTCTCAGCACGAGAAGCAGCCACCGTTTTTTTACTTTTTTTTTTTTTTTAATGCTTATGGGGCAAAATAAGACAGAGCTCTCCTTGTTTCCCAGGGACAGCCAAGGGGCGTTGTTTTCTGACCGTGTCTTGCCACAGAGAACAAAGAAGAAAGGGCCTGAGGCTTTGCACAGTCTGCCCAGCAGGCCCTGCCCTGTGAACCTGGCTGTGGTCACTGGGCAGCCGCCTGTCTAGGGGACCTTTATTTTAGCAGCCTGTCCAGGGGACTTGTATTCCAGCAGCCTTTGAGGGGACTGGCTTTACTAATGAGCAACAATGCTGGTCGCTGCGTGAAGGCCAGGTGAGCAGATGTGGGCGTCTTGGGGCACCTGAGACCTCACTGGTCCTGGGAGAGGCCTTCAGAGCTCCCAGGCCACAGGCAGCCACGGCCAGTGAGATGCAGCCACAGCGACAGGAAGGCGCTGGCATGGGCAGAAGAAGCGAGCCCCTCCTTGGCATCGGGCTCTTCCTTTCCTCCTGGGCGCCGCACAGGTGCCCCTCCCCCAGGGCCTCTCCCACGTTCATCTGGGTGTTGAAGGCGGGACCTGCGTGCTGCTGTCCCTTGTCCGGGGTCTGAGCCCCACTGCCCCTTGGCCCTCCCCAACCAGGCGCTCTCTGGCTGCAGAACACCGCCTGGGGGAGGCGGGACTGCCCTCTGGCCTGGGAGGGCGGGAGGAGCCAGCTGCTGGCAGCATATGGCGCTGTGGTCAGGGTGTGCTCCTGAGGACTGCTCACCAGGCCTCTCTGCCTGGCCGTCGGAAAGATCTTTTAAAGCTTCTTGAGCACTTTGTCCCATGTCCCTACAGTCCCTACCGTCGCATCTGGCCGGGACGGGGGCTGCTACCTGTGTGGCCCAGTCCCTCTGTTCTGCTGGGCTCGCACAATGGGAGGCCCCTCTCTGTCCCCACCCATCTTTGCCGACCCCTGGGCGTGCGTTACGGGGCCGCGCACGTGCAGGTCACACTGAGCGGCGGAAGGACTTCTTTGGGGTCAGTGCTGGGGGTGGGACCCAGGAGCTGGGATCCTGGGCCAGGTGCTGGCCTTCCTGTCTGGCCCTGGCCAATCCCCCTACTGCCGGGAGCTCTCAGCTGGCCAGGCGAGGAGGCAGAGGTCCTGTGAGTGGTGGAGGCCAACAGAATGGGAGGTTGTCGGGCTGACAGCCCCCGAGTGCCTGCCCACAGCTCCTAGGTGCTTTGCAGAGGAGGCCGCTATGCCCTGCCGCCAGCCACACCGTCCCCTTGTCTGCTGCTGAGCTCCTGCTGCCTTTCAAGGCCTTCTATGGCTACCTCCTCAGTCTCCCATGGTCCTGCAGGCTCCCTCGCCGTTTCTGAGCGGCCATAAACGTTTGTCCCTCTTGAGACGTGGTGTGGTGGATAAAAAGTAGGGCTCTGGGGTCTCCTCGCTGGGCCCAAATCCTGATGGCACCAGCGGGTGCGTTACCTCTCCATGCCTCAGTTTCCTCATCTGCAGAAGGAGAATGGCGAGCCCCTGCGGCCAGTGCAGCCAATACTCAGGTGGTACGCGGGGCGCTCGCGGGGCTCGCGGACACTCTCAGCTCCATGTCCACTGGTGTGGTTGCTGTTGGAAAGCAGTGGTGTGAGCTGGTTCCAGGCACGGGTGTGGAGTCCCCGGGCAGGGCCGTGGGAGGCCTTATCACTGCCTCCTGCCTCAGTTTCCCCCTCTCTGGATGAACCTGGCACCGATCCCTCGGGGTCGCTGTGGGGTCTGAGAGCACTCACTCCCGCAGGTGCATCTGCAGACGCAGCAGGAGGTGAAGCTGCGCATGACGGGCATGGCGCTGCGGGTGGTGCGTACCGACGGCATCCTGGCACTCTACAGCGGCCTGAGCGCCTCGCTGTGCAGACAGGTGCGTGGTGTGTGCCAGCCTTGGGCTCCCAGACTGGGGCTGAGTCCTGCAGTGGCATCCAAGCTACTTCCGTCCCCTTTTCAAGACTTTGTGCAAGGAAGGACCCACCAGGCCGAGAGCTGGTGACCCCAGGGTGCGCCTCCCATGGGCACCCACCCAGTTTGCAGGGCTGGGCCTGAGACCGCCACTTACTGGTGGGGAAGCTGAGGCCCAGGGAGTGAGAAAGCAGGGTGCAGCTCTAGATTTGTGAACTGGCTCAGCCGCATGCTGGCACAGTGGCCTTGGGAAGGCCCCTCAGGGTCCCTGTGGCCCCTCGGGCTGAGGGGGATCCCTGGCTGGGCCGGGTGGCGAGGCTGAGGGGTGTGGGGCGTGCCCGTCCCTCCAAGCCAGGCCCTTCTCCCCCAGATGACCTACTCCCTGACTCGGTTCGCCATCTACGAGACTGTGCGGGACCGTGTGGCCAAGGGCAGCCAGGGGCCTCTCCCCTTCCACGAGAAGGTGTTGCTGGGCTCCGTCAGCGGTGAGCTGCCGGGCGGGAGGGGGAGGGGCGCGGGGTGGTCAGGTCGGCCGAGGACGCCGTGTGTCAGCACGGCTCATCTCTGGGGTTTGTGTCACCGCAGGTTTAGCTGGAGGCTTCGTGGGGACGCCCGCAGACTTGGTCAACGTCAGGTTGGTGTTCCCCCACCCCACCTGCAAGGCCAGGGGCTTTCTTGTCCCCAGACATGCCAGGGCCTGCCAGGGCTGCTTGCAGGGTGGGGTCAGCCTGGAATAAGCCACTGAGACCCTGGTGTCCTGGGCATAGGAGGGTGGGTGTCCCTGAGCCCCGGCGTGCCCTGTCCTGTGGGCCCCGCTGACCAGCGTGAGCTCCCCTGTGCTGCCAGGGCTGCCCATGCCCCTCGGCCCGCCCGCCCCTCCCGCCACCTGCTTCTGTTTCAGGATGCAGAACGACGTGAAGCTGCCCCAGGGTCAGCGGCGCAAGTGAGTCATGGGCGGCCTTCTCGGGGTGGTTGAGGTGCAGGAGGCTCGGGCGGGAGCGGACCCCTGGCTGCTCTGCCGTGACCCAGCTGAGGCTCCAGCAGGCCGAGGTGCCTGCACGGTCCATGGAGGGTCCTGACGGCTGTTCTGGACTCGGGGGTGTCACTCTGCGCCCCCAGGACCTTTGGGTTCTTCCTGTGGGGAGAGCCTTGTTGGATTGGGGGCTGGGCCTGTTTGCACCCCAGGGTGGTGAGTGCGGAGGCGAACGCCCCAGGCATGGAGAGAGCGCATGCAACAGAAACGCCCGAAGGAGGCGCTGCCTCCCTGCCCAGCTCAGGGCAGCTGTGCCCTCCTGCCACGGCCTGGGGTCTTTCCAGGGCCCGGGGTCCGCTCCAACTGCAGTGTGAGCCACTTCCCCCGCCCCTTCCAAGGACCCCTGGGGAGTTCTGGCTTCTAGCTGTGCACACAGACTGTGTTCCCCCAGGACCCCGGGGGCTGGCGGGCAGGAGGCCTGCATGCTAGGAGCGGTGCCCAGCCAGGGACTCTGTTGGAAACGATGGAACCTCCTCCCTGAGGGCCGGGCGGGGCGGGCGAGGTGGCTGTGGGACGTCAGGACCAGCTTCATGTTCCCAGGGAGAGATCTTCAGGCCCATGAGGCCTCTGCTTCCTCGAGAACCCCCGGCCTGCCTCGGGGCCTGGGAGGACCCTCTGTGGGAGCCGGTGGTCAGGGGGAGTCTCATGTGGTCATTCTGTGTCCCCGGCAGCTACGCCCATGCGCTGGATGGCCTGTACCGCGTAGCTCGTGAAGGTGAGGGGCAGGTGCTGTGCACAGGCAGGGTTCTGGGGGGCAGGCAGGGTGGGCAGCGCTGTAGAAGACTGGGCGCTGAGGGATTTGGGCCAGGTGCCTGGCCTCACCCCTTGCCTCACCCCTTGCCTCACCCCTTCCTTGTGCAGAGGGTCTCAGGAGACTGTTCTCGGGTGCAACCATGGCATCCAGCCGAGGGGCCTTAGTCACTGTGGGCCAGGTAGGCCTCCTGCGTGGGGTGGGTGTGGGCAGTGCCTGTGACCACTGACCTCCATCTTCAGAGGGGCCATAGAACAAGGCACTGGGCGCCAAAACCCTCCTGGGGAGCCACCAGCTGTGACCTTGTGGGGCAGGGTGGGGGGCACGGGTGGGTCAGGGCTGCAGCCTGTGAAGGACCTCGGGCAGGTGCCTCCCCTGTCTGGGCCTCACGGACGGACAGACGGAGCAGGTGCTTGGCCATTGCCAGGTGGTGTCGCCTGGGGCCCTGTGTGCTTTCCCCAAGCTGGGGTCCCCCCTACAGCCCTGACCGCCCTTGTGCCCCTGCAGCTGTCCTGCTACGACCAGGCCAAGCAGCTGGTCCTTAGCACCGGGTACCTCTCTGACAACATCTTCACTCACTTTGTCGCCAGCTTTATTGCAGTAAGTGGCCGGCATGGCTAGGGTGGGCGTCCCTGGGCCGGCCTTGGGCGCTGAGGGCACCCAGGATGGGGCGAGGGCTGGGGGAGGCGGGGGCCTTGGGCATCTGGCAGTGCCCCCTGGGGCTCATAAGTGGGGTGCCAGGGCTTTGGGAGCTCATGGGTCAGCCTGGTGCCCCCGCCAGCATGTTCCTGGCCCGCCCTAGGAGTCAGGTGGAGGTTCTGGCACGTGGGTGGGATTCGGCGATGGTGCCTGGCGTACCTGACAGGCCGCTGGTGACGAGCCCCCTCCTCAGGGTGGATGTGCCACGTTCCTGTGCCAGCCCCTGGATGTGCTGAAGACTCGCCTGATGAACTCCAAGGGGGAGTATCAGGTGAGTGGGGCCCTGCCTGTGCAGTTGGGCTGCACAGCCCAGCGAGTCCCCTCACCTCTCCGGGGGGTGGACACTCGCACTGGGGACCCGGGGAAGGGTGTCCCTCCCTTCTAGTTGCCTGTCTCTGCACAGCACTTGCCTTGGGAGAGGGTTGTGCCTTTGAATGCCTTTGCCTTGTTTTTGTTTTTAGAGAAGACTTCTTGGCCCGGCGCAGTGGCTCATGCCTGTAACCCCAGCACTTTGGGAGCCTGAGGCAGGCAGACTGCTTGAGTCTAGGAGTTCAAGACCAGCCTGGGCAACATACTGAAACCCTGTCTCTACCAAAATTACAAAAATTAGGGGCCAGGTGCGGTGGCTCATGCCTATCATCCCAGCACTTTGGGAGGTCGAGGCAAGCAGATCACCTGAGGTCAGGAGTTCAAGACCAGCCTGGCCAACATGGTGAAACCCCCTCTCTACTAAAAATACAAAAAATTGGCTGGGTGTGGTGGCGTGCGCCTGTAATCCCAGCTACTCGGGAGGCTGAGGCAGGAGAATCGCTTGAACCTGGGAGGCGGAGGTTGCAGTGAGCCGAGATCACACCATTGCACCCCAGCCTGGGCCACAAGAGTGAAACTGTCTCAAAAAAACAAAACAAAACAAAATTGGTCAGGCTTGGTGGTGCATGCCTGTAGTTCCAGCTACACAGGAGGCTGAGGTGGGATAATCCCTTGAGCCCAGGATGTCCAGGCCACAGTGAGCCGAGATTGCACCACTGCATTCCAGCCTGGGTGACAGAGTGAGACTGTCTTAAAACATTTCTTTTCGGCCAGGCACGGTGGCTCACGCCTGTAATCCCAACACTTTGGGAGGCCAAGGCGGGCAGATCACAAGTCAGGAGTTGGAGACCAGCCTGACCAACATGGTGAAACCCCGTCTCTACTAAAAATGCAAAAAAATTAGCTGGGCCTGGTGGCGCACGCCTGTAATCCCAGCTACTCAGGAGGCTGAGGCAGGAGAATTGCTTGAATTCAGGAGGCGGAGGTTGCAGTGAGCCGAGATTGCACCACTGCACTCCAGCCTGGATGACAGAGCGAGACTCTGTCTTAAAAAAACAAAAAACAAAAAAAAACACATTTCTTTTCTTTCTTTTTTTTTTCCCCTCATTGCAACCTCCACCTCCTGGGATCAAGCGATTCTCCTGCCTCAGCCTCCCAAGTAGCTGGGATTACAGGCGCCCGCCACCATGCCCGGCTAATTTTTCATATTTTTAGTAGAGACAGGGTTTCACCATGTCGGCCAGGCTGGTCTTGAACTCCTGACCTCAGGTGATCCGCTTGCCTCGGCCTCCCAAAGTGCTGGGATTACAGGCACGTGCCACCACTCCTGGCTAATTTTTGTATTTTTAGTAGAGACAAGGTTTCGCCATGTTCGCCAGGCTGGTCTTGAACTCCTGGCCTGAAGTGATCTGCCGCCTCAGCCTCCCAAAGTGCTGGGATTACAGGTGTGAGTCACTGTGCCCGGCCAAAAACATTTCTTTCACAGATTAACAGAGGTGGTGCCGTTCATGGCAGTCTGTGCCTCATAGGTGCTCTGGGTCTCCTGTCTTGGGCCCCCGCCAACTCCATGGGGCTTCCACGTTTGCAGAGCCCATAGCTCTGTCCCTTTTCTTCTCCCTGACGCTGCCGTGCTGCATCCCTGATTCTCATGGTTCTGTTCACAGCCCCCTCTGCCCACTGGACCCCGGGCTGCACCCTCGGGCCCTGGTTGTACCGCATGAGCAGGCAGGGTGGCCGTTGACCTGGCTGGTGCCTGCAGACCTGTGGTCACCTGTTACCAGCCAGCAGCCGCCGCTCACACCCACACCCACACCCACACCCCACATTGAGAATGCCCAGGCCACCGTGCCTGGCTGGTGCCTGGGAGGGGATTTTCGTTGCCTTTTGGGTGAGAAGCAGCCTTTTTGATTGTTTCACTGCGTTTTCTGCAGGGCGTTTTCCACTGCGCCGTGGAGACAGCGAAGCTCGGGCCTCTGGCCTTTTACAAGGTGCAGTGGTGGCGGCAGTGGCGGCTTGGGCAATGGGGAGCGGGCCCCTTCGGGCTCTGTGTCTCTCATTTTCCCTGTCTCCCTCCAGGGCCTCGTCCCAGCTGGCATCCGCCTCATCCCCCACACCGTGCTCACTTTTGTGTTTCTGGAACAGCTACGCAAAAACTTTGGCATCAAAGTGCCATCCTGACCAGCCGTGGGAATGGCTGGGCTGCCAGGCCAGACACGCTAGGTTCTTCCAAAGAGTCCCAAGCCCAGCACCTGCTCCTGGGGCCACGACCTCCCTGGCCGTGGCCACCCGTCCTCCGCAGCAGGCCCCTGCTGTCCCCCCACCTGCTGGCTGAGCTCCTCCTGGCCTCGTCCCCTCTCAGCTGTAGCTGCACCACCCCCGCTCTGGCTACCAGGCTCTCCCGGCTGGGCACTGCGTGGCCTTGCCCCTCTCCCGCTGGCAGCTCCTCAGGGGAACAGGGGCTACCAGAGGCTGATTTCTCCCCTCTCCTGGGCCAGGGGAGGGGTATTATCCCTGCCTCCTGCCCCCGATGCCCAAAGCAGCATCTTCCAGCACTTTCCATCGAGGACTTGGGTGGCAGAGTGTGGGTGCAGCCTGGCTGTTGCTCACCCAAGTGCTAGCTCTGCACTTCGTGTCTGCTGAGAGCAACCAGACCTTCCATGTCCTCGGGCAGCTGCAACTCCCCGCGAGACCCCGCAGCTGGGTGGGATGAACAAGCAACGCAGACCACAAGCGAGTGCCTGGGAGGGAGTGGCCCAGGGTGGTTCTGGAGCCATTGTGGGTGAGGGTCGAGGGCCACCGAGGTCCCGCGCACCGCTGCCTGCCCTGCAGTGGCTTTAACAGTTAGTTTTGCCAAAGCCTCTCCACTCACCAGCAGGCGGTCTCTGTCTTCAGGGATTGTGCCTGCGTCCCTCGGGCACCTGGGCCCCCCCGCTTGGCTCCCTGGGGGAATGGCCCAGGCGGGCCGCGGTTCCTCCTTAGGGCCTTCTCCCCGACAAGGAGTCCGACGGGGCGGATGCTGCATCCTCTGCCTCCCTGGTCGCTGGGCTTCACCCCACCTGGGAAGGGCAGTGTGCTCTGTGGGGGCTGCAATCAATAAATGCCGGGAGCTGCCACATCTGTTCCTGCCTGCGCTGCCTGCCCGCTGGCTGCCTTGCTGTCCAGACCAGCAGGACCCCCTGCACCCCCTAAGGAGGACCGGGCCAAGGCCTTTTGGGGAGGAGCCAGGGTCCTCGCTGTGCATTTGGATGAAGGAATTGGGGAAGTAGGAGGAACCAAAACCGGTGTGGGGGGAAGGGAACAAGACGGTGAGGCTGGGGTTGAGGGTCTCAGACACAGGATCTGGCTCTGTCATTCAGACTGGAGTGCAGTGGCACGATCTTGGCTTACTAACCTGGGCCTCCTGGGCTCAAACCAGTCTTCTACCTCAGCCTTCCAAGTAGCTGGTGCTATGGGCGTGCACCATCATACCTGGCTAATTTTTGTATGTTTTTGTAGAGTTGGGGTCTCACAATGTTACCCAGGCTGGTCCCAAACTTCTGAGCTCAGGGGATCTGCCCATTTTGGCCTCCCAAAGATGCCCTTTTTTTTTTTTTTAAGACAGGGTCTTACTGTGTCACTCAGGCTGGAGTGCAGTGGCGCAAACAGCCTGTAGTCCCAGCTACTTGGAAGGCTGCGGTGGGATCCTTTAAGCCTGCAAGTTCGAGGCTGCAGGGAGCTATGATCGCACCACTGCACTCCAGCCTGGGTGACAGAGCGAGACCCCATTTCAAAAAAAGAATGTAATGGTGGGCCGGGTGTGATCTCTCATACTTGTAATCCCAGCACTGTGGGAGGCTGAGGCAAGATCTCTTGAGCCCAGGAATTCGAGACTAGCCTGGACGATATGGTGAGATCTCCATCTGTACAGAAAATTTAAAAATTACCTGAGCGTCATGGCATGCACCTGTAGTCCCAGCTACTTGGGAGGCTGAGGTGGGAGGATCACTTGAGCCCAGGAGATTTAGGCCACGATGAGCCATGATTGCGCCACTGCACTCCAGCCTGGAGAACAGAGCAAGACCCTGTCTCAGAAAAAAAAAAAATCTTTGATATCCTTGAATATCCATTCAGTGCTCAAGTTTCTCTGACTGCCATGTGCATTTTGTGAAGAGCTGGTTTTGTTTGAACTGGGGACCAGTGGGAGCTCTGAGGTTTGTACATGGTACCCAGTGCCCAGGTTGGAAATTCACACCCAGGGAGTGGCTGGGTAGGTTCAGGGGGAAGGCTGCTGCTTCCTGAGAAACCAGGTGGTTCAGAAAGGCAGCTCTAGCCAGCAAATCCCAAAATCTGCAGATGGAGGGACCACATTCTCAGAGCTGCTTTGATGGGAGCCCTGGAGGAAGCGGCCATCATGACAGGGCACCGGGGCCACCCCAGAGGCTGGCATCACCCCCAGCCCCTCCCTGCAGTCAGCCCCACTGGGACAGTGCCAGTCAGGGGATGAAAGTGCCCAGTCTGGTTTGGCAGGGCCAGGCCTGGCAGTGGGCCACCACAGGGCAGGGTGCAGAGGGTGGGGTGGGAGAGGAGGCCAGTGGGCAGGGCTCCTTACCCACCCTCCACAGAAGCCACAGCTCCCCAGGTCCAGGGCACAGGCCCAGGGTGGGGGTAGGTCAGAGGGGATGTCAGTCCTGTGGTTTCATGGCCCTTAACCCACAGGCCCTGCAGGCCACCTGGTCCGAAGGCCAGAAGCCAGTCAGTTTCACGCTTGGGGGCCAGGGAGAGATCTGGACCCTGCTGAGTCAGCATTTCAGCAGTCACCTGCTGAGTCAGCAGTCATTTCCGTGCTTTTTTTTTTTTTTTTTTTTTTCTCTCCTTTTGGATGGATTTTTGCTCTGTCACCCAGGCTGGAGTGCAGTGGTGAGGTCTCAGCTCACTGCAACCTCCACCTACCAGGTTCAAGCGATTTTCGTGCCTCAGCCTCATGAGTAGCTGGGACTACAGGTGCACATCACCAAGCCTGGCTCCTTTTTGTATTTTTAGTAGAGACGAGGTTTCACCATGTTGGCCAGGCTGGTCTCAAACTCCTGACCTCAAGTGATCCACCCCCTTCAGCCTCCCAAAAGTTCTGGGATTACAGGCATGAGCCGCCGCATCCAGCCTCCATGCATTTTTTTAAGTGACTTCATAGTTTACAAAAAGTTACACAATAATCATTTATTGTCAAGAAATTTCAACAAGGATGCCAAGACAATTCAGTGGGGAAAGAAAAGTCTATTCGCCTGGCGTGGGGGCTCACACCTGTAATCCCAGCACTTTGGGAGGCCGAGGCGGGTGGATCATCTGAGGTCAGGCCAACATGGTGAAACCCCATCTCTGCTAAAAATACCAAAAAATTACCGAGGCATGGTGGAGCACACCAGTCCCAGCTACTCGGCAGGCTGAGGCAGGAGAATCGCTTGAACCCGGGAGGCAGAGGTTGCAGTGAGCCAAGATTGCACCACTGCACTCCAGCCTAAGCTAGAAGAGCAAAACTGTCTCAACAACAACAACAAAAAAACTTCTGTGCTTTAAAGGACACTATCAGGAAAGCGGGAGACAGCCCGCATAATGGGAGGAAATCTCTGTAAATCGTATCAGATAAGGGACTACAGTCTAGAACATATAAGAAAACTCTTACAAGAAAGAAAGTTGTTAATGGCACAGGATGGGAAAGAAGGTATACAAATGGCCAATAAACACAGGAGACACCACTCGGCATTATCAGTTGTTAAGGAAATGCAAATCCAAACCACCACAGATGCGGCAGCATCCACTAGGCTAAAATCAAAAGGACAGAAACTGAGCAAGTGTTGGTGAAGCTGTGGAGAAATGAGAACCATCCAGCGCTACTGGGAATGGAGGGTGGTGTGGCCGCTGTGGAATAGAGTCTGGCAGTTCTTCAAAGTGTTAAACACAGTTACCATCTAACCCAGTAATTCCACGCCTCTGTACGTACCCAGGAGGAAAGAAAACATGTATTTATAGAAACTTGGACACAAATGGAGATGGGCGTGGTGGTGCGTGCCTGTAGTCCCAGCTACCCAGGAGTCTAAGGTGGAAAGATCACTTGAGCCCCGTAGTTCAAGACTAGCCTGGGCAAGTTAGTGAAACTCCATCTCTACGAAAATTTTTAAGTATTAGCCAGGTGTGGTAGCGCACGCCTGTGGTCCCAGCTGTTCGGGAGGCTGAGGTGGGAGGATCACTTGAGCCCAGGAGGTGGAGGCTGCAGTGGGCTGAAATTGTACCACTGCACTCCAGCCTGGGCAACAGAGTGAGACCCTGTCTCAATAAACAAAGAAGCAAAATGAAAATGTAGGGCCGGGTGCGGCGGCTCACACCTGTAATCCCAGCATTTTGGGAGCCTGAAGCGGGAGAATACTGAGGTTAGAAGTTCAAGACCAGCCTGACCAACGTGGTGAAACCTTGTCTCTACTAAAAATACAAAAAATTAGCCGAGTGTGGTAGTAGGCACCTGTAACCCCAGCTAAGGTTGAGGCAGGAGAATCGCTTGAACCCGGGAGGTGGAGGTTGCAGTGAGCTGAGATCGCATCACTGCAGTTTAGCCTGGGTGACAGTGCGAGACTCCGTCTCCAAAAAAAAAAAAAAGAAAAGAAATGTAGCATTTAGGAGCACATACTGAGGTGGTAAAACAAAAAAGGGGAAACAGTCCCCATAAAGTCAGAAGGGTGTGGGTTGGGAAACCTGTAACTGGGAGGTGGCACCAGTGGCTTCTGGAAGCTTCTGGAACACTGGTTCTGCTCCCCACTATGGCCTGAGCGTCTGCCTTATCATCAATCACTTGGCTCTCCATATTTTCTTTTTTTTTTTTTTTTTTTTTTTTTGAGACGAAGTTTTGCTCTTTTTGCCCAGGCTGGAGTGCAGTGGTACGATCTCCAACCTCTGCCTCCCGGGAGGTATGATCACTGCAATCTCTGCCTCCCGGGTTCAAGCGATTCTCTTTTCTCAGCCTCCCAAGTAGCTGGCATTACAGGCATGCGCCACCATGCCCGGCTAATTTTTGTATTTTTAGTAGAGACAGGGTTTTGCCATGTTGGCCAGGCTGGTCTCGAACTCCTGACCTCAGGTGATCCACCTGCCTTGGCCTCCCAAAGTGCTGAGATTTTAGGTGTGAGCCACCACGCCCAGCCTGAAGCTCATACTTTAAAAATATTTTTTTGTGTGTGGCCGAGGGCAGTGGCTCACTCCTGTAATCCCAGCACTTTGGGAGACTGAGGTGGGCCGATCATCTGAGGTCAGAAGTTCAAGACCAGCCTCACCAACATGGAGAAAGCTCGTCTCTACTAAAAATACAAAATTAGCCGGGTGTGGCGGCCCATGCCTGTAATCCCAGCTACTTGGGAGGCTAAGGCAGGAGAATCACTTGAACCTGGGAGGCGGAGGTTGAAGTGAGCCAAGATTGTGCCACCGCACTCCAGCCTAGGGAACCACAGCGAAACTCCATCTCAAAAAAAACAAAAAATAACAATAATTATTATTATTTTTGAGATGGGGTCTCGCTTTGTCACCCAGGCTGGAGTGAGATGGCACAATAATAGCTCACTGCAGCTTGAACTTCTAGGCTGAAGCGATCCTCTGGCCTTGGCCTCCCATAGCCCTGGGACAGCAGGCATGAGCCATGGCCCAGCTGGTTTTCTGAAGTTATGGAGATTTTTATTGCAGTCTCGTACCCGCTACACTTTTGTGAACCGCTGCATGCACGTCTGAAAAGAACACGTGTTGTCTCTTGGTTACACAGCTTAATTTGGGTATTCATGACTTTTTGATTAGGCATGCTAATTGTAATGTGCAAATCTTCTTTTTTTTTTTTTTTTTTTTTTTTTGAGGCAAGGTTTCGCTCTTATTGCCCAGGCTGGGGTTCAATGGCTCGGTCTAGGCTCACTGCAACCTCCGCCTCCTGGGTTCAAGCAATTCTCCTGCCTCAGCGTCCCGAGTAGCTGGGACTACAGGCACCTGCCACCACGCCTGGCTAACTTTTGTATTTTTAGTAGAGACGGGGTTTCACCATGTTGGCCAGGCTGGTCTCGAACTCCTGACCTCAAGTGATCCGCCTGCCTTGGCCTCCCAGACTGCTGGGATGACAGGTGTGAGCTGCCATGCCCAGCCGTAATGTTTAAATCTTCTATGTCCTTGCTTGGTTATGTTGAGCCAACCTTGTAAATTCTGAGATTGCGTGTGAAAGGTTCTCCCTGTGGTTCTGGATCTGTCCAATCCTCTGTGCACCTCACAGTCCTTCCTGACGTGATCCAGCTCCGTGTCTGCGCTTGCCGCTTTAGTCTCAGGTAAACATCTTAGTGGCACAGAGCCCACCAGTCTGCCCAGACAGGGGAGAGGCGGGTGAGTGGTGGCAAACCATGTGACCCAGTTCTTTTTTTTTTTTGAGATGGAGTTTCGCTCTTGTCGCCCAGGCTGGAGTGCAGTGGCATCATCTTGGCTCACTGTAACCTCCACCTCCTGGTTCAAGTGATTCTCCCGCCTCAGCCTCCCAAGTAGCTGGCATTATAGGCATGCGCCGCCATGCCCAGCTAATTTTATATTTTTAGTAGAGATGGCATTTCACCAGGTTGGCCAGGCTGGTCTTGAACTCCTGGCCTCAAATGATCTACCCACCTCCACCTCCCAAAGTGCTGGGATTACAGGCATGAGCCACTGTGCCCGGCCTCCATGTGACCCAGTTCTGATGGCAAGACGTGAGGAGAGATGCCCTGGGAGCCCTGATGCAGTCCAGCCTCTGTGGACACACTTCTGATGGTCACACAGTTACGTTTGGCAGACCATTCTTTTTTTCAGTGATGGAATATTCTTCTAGGTCCTATGTAATCATTGTTGTTTTCACTTCTATTTTGTCTGATGTTAATATCACCGTACCTGCCTTATGTTCTACCTTTCCGGGTCATTTTGTTTTGGGTGTGCATAAATACTCATGTGGCAATTCAGGCCGGACGCAGTGGCTCGCGCCTGTAATCCCAGCACTTTGGGAGGCCGAAGCAGGTGGATCACTTGAGGTCAGGAGTTCAAGACCAGCCTGGCCAACATGGTGAAACCCCGTTTCTACTAAAAATCAAAAATTAGCTGGGCATGGTGGCGCGCACCTGTAGTCCCAGCTACTCGGGAGGCTGAGACAGGAGAATCACTTGAACCCAGGAGGCAGAGATTGCAGTGAGCCAAGATTGCACCACTGCACTCCAGCCTGGGCTACAGAGCTAAACTGTCTCAAAAATAAATAAAGTAATAAAATAATAAAATAAATAGTCACGTGATGCTTCAGGTCATCTGACATCCTGCCCCCCACCCCTTAGTAAAATGCCTGCTGTTTTATTCAAGCAGCTACCACCCCACCCCAGTCCTTGGGCCTCAAGGGCACCAGGGCCTGACCCCAGCTCCCAGCATGAATAGGGTTGGTTTAAACCAGTCGGCATGGCCCACAGTGACTGGTTTAGGCATGGGCCTGTCACCCACACTGGGCCAATGATATGTAAGATGTTTATTGTAGCTTCCGGGATGGAAACTTCTCTGCCAGCTTGTGGGTTGGGCAAGGACGACACTCCGGGCCCTACCGGCGGAAGCTCTGCTCCTGTCGTGCGTGGACCACGCAGCAAATGGCCTTGGAGGCTGCTGGCAGCCATCTTGTGACCATGAGGCAAGTCAGCGCAGGCCGAAGCTGACGACGCGAAGACAATGAGGAGAGGGAGAAAGAGCCGATCTTTGGTGTGTATTGGCTGTGACGTGCTGCCGCCTCTCTGGAGACCGGGTTCATTATACTTTTCCTGGTATCTTCTCATGTTTGCTCTGCTGGCTTTGGGCCCGAGTTTTACCTCCTGGGTGTATTGTGTGTGCCTGTTTTGTGGTGTTGGTTTTGCTCCTGGGTTTGTTGACCCTTGGGTGTCTGCTCTTTTTTTTTTTTTTTTTTTTTTTTGGGACAGAGTCTCACGCTGTCACCCAGGCTGGAGTGCAGTGACCTGATCTTGGCTCACTGCAGCCTCTACCTCCTGGGTACAAGCGATTCTTCTGCCTCGGCCTCCTGAATAGCTGGGATTACAGGTGCCTGCCACGGCTAATTTTTTTACTTTTAGTAGAGATGGGGTTTTGCCATGTTGGCTAGGCTGGTCTTGAACTCTTAACCTCAGGTGATCTGCCCACCTCCGCCTCCCAAAGTGCTAGGATTTATAGGCATGAGTCACCGTATCCAGCATTTTTTGCTTGTTTGTTTGTTTTGAGACGGAGTCTCGCTGTGTCACCCAGGCTGGAGTGCAGCGGTGTGATCTCGGCTCACTGCAAGCTCCGCCTCCCAGGTTCACACCATCCTCCTGCCTCAGCCTCCTGAGTTGAGTATCTGGGACTGCAGGCGCCCGCCACCACGCCCGGCTAATTTTTTTGTATTTTTTAGTAGAGACGGGGTTTCACCGTGTTAGCCAGGATGGTCTCCGATCTCCTGACCCGGTGATCCACCTGCCTCGGCCTCCCGAAGTGCTGGGATTACAGGCGTGAGCCACCGCACCTGGCCAGCTCTAGCTGGTTTTACGGGTGAATTTTTACCAAACATTCATGGAACAGAAAAATCCGTGTCTTGAAATTTTCACAGAAGGCTAGCATGATCTCAACTCCAAAATGAAAATTAAGACACATCTGTTTCATGACTGTAGATGTAGAAAGCCTAGATAAACTATTAATAAATTGAAGTCAGCTGCATATAAGAAATGTCAGACCTCATGATCACGTAGGGGTTATATCAGAATTTCAATGTCAGGAAACTAACTAATGTTATCTGCATGTTACATTAAGAGTAAAGGAGGCTGGGCGTGGTGGCTCACGCCTGTAATCCCAGCACTTTGGGAGGCCGAGGCAGGCGGATCACCTGAGCTCAGGAGTTCAAGACCAGCCTGGCCAACATGGTGAAACCCCGTCTCTAGTAAAAATACAAAAATTAGCCCGGCATCATGGAGTGTGCCTGTAGTCCCAGCTACTCAGGAGGCTGACGCGGGACCCTCGCCTGAACCTGGGAGGTAGAGGTTGCGGTGAGCCAAGATCGCACCATTGCATTCCAGCCTGGGCACGAAGCGAGACTCCGTCAAAAAAAAAAAAAAAAATTAAAGAATAAAATTTCTGCAGGCATCTCAACAGCTACAGAAACAGCATTTTGTGCAATTCAATACTGATTTGCAGGGGCCAGGGGTCATGGCTCATGCCTGCAATCCCAGCACTTTGGGAGACCAAGGCAGGTGGATCCCTTGGGCTCAAGAGTTCAAGATCAGCCTGGGCAATGTAGCAAAACCCCATCTAAAAAAATAAGAAAATATTAGGCAAGCATGGTGCATATGTGCACAGGGCGCACACCTGTGGTCCCAGCTACTGGGGGTCTGAGGTGGGAGGATTGCTTGAGCCCAGGAGGTTGAGGCTACAGTGAGCCGTGATGGTGGCCCTGGACTCCAGCCTGGGCAACAGAGTGCAACCCCGTCTCAAAAAAGAAAAATACTCATTTGCAACTTTTATTTTTTTAATTAAAAAAAAATTTAATTTATTTATATTTTTGGGGACAGAGTCTCGCTATGTCACCCAGGCTGCAGTGCGATGGCATGATCTCAGCTCACTGCAACCTCCACCTTCTGAGTTCAAGTGATTCTCCTGCCTCAGCCTCCTGAATAGCTGGAATTACAGGTGACCGCCACCATGCCTGGCTAATTTTTGTATTTTTAGTAGAGACGGGGATTCACCATGTTGGCCAGGCTGGTCTCGAACTCCTGACCTCGTGATCCACCCATCTCAACCTCCCAAAGTGCTGGGGTTACAGGAGTGAGCCACCGTGCCTGGCCTCATTTGCAATTTTTAAAAATTGCTTTGCAATGCCGGGCGCGGTGGCTTACGCCTGTAATCTCAGCACTTTGGGAGGCCGAGGTGGGCACATCATGAGGTCAGATCGAGACGATCCCGGCTAACACGGTGAAACCCCATCTCTACTAAAAATACAAAAAAAAAAATAGCTGGGCATGGCGGCGTGTGCCTATTATCCCAGCTGCTGGGGAGGCTGAAGCAGGAGAATGGCGTGAACCCGGGAGGCGGAGCTTGCAGTAAGCTGAGATCGCGCCACCGCACCCCAGCCTGGGTGACAGAGCAAGACTCCATCTCAAAAAAAAAAAAAATTGCTTTGCAACCTAGTAGTAGAAGAACAATTCCTTGATCTGATAAAGAGCATTCCCTTAACAAGATATAGCAAAATTTAAAACCCGTGAATTATAGAAAAGATACACATTTGATTATATAATATTTTTAAAAATATGCATGGCACAAGACTCTATAAACAAATATACACAATGGAAGCCATGGTGGGAGGTATCGGCCAGGGCCACGTCTGAGTCCTTGGCAGAGCTGGGTCACGCAGTGAAGAGCTGGGAGGGGCCTGGACAGGGCAGCAGTGGGTCAGGTTTGGGCTTAAAGAAGACGTCCCAGCTGGTGGTTCTTCAAACAATTAAACATACAGTGGCCGTGCAACCCAGCAATGCCACTCCTAGGTGAGGACCCAAGATAAATGAAGACGTCCGGCCAGGCGCATTGGCTCACACCTGTAATCCCAGCACTTTGGGAGCCTTAGACAGATGGATCACTTTCAGCTCAGGAATTAAAGACCAGCCTGGGCAACACAGGGAGACCCTGTCTCGTTAAAAAATACAAAAATTGCCAGGCGTGGTGGCTCATGCCTGTAATCCCAGCACTTTGGGAGGCCGAGGCAGGCGGATCACCTGAGGTCAGTAGTTTGAGACCAGCCTGATGAACATGGTGAAACCCCGTCTCTACTAGAAATAGAAAAATTAGCTGGACGTGGTGACTAACACCTGTAATCCCAGCTACTCAGGAGGCTGAGGCAGAAGCGCTTGAACCTGGGAAGCGGAGGTTGCAGTGAGCCGAGATCACGCCATTGCACTCCAGCCTGGGCAACAAGATGAAACTCCATCTCAAAAAAAAAAAAAAAAATTAGCTGGGCATCGTTGTCTTGTGCCTGCGGTGCCAGCTATTCTGGAGGCTGAGATTGGAGAATCATTTGTGCCCAGTGAAGCAGAGGTGGCAGTGAGCCAAGATCATGCCACTGCGCTCCAGCTTGGGTGACAGAGTGAGACTCTGTCTCAAAAAAAAAAAGAGTCTACATAAAACATTGTGCGCGCCTGTGCATAGCAGCACATCCATAATCACAGAGAGGCGGAAACAGCTGTGTCCATCAACAGAGGTTGGTCACACAGGGGGTCCTGTGCCCAATGCAGTGGACTCTTGGGCCTTAGAATGAAGTTCTGATCCACACGGCAGCACCGACGGACCTTGGGCACTGTGCTGTGTGAAATAAGCAGACAGATGCTGTGTGGCAGCACTTACAGGGGCATCCTGAGCGACTTTGTGGAGACAGCTCTTAGGGCTGGGGAGGGAGGGATGCGGGAAGGGGGCGGGAGCTGGAGGGTGGAGGGCTCTTTCTGAGATGAGGAAATGATCTAAAACTGCCTGCGGTGACGGCTGCACAGCTCTGAAGATGCAGAAACTCGCTGAGCTGGACGCATTCTGAATTGTGTGGTATGTGAATTATGTCTCAGTAAAGCCATTAAAAAAAAACACCCAGGAGCCAGGCGCAGTGGCTCATGCCTATAATCCCAGCACTTTGGGAGGCGGAGGCAGGCGGATCATCTGAGGTCAGGAGTTGGAGACCAGCCTGACCAACATGGTGTAACCTCGTCTCTGCTAAAATACAAAAATTAGCTGGGTGTTGTGGCGGGCACCTTTAATCCTGGCTACTTGGGAGGCTGAGGCAGGAGAATTGCTTGAACCTGGGAACGGGAGGTTGCAGTGAGCCAAGATCGCGCCATTGCACTCCAGCCTGGGCGACAGAGCGAGACTCCGTCTCAAAAAAACAAAACAAAACAAAACAGCCAGGCAACCAAGTAGACAATGGAGGGAGGGGGTGACAGCTGAGGACGCCCATTGTCTGCTGGTGCTCCAGGCGGTGCTCCCCACTCCCAGCCCAGTCGCCCCCTGCTCCTGGCCTGGATTTGAGGCCTAGAGAGACACCTGCCCTCCCCCGGATCCGTGCCCCGCAGAAGTGCAGTCTTGGTGCCCAAATGTGCGCCCGCTGGGGCAGAGGAGAATCCGCGGGGCCTGAAGCAGAATCGCGCCCTCCCCCCAACCTGCCGGCTGCCCGGGCGCTCCCCATGGGCCCAGACGCAGGAGACAAAGGAGAACATGGGGGTTCAGGTATGCACTGGGGCGCAGACAGGGCCAGGCAAGACAAGAGGGCAGGGCTGCCGGGAAGGACGAGTGCCTCGGGAGCCTCTCTGCAGGTGAGACACAGGTTGAAGCATTGACTGATTTGTTCTCTCGCAGTGAGGCAGGAGAGGAGGGAATAATTGGGGTGACCCAGGGTTGAGGCGTGAGCAAGAGAACAGCAAAGGCAGCTGGTTCTGGGTAACACTGGGCCTCACTCCTATGGTAACAAGACAGTTTCCACTTCAGCCTCTGATTGGCTGTGAGCCAGTCCTTCATAAGGAGTCACCAGTTGGAGGCCTCTAAAGGGCACCTGGGGTGTTACCAAATTCTCCTGGCTTCCTAAAAACCCTGGGGAGCACTGCCATAGAGGCTCTGGGGCCGCCTGCTCCGCCCGCTGCCTCTCTGTGAATTGCACCTTGTGGTCTTCAATGAATCTGTGCTTTCGTCACTCCGTTTTTTGCTTGTCTTGTCTTTCGTTACTTCATTCTTTTGTTGCTTTCTTTGTGCGTGTTCAATTCTTTGTTCTGCACACAAGAACCTAAACAACTCACAGTCGAGACCTTCCAACCAGTAACACCAGCGGCCCCTCCCCTGGGAAGCCTCCAGAGGACGGGAGGCTGCCTGTAAAAGCTGAAGAGTCCTGAGTCTTCTGCGTGATTCCAGAGACTCCTGGGATGCCCTGGGGTGGGGGGCAGGGGAACGCTGGGGCACGGGTGGACCCAGGAAAGAGACGTGTAGAGCGCCTTGCCCCACCACCCTCCTCCCAGGCCATGTCATCTGCCACCCAGGCCAGGGCTACACCTCACCTGCCACTCAGGCCATACCATACCCTCACCTGTTGCCCAGGCCACACCCACATCCTCACCTGTTGCCCCTCCTCCTTGCGGCCCAGGAGGTCTCTGAAGATGCAGGCTCTACCTTCTGCCCGGCCCCCAGCCCTCCACCCGAGAAGTGGATGTGAAGTCACTCTGTGCATCTCCGCCCCTTTCCCACCCATTGGCCCTTGCCCTGCTCAGGGTCCCACGCTCTTCCCTCCTCCTGCCCCTCGTGGCCCCTCCTGTCTGCCCTGGCCCCCCCACACATCCAGGGGGCAGTTTGCTTCCTCCACTGACCTCCCCTCTCTGTGACATTATCTGTTTTTACAAACTTCAGGCATCTAAGCCGGGCACATTGGCCCAAGCCTGTAATCCCAGCACTTTGGGAGGCCGAGGCAGGCGGATCACTTAAGCTCAGGAGTTCGAAACCAGCCTGGCCAAGATGGTGAAACCCCATCTCTACTAAAAATACAAAAGATTAGCCGGCTGTGATGACGCGCACCTGTAATCTCAGCTACTCGGGAGGCTGAGGCACGAGAATCGCTTGCACCCAGGAGGTGGAGGCTGCAGTGAGCCGAGATCACGCCAGGGCACTCCGGCCTGGGCGACAGAGTGAGACTTCGTCTCAAGAAAAACCAAAAATCCAAAAGAACTACAGGCATCGGCTGTGTCCCCACTAGGAAGCCGGAGGGGAGCAGGGCTGGGTGTGTCTTCTCTGGCTGCGTCCCTGCGGCCACAAGGCCTGTTCTTCCTCTGTGCCCCGCCTGCCAAGGACCCAGCCTTGTGAAGGATGGATGAATGAATCATTGAGCAAATGAATGAGTGTGTGAACAGGTGAGTGAGGAGAAGCCGGCAGAGGCGGTGGGGTGGATGGTCCACCCGGCTGGCCAGCGGCCTGTCACTCCCTGAGTGGCCTCTGGGTGGCAGCCATGTGGCGCTGTCGGCTCAGGAAGGCTTGGTGCTGGAATGGGGCTGGGACATGGCCAGCCAGGCAGGGTGAGGAGGGTGGCAGCGCCCAGTGCAGCCTGGACAGATGGGGTTCTGCCCGGCAGGGCTGGCATGGGGGCTTCTTTATGCCAAGCCAGCCCTGGGGGAGGCCTCGGCTGTCCAGGGTGAAACAGGGTCAGGGTGATCAGGCTCGGTTTGTGGGGGCGGCCTGTCCTGCTGGAGGGTCCTCCTCACCCAACCCCAGCCTGCTGCAGGCTGTCTGCAGGGGAGATGGCAAAGACGGTGTTGTCCAGTTTGCTTGGGACATGAATGGTCTGGCAAATACGCAATGACACAGCTCTGGGGTCCAGATCCGGCCCAGGCGGCCGCCTGACAGAGGAGGTGCCCACAGAGCTTCCGTGAGAGGGCAGCCCAGGCCCAAGCAGCACTAGAACCCCGGCTTTGGGCTTTTGGGGACTTAGCCGGCCCCGGGGCCAGGGGTAGGATCAGGTTTCCACAGGCCAGACGGCCCCGCACAGTCACCACCGTCACCGTCACCATCACCCGGTGCTGGGCGGGCACCATGTGGACTCCACTTGGCACTGGGCCGATGGGCGGATGCCAGAGCCAGAGCAAAGGCCTCGTTAGCCCCTCGGGGAGGGCACGGCAGGGCCGGGCGACTCAGGAGGGCTGCGGGGTGACGTCTGATTGAGCCTGGAAGGACAGGCCGACCACAGGATGGAGGCCACAGCATCCTTCCCGGAGTCTGACCCCACGCTGGAGACAGAGGGGCTGGGCTGGGCTGGGCAACCTAGACCCGGGAGCCCATCTGTCCAGCCACCAGCGTCCGTCTGTCTGGGTCCCTGCTAGGGAGAGTCTGCAGCAGGGAGACCCCGGCAGCTTCGAGTATGGAGGGGAGACTCTGGCCGCCTGAGGTGAGTAACGTTGGGGGATGATTGTGGGGCTCCATTGGGACTTGGCAGGGCTCTGGGGGTGGGCACTGCAGGGGAAGCAGCTGCAGGCAGGGTGCAGAGGAGGCTCAGCTGAGTCTCCCGCGTGGGACTTCCAACCCCTCCAGGGTCTCTCCAACCCACTTCAGCTTGCAATCCACCCTCCTGCCCTGTGACCATGTGTGGTCACCCGCCCTCAGGGCACAAAAGGGGTCCAGCTCTATTTTCCAGGGACAACTCCAGACCCATGATCCCAGAAGCTTGGGGCCTGCCTTTATCCCAGCACCCAACCCCGAGAGCCCCCAGTGATGGAACTGGTGCAGCGGCCACCACTGCCCGGACCCGGGAGCAACACCGATGCCACACCTGGCGGCAGGAACAGGGCAGTGATGGGCTGTCTGCAAGGGGTCCCCCCTTCCGCAGCAGGTCTCTTGGCTGCAGCTCAGCCCCAGCCCCTGCGGTCCCCAGAGTCCCGGTCACTGGGGGCTCTGCAGGCCACCCTTCCAGGGGCATCCACCCACCCCCGAGTCCGGGTCAGGCAGAACCCAGGGCCCGCCGTCCCCTCCTGCAGGCTCAGGACCTCCTGGGGGGAGTTCCCTGTGTGATGCAGAGGGCACGCTCACCCTGCTGGGAAGGCTCACTGCTTCCCAAGGGGTCTGAGCTTTACTGGCACCTCACTGCAGTCCCTTCCCCGGGGAGACTCTGGGGCTTCCCCTGTGGGACCAGGCACCCGGAAAGGCAGCTCTGTCCCTGCTGAGTCACGCGCACCATCCTGCAGACGGGAGGGCATCTTCCTAGGCTTTCCTCCAGCCAAGAGTGGAGCTGGGACCTGGGAACCTCCCTGGAACCACCCCTGCTCTCCGGCAAGGCGTTCCACCAGCCTGTGTCTACACACGTAGCCCCGCAGAGCAGGCTTCGTGATGCCTGGAGACACCCACTTCCCCTTCCTTCTCCTGGGACTTCTCAGTCACACGGGCTGAGCTGCAGAGGGTGCGTGACCTGGGCTGAGCTGGTCTTTGGCAACTGGGGACTTTGGTTTGACGGTTGGTGGAGGGGAGACTCTCCTAACTTCCAGGGGTGTGAGTCGCAGGCGGTGCAGATGATAGGACAGTGGCCGTTGCCTAGGGCTGAAACCAACACAGCGGTGGGCGGAGCACAGGGAACTTCGGAGAGGGAGCCCGGCCCCCGAGTCAGCTGCTCCTGCGGGTGCTCCCCAAATCATCTAGTGATGTGATCCATTTGTCTTTCCAGCCCATTTCAGTTGAGTTTCCAATGACTTACAACCAATAATATCTCAACTGATACTTGGGCTCTTCAAGCACTAGAATTGTGGTGACGGCAGGAGCGTTAACACACTCTGGGGCGGGGCAGGGACTGCAGACTGAGCGGGCTCCAGGTGAATGCCAGCTTCCAGCCCTGCTGAGCCAGGCTGGGACGAACATGCTCACTAGGTCCGTCTCCACCTACTGTGGGCCAGCGCTGCGTGGCTCACTCCAGGGAAGACAGCAAGTTGGCTCAGCCGCTGCTGTGTGGCTGCTGCTCCCCTGAGTTTATGGCTGTCCATGGCATCTGCCAGGGTCCATCTGGTTTTTTGTGGGAATTGTGCCCGTGAATTTAACAAGGATTGATGGGCATTGCCATCTTGTCTTTTTTTTTTTTTTTAGACAGAGTCTCACTCTGTCGCCGAGGCTGGAGTGCAGTGGCACGATCTCGGCTCACTGCAACCTCTGTCTCCTGGGTTCACACGATTCTCCTGCCTCAGCCTCCCGAGTAGCTGGTATTATAGGCGCCCACCACCACACCCGGCTAATTTGTGTCTTTTTAGTAGAGACGGGGTTTCACCATGTTGGCCAGGCTGGTCTCGAACTCCTGACCTCAGGTGATCCGCCCGCCTTGGCTTCCCAAAGTGCTGGGATTACAGGTGTGAGCCACTGCACCTGGCCTATGTTTAATACTTTTTTAGAGATGGAGTCTCGCTCTCTGTTGCCCAGGCTAAAGTGCAGTGGCACGATCACGGTTTACTGCAGCCTTGACCTCCCAGGCTCAGGCGATCATCCCACCTCAGCCTCCCAATTAGCTGGGACCACAAGCACATACCACTGCACCTGGCTAATTTTTTATTTTTTATTTTTTTGAGACAGAGTCTCGCTCTGTCGTCCAGGCTGGAGTGCAATGGCTCAATCTCAGCTCATTGCAAGCTCCGCCTCCCAGGTTCTTGCCATTCTCCTGCCTCAGCCTCCCGGGTAGCTGGGACTACAGGCGTCCACCACCACGCCCAGCTAATTTTTTGTATTTTTAGTAGAGATGGGGTTTCACTGTGTTAGCCAGGATGGTCTCCATCTCCTGACCTCATGATCCGCCTGCCTTGGCCTCCCAAAATGCTGGGATTACAGGTGTGAGCCACCACACCTGGCCTAATTTTAAAATTTTGTAGTAGAGACAGAGTCTCACTATGTTGTCCAGGCTGGTCTCAAACCCCTGGTCTCAAGTAATCCTCCTGTTTTGGCTTCCCAAAGTGCTGGGATAACAGGTGTGAGCCGCTGTGCCTGGCCCATACTCACAGCTCACAAGTGACCTGTGTGGTTTCCTCTCTCCTTGTGTGGCTGCCTGAGACCAGGCTCAGGTCTGGAATGTCGGCAAGGAGTCACCCACTCTTCTTCTTCTTTTTTTATTTATTTATTTTTTGAGACGGAGTTTTGCTCTTGTTGCCCAGGCTGGAGTGCAATGGCGCAATCTTGGCTCACTGCAACCTCTGCCTCCCGAGTTCAAGTGATTCTCCTGCCTCAGCCTCCCGAGTAGCTGGGATTACAGGCATGCACCACCACACCTGGCTAATTTTGTATTTTAGTAGAGACAGGGTTCTCCATGTTGGTCAGGCTGGTCTCGAACTCTCAACCTCGGATGATCCACCCACCTTGGCCTCCCAGAGTCCTGGGATTACAGGCATGAGCCACTGTGCCCAGCAGGTCACCCACTCTTGTCTCTTTTGTGGCACTCCTGTGTGCCCATCCATTGCTCCCTCTATCCATCATAGCCTCTAGGGTGGCCCCACGAGCCCACTTGTGTTGGTGCCCCAGTGAGTTACCCCCACCTGGAGTGTGGGTGGGAGCGGGCTCCCTTCTATGAATAGGTTGTAGCCAAAGTGACGGGCTGTCCTTCCAAGGGGAGGTCACGCCAACACTGGGCTTCTGTTTTCCTCTCTCTCTCTTACACATTCTGAGCAGAGCTGGCTGCCAGGTGCTGAGCCGCCCCAAGAAAAAGCCCTCGTGGCAAGAAACTGAGGCCTCCAGCCAGCAGTCAGGGACCCGAGGCCTGAGACGGTGGAGGGTGAGCTTGCAAAGGGACCCCACAGTCGGGCCTTGAGAGGCCCACGGGCCTGGCCCACACCTCGGCTGCAGCCTTGTGAAGGTCCCTGAGCAGGGGACCCAGACTTCTGTCCTACAGAAACTTGGAGATAATAAATGCCTGCTCTTCTACGGCACTGAGTGTCGGGTGATTTGTTACGGGCAGTAGACAGCTAATACCTGCCCCTTAGGACACCAAGTCCTCGCCTCCTGGAGGCCCAAGCCCCAGGGAGCCATGCCTGACTTGCCGCCTGTCGATGGGCCACGCGTTCCTTGTTGATGCCATTCTGGGGTCCCCTCACCCTGACATACTAGGAGCCAGTTCCGAGGGAGGCTCTTCTGCCACCAACCCTGGCCCAGGGGGACACTGAGCTCCTTGATGCTGAGGGCCGGTGGTTCCTTATCGCCTGGCGACCAGCGTGTCCTCCGGGTCCTTTTCCAATACCAGCACCTCCCAGCTCAAAAACACAACCCAGCACTCCTGTTCCTCCGTCTCCCGGCCCTCCCTCGACACTGGGCCGAGGCAGCCTGTGCACCTGCCCCAAGCTCCCAGGAGCTGACCCAGCAGCGGATTCGGCCTGGTTCCCGGCATCCTTACCGGGATTTGGAAAATGCTCCTTTCAATCAATAAAGGCCCCACGCGGGCCTTCTTCCGCCCTCCCCTCCAGCATCCTCCATCTCCATTTCCACCCGTCCTCCCCGTCCTGCCAGGCCGCAGCTCCTTGCAGAATAACCCACACCCTCCAGTCGCAGGGACAGAACACCCTAGTTACTGGCCTAGAATTTTGCGGGGGACGAGGACAGGCAGACCCTAAGGAGGACACTCGCCTCAGGTGAGACCTTTGCAAGGTCCCGGCAGTGGGAGCCACTCCCGCCACTGCGGAGGGAACAGAGGGCAGGGATCTAAGAGGCTTCTACCCAAATACCGCATCCAGGTCATAGCGTCCCACCCCCCGCTGCCACCGGGGCCCTGACTTCAACACGGGAGGCAGACCAGACGCCACCGCCCTGGGATCAGAGCTTGGGCCCGAGGGTTGGCCCCGTCTGCACTCTGGCTTTCGGAATGAGGCTCGCTGTCAATGCTGTGGTGGAGCTGCATTCGTTTCCGGGGCTTCTATAACAAGGTGCCATAGAACAGGGCTCCAACAGCAGCCCATTCTCCCACTGTCCTGGAGGCTGGAAGTTCGAGACCAAGGTGCCTGCAGAGTTGGTTCCTCCTGAGGCCTTTCTCCCTGGCTTGTAGATGGCCCTCTTCTCCTGACTCCTCACACAGAGTCATCCCTCTGTGTGTATCTGTGTCCTAGTCTCTCTTCTTTTTCTTTTCGCTTCTTCTTTTTTTTTTTTTGAAGACAGGGTCTCTCTCTCTCTGTCACCCAGGCTGGAGTGCAGTGGTGTTATCATAGCTCACTGCAGCCTAGACCTCCCAGGCTCAGGTGATGCTCCTACCTCAGCCTCCCAAGTAGCTGGGACCACAGACATGTGTCACCACACCCGACTAATTTTTTATATTTTGTTGTAGAGATGGGGTCTCACTATGTTGCCCAGGCTCAACTGGCTTTAAGCCATCCTCCCACCTCGACCTTCCAAAGTGTTGGGATTACAGGTGTGAGCCACTGAGCCTGGCCCTTATCTCTTTTTCTCAGGACACGACTCAGGCCGGGCGTGGTGGCTCATGCCTATAATCCCAGCACATTGGGAGGCCAAGACGGGCGGATCACCTGAGGTCAGGAGTTCCAGACCAGCCTGGTCAGCATGGTGAAACCCCGTCTCTACTAAAAATATAAAAATTAGCCAGGTGTGGTGGCCAGCGCCTGTAATCCCAGCTACTCGGGAGGCTGAGGCAGGAGAATCGCTTGAACCCAGGAGGCGGAGGTTGCAGTGAGCCAAGATCGCACCATTGCACTCTAGCCTGGGTGACAGAGTGGGACTCCGTCTCAAAAAATAAAAAAAGTGGGGGATGGGGGTGGGGGTGGGGGTGGGCCAGGCGCGGTGGCTCACGCCTGTAATCCCATCACTTTGGGAGGCCGAGACGGGTGGATCACCTGAGGTCAGAAGTTCGAGACCAGCCTGACCAACATGGGGAAACTTCATCTCTACTAAAAAATACAAAAATTAGCCGGGTGTGGTGGTGGGTGCCTGTAATCCCAGGTGCTCAGGAGGCGAAGCAGAAGAATCACTTGAACCCAAGAGGTGGAGGTTGCAGTGAGCCAAGCTCGTGACACTGCACTCCAGACTGGGTGACAGAGCAAGACTTCATTTCAAAGGAAAAAAAAAACAAGGCCAGCGGTCATGTGGGAACAGGACTCGCTGTAATCCCCTCTTTAAAGGCCATATCTGTAAATACAGCCCCGTTCTCAGGAAATGAGGGTCAGGACCTCAATAAACACATTCTGAGGAGAGAACACCGCCGCGATTGGGTCTTCTGGATCTCACCGGAGGCCCTGAACTGCTGCCGGCTGCCCTGAGCTTTTTTCTCGCCTTCAGTCTCGGTGACACCCCTGCACCTCTCAAACGCGGGAGACCAGGCTTGGTGGTGAGTCCCGTCCACTTGGGTCCAGGCCAGGCCATCCCGGGTGAGCCCTACAGCCGTGCGCCGCCACCACCCCATGCCCAGCAGGGAAGTTGGTGGAGAAACACCCGCCGCGCTGGCGGGGGGAGCACTGAGGCCGTGAGCGGCACGCAGGGCGGGAGGCGCGGGGCAGGAAGCCCAGTGGTGCTCCTGGCCCTGGACAGTCTGGAGGTCCCAGGGGCCACCGCACAGTGCAGGCTTGGCCTCTTCCGGGCTTCCTGCGGGACCCCCTCCAGCCCTCCCAGCCCCTCCCTCCCCCAGCCTCCCTCCCCAGCCCCTCCTTGAAGCCACAGGGAACCCAAGACACATCTTGGTCCTCACCCCGCACCAGGGGCTTTGAGACCACCCCTCAGCACCCACGCCTGCCCCCTCTGGGCACCCCCCCCAACCCAGGCTCCCCTCACAGCCCCGGGCCTGAGGCTTGTCTGTCCCCATCAGACCTTGCTGCCCCCGCACCCTGTGGGGAATCCAGGGATCGCGCTGCTCCTCCCTGCCCTGTGCCCCTGCCTCCCCGCCGGCGCTGCCCAGGACCCGCAGCTCCCGCACCTGTTGCTGATCGGAGCCTGGCCCCGTCCACCTCCACCATCCCGCCAACTGGCCTGATTTGATCGAGCCTCGCCAGATGCAGCCTAATGTGACTTCGCAGAGCCTGATGACCTTGATGGTAGCTCAGGGCGAGAGTGTCTGGCGAGGCAGATGCCGGGACACAGGTGCCCTCATTACAACCTCCCCTTTTGCAGGAGGATGGGGGGCTCACTCAGGGAGAGGAGGGGCGGCCATGGGAGGACGACTTTGAGTCCCTCAGTCCAGCCTGCTTCCCACAAGCCAGGGCCAGGCTGGGCAGCGCCCACCAAACTTTCCCTAGGACCCGGCTCCAGGGGGTCTGAGGGTTTCCCTGGCAAGCCACCTCCAGAGCCCTGGGCGCCCCATCTGTGAAACGGGGAGGAGAGCCCAGCCTTCCACAGAGATGGACCTCCAGGCGCGGCCACACCCGGGTCACACACACACACACTCTGGTCTCTGACCAGCCCCATCTCGGCCGAGGGTCCATCCTGGTGCCCTGATTGGGGAACACCTGCTGCGTGCAGGGTTGAGGTGGCCGGAGAGGCTGGAGCGAGAGTCCTGGTCACCAGGGGCCTCCGAGGCTGCCTACCCCAGTGCCTGCACCCGGCACCGTCGCTGGGGGCCCATGATCAGATTTGCAGCCGGGCCAGAGGGACACACCCTTCCCCCACCTCGCTGCACTGGGTCTTGGGTGTGCCTGGACGGGAGCCCCTCGCACCTCAGCCCTGGAGGCTCGCCCTGGCCAGGCCTTCTGGGGGAGAGGCAGCCCCTCCAGAGCCCTGGCATCCTTGCTGCTCCGAAGAGGCCCTGAAGGAGTGAGCGACACGCGGGGGCCTCACACACACACACACCCGCAAACACATCCCCCCTCTACAAACACCCCCCCACATACACACCACAAACACTCCACAAACACACACATCACACACACCACACACAGAAAATACACAATACACACCACACACACACCTCACACACACCTCACACACCCCCACACACACACCCCCCACAAACACACCACACACACACACCACACACACTCCACAAACACACCACACACACCACACACAGAAAACACACAATACATAACACACCACACACACACCACACACACCACACACACCCCACAAATACACACACCACACACCCCAAACACACAGCACACACACCACACACACATCACACACAGAAAACACAATA